>NW_018654717.1:3351718-3653299 GCF_000001405.40 Homo sapiens | reverse complement strand
GCAGCACAGGTTCAAGAACAAACTACCTATTGGGTACCATGCTCACTACTTGACTGCAGTATACCCATGTAACAAACCTGCACATGGCCCCCTGTATCTAAAAGTTAAATTTTAAAATGAAAAAAAAAAAAAAAAAAAAGCTTACGTATATAAGCAACTTAATAAGATGATGATAAATAATAACTATCATTTGTTGAGTTTTTCCAATGTGATAAATACCGTATTATGTACTTTGTACAGTTATCTTTAATCTGTAAAACATTCCTGTGTGATAGGGATTACACTTCCCACTTCACAGATGTTGGAAGCCCGGACGCAGAGACGTTAATAAATTAACACAAATACCTAGTAAAATTTCCAAAGCCGGAATGCAAAACCAGGATTTAAAAGCCTTTATTCATTTTTGCATGCCATGCTTCCTGGACTTACGTTGAAGCCACAGCTTTGCAAAAGGCTTATCAGTTGTCACTATTTTAGCTATGCCTTACATGCATGGTTGTATAGGAAAAATTAAAACTACCTTAAATGCTTTATACTGCACCGCAAATCTATATGATAAAAGGCAAAGATAGACAAATGCAAGTTTGTTTTTTCTTATAGCCTGAATCCAAGAAGACATCTTTAATTTATAGGACTTCCTTAAGACCTTTTTTTCTGTTAACATTTTATGATATGAAGATATCAGTGATAAGATTTATCTTACAGCAGAATAATATTTAGATAGCTTTTGTATTTGCATCTGTTCCATAATTTACTTTACATGTTTGTCTTTTAAAATGATCCTAACAGAAACGTCTGTTTTTAGAATAAATCAGAGGTGTAGAAACTGGCAGTGATTGCTGTGCTGTGTATGTGGATGTCCTAAATGTTTGATGCTTGTGTTTACTAGTTTACAACCATCATCAAATTACGTAGCAACATGTGTATTTTAGAAATGGGGCTGCCTTATTTATCTAAAACAAATGATACTCTGTTAATTATCCTAGCAATTAGAAAATTACTTTTACCATTGCTTTGCCATTTGGCAGTTGAGATATAAATTTGGCACTATGTGGTAACCATTCACTAGGTTTAGTCCTAGGGTATGTGATTTTTTTGCTTTGGATCAGGAGACAGCATTTGGTAAATAGCAGTTGTAAATTTCTTTTTTCCCAAAGTTTGAAAAACCTCAGGGCTTTTAGTGGCATGGAGTTTGCGCAAATCATCCTTTTTTTTCTCAATTTGTCTGTTCTTTTTCTCTTTGCAGTCTGCCATTTTCTCAAATTTATTGCATGCATTTTATTTATTTCTATGTGCCTTCTAGTGATGCTATATAAGTTGCAGGATTAGCATTCACATGGGAATGATGACTTGGAAAGTCTCACCCAGCTTGTTCTGCACTCACCCTTCTTGTGAATTCACCACTCTCATAGCTCAGCTACTCCTACTTAGATGCTGCTGCCACTTTGCTGACAGCGTCATCATTTCTCTCTTGGATTAGTCCTGTACCCTTCTGTTCAGGCCTTCCTGCCATAGAGTTTGCTCTCTCTCTTCAGCTTTATTCTCCACTTAGTAACTAAAGTGATCTTTCCAAGACTCTAATCTTAAGTAATTTTCTGCTTCAAGTCTTTCAGTGATTTCTCATTATTCTTAGGCTCTCCCCAGTCTCATACACTACACTTAGCCACTGAATTTTTCTTAAGTTTCTCAAATATACCTTGTCCACTGAATATTAACATGGATTCTTCACACAACCTGGAATAGTTTCTTATTCTTTTGCCTCAGTGATTCTGTTTATCCAAAGTCTCAGCTCAGAAAGCGTTTCTTCTGAGAATCTTCCCTGGCCCCGTTTCCCTCTGCTTGCCTCTAGAGTGGTTTAGACCAGCATCCTCCAGCCTTCCCGGGTGTCCTGAACTCCCCTTCCATGGGATTTGTCCACATCCACAGCATTTATATTGTATTGCCTGCTTTCTCTAGTGACTTGACTCCTTAAAATGTAGACTTCTGTTTCCTCATCTTTTGTCCTTCTGAATAAAGAATTCATTTATATGCATTTCCTTTAGAGAATCAAACTTGGTGTGATTTTGAGAAAGAAGAAGATCCATAAGCTCAAAATACTGATTTCGCTTTCCTTGTTTTCATTGCTATCCCTAGCACTTAACGTGGTGTCAGATACGTGGTAGAAATTCACATATTTTAGGTGAATGCTAGTGATGACCAGATTTTTGTTTTAGCCTTAACCTCTTCTGAATTCTAGTGCCATACGTGTAAGTCTCTCTCTCTGACATTACCACTGGGGTATCATCTAGGCACTTTAAATTCAGTAAACCCAGACCTCACATTATTTCCCTCTGGGCTCTCCTTTCCCTTCCACTCCCTTCTTTTTTTTTTCTGTTGTTCTTCTGTCATTGGCATTTCCAACCTGGAAACTACTCTATCTCTCACTAGCTAGATCAGTCATTTCTCAGAGGCTATCAATTCTGCTTCCTAATAGTTTTTGAAAACTCACCCTTCAACTCCATTTTTTCACCGACTTCCTGTCACTTTCTACCTTAATTACAGAGCCTGCTAATTTATTTGAGTTATATAAATTTCAGTAGTTTAAAAACTAAATATATTACTGTTTTCAAAGCATTGTAAATCTTACAATTAAATGATTTTTTAAAATCTGAAAACTAGTTAAATTTTTCTTATGTTTTGCCCCCCTTTTTTTTTTTTTGAGACGGAGTCTTGCTTTGTCGCCCAGGCTGCAGTGCAGTGGCCCCATCTCTGCTCACTGCAAGCTCTGCCTCCTGTGTTCATACCATTCTCCTGCCTCAGCCTCCCAAGTCGCTGGGACTACAGGTGCCCGCCACCACACCTGGCTAATTTTTTGTATTTTTAGTAGAGACACACAGGGTTTCATCGTGTTAGCCAGGATGGTCTCGATCTCCTGACTTCGTGATCCGCCCGCCTCAGCCTCCCAAAGTGCTGGGATTACAGGCGTGAGCCACCATGCCCGACCTGCCCTTTTAAATAAACTGTAGGTTTTCATATGCATTCATTCATTTGAGAACTTTTGTTCATTTTCAGGAATAAGAAATAAAAGTTACTGAATGAACTTTATACAAAGAAAGTTGTGTAAAAGATAATACGAAAATGGAGCATCTTTTTGTTCATAAGCAAGAAAGATGTGACCCTTTTTATGTAATATTAAATATTAGCTATGTGCTATACTAGCTTGCTGACTTACTGACCAGTCCTCCAAAGCAGTCCTTGTCTGTGGAGGAAGTTTTCAAACTGCAATGAAAAGTCCAATTCAGTCATGAAAGAATCCAAGATAGAATAAGAGGGACTAGATTTACCTTGCTTCCTGAAACTCTGAGAAAAATAGACAAAATGTATGAAACAGTGGTTTTCAGACATTGAGCATCAGGCAGTACATGGTAATTATCCCTGAGAGAGGGTAACAACTCCAACTTACCGCCTCCAAAGAATTTCCAGGCCTTAACACAAGGAGGGGAAAACCAGGAGGAACCTGATGGTCTCCCTGAGTTGAGGAGATGAAATTGGGAGTTTGGGGAGACTAAGGTGGAAGGAGTTAGCAAGGCAGTGGGCCAGGAAAGGGAGATACACACAGGGGCCCCTTACAGTGTTCAGATAAGTACTGAGTAACACATGGGTGAGGAAACTGCTTGAGGCTAGTAAAAGAACCACACGGAAAGATGAGAGGTAACAAGCCTAGGAACTCACACAGAGTCTGTAATAGTTTCTGTTGCCACCAGCCATAGTAAAAAGCCCTCATAATTCACTGGGTGTCATCAAAGGACAATGCCTCAGTAGTAGGGGAAAATCTGTCCTACACTAAAGGCTGCTCTGGCCCTGCCTACCAAAGCCTAGAAGCAAGCTTTGAAATTAACCTAATATTTGTGTAATTGAAGTCCCTAGTGGGAATAATTCCCTAGTGAGAGTAATAGGAGAGGGAGCAGAAAAAATATTTGATGAAATCATAGCTAAAAATTTTCCAAATTTAGTGAAAACTATATAGGTCTAAGAAGCACTGCAAGCTCCAATTGTGGGCATGCATGCGTGTGCGTGCACACACACACACACACACACACACGAAGAAAACTATACCAAGGCACATCATAATCAAATTGCTTTAAGTCAGTGAAATATTAATGTAGAGGAAATATTAGCGTATCCACAGGGGAAAAAACACATGTACAAAGGAACAAAGATAAGGGTAACAGATTTCTAGTCTTGAAACAAAGCAAGACAGAGGACAGTGGTATAACATTCTTAAAATATTAAAGGAAGGAAAAAAGTTAACTAAACTTCATTATCCAGCAGAAGTATTCTTCTAAAATGAGAGTGAAGAGTCCTGAAAGTAAGTTGATACTCCCTGACAGTATCATTTGCAGTAGCATTTGACATGGATCTCAGAGCAGAAACTTAGCTGGACATGTTTGATGATAAAAAATTTTAGTTGCCTATTTTTACATGGCATTTTACATTTTAAAAAAGCACAGTGGCTCACGCCTGTAATCCCAGCATTTTGGGAGGTGGAGGCGGGTGGATCACTTGAGGTCAGGAGTTCCAGACAAGTCTGGCCAACATGGTGAAACCTCAGCTCAAGTGAAAATACAAAAATTAGCTGGGTATGGTGGTGCGCGCCTGTAATCCCAAATACTCGGGAGGCTGAGACAGGAGAATCACTTGAACCCGGGAGGCGGAGGTGGCAGTGAGCCGAGATCAAGCGACTGCACTCCAGCCTGGGCAACAGAGTGAGATTCCATCCAAAAAACAAACAAACAAAAAAGAAACAAAAATGTGTTTCTGTATGGGTGAAAACTTTACAGTAGTTTTCCCTTATCCTCGGGAGATAACGTTTCAGGAGCCCGGTAGATGCCTGAAGCCTCGGATAGTACCAAACCCTATATATGGTTTTTTGATCTCATAACTGAGATGGCTACTTAATTTGTAGCATCTTCAGTGTGGATATGCTGGAGGAAGGGATGATTCCCATCCAAGGTGGCACAAAGTGGGCAGATTTCATCAGGCTACTTAGAATAGTGCTCAGCTTAAAACTTATCAATTGTTTGTTTCTGGAATTCCACAAGTAATATTTTCAGACTAAAATTAACCACAGGTAAGTGAAATTGTACTGTATTTTCACAGGTTTTTCAGATAGCGAGGATGAGTGATTTTATCTCCATTTTATACATGAAGAAGCTGAGACACACGAGTAGCATGACTTCCACTGGGTTGCATAATAAGTTCCAGGAATGTAGTCAGGTTTCCTGACTTCCTGTTCAGGACTCTTCTAATCTGAATGGTCTCCTCGTTGATAGCTGTGCATTGCTCAAAATATTTTCTAAACTTAGAGACTGACAGAATATGTAAAATGTATGAAATATCTCAAAAGCAATAGTAGTACAGTGTTTAGTACTTCTTTTGTATCTTCACATCTGGAATAGGTGAAGCAAATAAATTAAAAATCTTATTAAATCTCAAGACCCCAAATAGAAGACAGGAAAAATGAAAGGGAATGCATTAAAGTATATTAAAGCCTGTATGAAAAACCCGTTATGGTATTTAAACTTTAAATTAGCAAAGGTGGAAAATTGCTATGGTTGCAGAGAAGTTTTTAATTAAAGTGAAGTTATTTCTGATTCTTAAAAGGTGAGAAGTTTGATTATTTTAATTACCATACTAAATTTTAGTAGAGAACCTTCTAATAACTTGACTCAAATTACAATGTGGCAGAAATTAGCTGGGAAGAAACTGTATTCCTCTCTTGTCTTTACACTGTGTATGTGGTACATAAAATGGAAGAATTAAATGCTACCTTGGTATACATCATTGCACCCAGTGTAGCAAATTAGTTTTGACCATTACTAGCCGCCGTACAGAATGAATAAGGCCCATTGTCCTTTTTGTTTCCATTAAAGTTTGTTCAAATTGTTCTTTAGGGATGTTTTTCAATCTTTCCTATTAAAGAAATTTTGAGAGCTAGATCTTTAGATAAAGTTTTATGGTAGAATTGGGATTTGAAGGTTAGAAATTGAAAGGAGGACAGGATTTAAGTAGGATAAGGAAGAATGTTTCCAATTATAGGAAACATGAGCCCTGGTGTGTCTTCTCAGAACAGTGAGAATGTTTCATGTTGGAAAGAAATAGGAAATCATGTAGAATAGGTAGGGTAAGGTTTGATTACTGATGGCCTTAAAAAAACAAGTAAGTGAAATAGGTGGATGGCACTAAAGTTAGTATTGACTCCTGAGGGCAGTAAATTATCTCTCCTTAAGTTATGAAATGTGAATTTTTGACATTTCAGCGCAGTATTTTTGTGTCAACTTTCATTGTGTTTAAATCTGAAATGGCAAAGCAAGGATTTTCTTTGTTTGTTTGTTTTTACCTGAAAAGGGGATGTTTTTCTTTTCTAGTCGACTCCTTTACATCTAGCAGCGGGCTACAACAGAGTTCGAATAGTTCAGCTTCTTCTTCAGCATGGTGCTGATGTTCATGCAAAAGACAAAGGGTAGGTCTATCAGTTTACTTCCTGTCAGTGCTTTGTTTTTTGTCTGATACTCTAAACTTTTAAAACACTAGACAAAGTCATATGTCCCATTTGTTACGGCTTACATAACGTTTTAAGAATGTTCATAACTCTGGTTTGAGGCTTTATTTTCATGTACCTACTTAATTAAGGATACTTCTCATAATAATTTCCCAAATCAATTTAATTTTATCACCGTTCTGTTACTTGAAGTTGAAATTGTGTCTCAGTTGCAGTTAGGGTTTTTCAACTCTTAAATTGCATTTTAGAAAAATAAAACAAATTGAAAATTATGAAAATCCAGTAGCATAGCTATCAGATTCAACAGATAGTAAAGGATCATCCTTTATTGATAAACCAAAATCATAAGTATACAATACCAAATTTTTTTTCTGGTGAAATCTTGGACATCTAAACTGAGAAAACCTAGAAGGTTGATGTGAGGGGATATGGGTGGTAACTAAAAAAGCAGTTATGTCATTTATTTTACCAGTAGGTCATTTTTGAAAACTTTGTATCAGTTTCCTGTAAAGTCTCCAGAGATATACGATCATTGGGTTTGCTGTCCTATGTGGTGGACTAACATTTCTCATTGCCCCACTTTAAGATCTGAAAGATAATTAACCCTACTACCCAGGTAAGGTAGATTATGTTACAGTCTTGTGACTGACAGCATAAAGAAGAGATGCCCTAGAGGAGAGTTTCTTTCACTTTGTCCCTCCCCAAGTCAAGAAACATAAAAATGAACTCAATGCTTGAGACACTTACCAGAAGAATTCTTCCATTTCCAATCTGCTTTTTCTGGTGCTGTTCTCTTGCCTGCACCAGGTTTTGTGCCATATGTGAATGGTGTCCCAGTAGTATAGGGGCATAAATGCCTGATGCTCTTGTACATCTCTATTTCCTTGTGCATGTCTGAAAACAGATGGGTGTACAATAGGTGAGTCATCAAGAGATGTACACCACAAAAAAAGGGTTTTTTTGGTTTATTTAGAATACTTTGATATGCAAGTTATAATAGTTTGGATATTTGATTATTTTGCTAGAAATTACCATTAAAGTGAATTAAAATGGTGGAATATTTCAGTTCACTACCAATTAACATTTATTTCTTGTAAATACTTAATATATAATGCATGCATTTGTCAATTAGCATATGATCTTCCTTTCGCCAAAATGTTCTTCTATTTGGTATTTTTTTCATTATCTTCAAGGATTATATACAAAAAACAAGATAAATACAAAAGGTGTGAACATAAGCTATGCTTTGAATTCTTTTATTATTTTATTAAATACTTTTAAATATTTTAAAATAATTGTATTGGGATTTATTGGATTTTATTTCTTAGTACGACATGGATAAATAAGTTGTTTGAAATTTAAGTATTTTAATTTGCCTCTTTTCATTTAGTGGACTTGTGCCTCTTCATAATGCATGTTCATATGGACATTATGAAGTCACAGAACTGCTACTAAAGGTAAGAGAAATTCAGAATATTGAGCATCATTTACTTTTTTTTTTTTCTTTACCTTGTCATGACTTTCCATACTTTCGGCCTCATGAAAGTTTGTTTAGTTCTTTGGGGTTTTTTGTTTGTTTGTTTTGAGACAGGGTCTTGCCCTGTCACCCAGGCTGGAGTGCAGTGGCACATTCACAGCTCACTGCAGCCTCAACCTCCCAAGTTCAAGTGATCCTCCCCCTCAGCCTCCCCAGTAGCTGGGATTACAGGGGTGTGCCACCACGCACAGCTAATTTTTATGTTTTTTGTAGAGACGAGGTTTTGCCATGTTGCCCAGTCTTGTTTTTTTAGATTTTAAGAGAATAAAATACGTTTTTAAACATATTACCATTGCCTTAAAATTTTTAAAACATTGAATTTAATTTCAGCTGTTTTTGAAAGGTGATATTGAAGAAATTAAAACACTTATTTGAACAAGTTATAACTGAAATTTACAAAGAAATAAATGTCTTTTGAGTTTTATTTGATCCAGCAAAATGATTACTGACCTAAAATGTTTTTTTTCTCAATTCAGCATGGAGCTTGTGTTAATGCCATGGATCTCTGGCAGTTTACTCCACTGCACGAGGCTGCTTCCAAGAACCGTGTAGAAGTCTGCTCTTTGTTACTTAGCCATGGCGCTGATCCTACGTTAGTCAACTGCCATGGCAAAAGTGCTGTGGATATGGCTCCAACTCCGGAGCTTAGGGAGAGATTGACTTGTACGTATTTATATCCCGAAATCATTATCGCATAAATTGGAATATTTAATTTCTGTTGAGTTTTATCTACCTTAAATAATAACCTTCCATTCCTACAAGCAGACTAATTCATAATCCTCATTTCTAATTGTATACTTTTCTTCATGAATTCCATGGGAATGTTATATACAGACACTTTTTGTATATATTGTATTTATTCGAGCCTAGTTTTAATTCGTATGTTGAAGCTCCTTTTTTGGTTTTTTGAAGGCTAATGAGGATGAGTCAATCAGCATCCATTTCTTGGATACTTGCAATGTGGCAGGCACTAGAAATATAGCAGTGTACAAACCATTAAAAAGCTCTGAGCTTCTGGGGCTTACATTCTTGTGCTATTGACAGTGATAGGTATCTAGCATTATTGAAACCTCTTACGGGCTTACGTTCTTGTGCCATTGACAGTGACAGGTATCTAGCATTATTGAGCCCTCCCCATTTCCCGAGCCCTGCAAGGCTGCACAATCATATTTTTATTTGTCATGTGTGTTATGACCCAAGTATAATCACTTTCCCATATTTAAGTGAGATTTTAAAAATAATTAGGTTGAGGTCATCTTCTGAATATATTACCAATATATACATGCAAATGTTTTTTAAATAAACTTTTTGTTTTAGCATAGTTAAAGATATAAAAATATTGGATTCTCATTCATGCAATTAATTTAGATACAGCTTTTCAAAAAATCTCTCACCTGGTTATGAAAATAATAAGCTATTAATTGTTCTTTGAAAAATTTTCAAGCTCTGCATTTCTCCCATATTTTAGTCCTTTCCTTTTCTGTGTCAAGACCTAATCACCATTGATATTTTGGTAAATATTTCTGTAAATGTTTTCTATACCATTAATTATGGTGTACTTATGGTGGCAATAGTAGTAGCAAGAGTAGTGACAATACCAAAAATAATGCATCAGCCTGTCCTTTCTTTTTTGAATTTTCATGTACCACTGTATACTTTCATGTCAGTGTATGTAGACCTATCTCTTGTTTAAGAGCTAGAAAGTGTTACAGCATATGTGCACACAAATTATTTAACTGGTTTCCTTTTGGTGGACATTTAGGTTTCCTGTTTCAAAATTTTGCTGCAATAAGTATCTTTATAGGTGTATCTTTATGACTCTGAGAGTGTGAAACAGTCTTATTTCAGAGCATACATACTTCACATTAATCTACATCCTCATCTTTTGCATTTTTATCATCATATTATCACATTGCTGCTGTTGTTAAAATAGAGAAATTCATAAAATAATAATATTCCTACTTATTTATAATCATGCTGAAGATTTTTATACATTTTTACATCTTTTTTTATGTCAACCATTGTTTCATTGACAGATGAATTTAAAGGTCATTCTTTACTACAAGCAGCCAGAGAAGCAGACTTAGCTAAAGTTAAAAAAACACTCGCTCTGGAAATCATTAATTTCAAACAACCGCAGTCTCATGAAACAGCACTGGTAAGATTTTATTGTTAATCTATTCCCTGTGTCTATAATAATAACGTAAGCACAAAATATGATTTTCATTTCAGAAACCTTAAAGTAACTTTAGTATCTGAAATGCCAGGAATTTGCATGTTAATTTTGGTTGCATTGATTTTTAAACTTAGTTTGGGGGGTGATTCTTTTCATGGGTGAGAGAATTGACATTTGCTCAACCTCAATTTGGAAATTATTTTACCTTTGTCTTCCCCACCTCATTATAACAAATCCACTTTTGTGGCCAGTGCTTTCATAAACTACAAGATATGATTTTTCAATAGAATTTTTTTTTCTTATGTTTGCTAGATAAATACTAGATTTCCTTCTGTAGAAGATTAAAGTATATTTTTAGATATTTGCATTATCTTTTTGAGCAATTGTATTCAAAGAACTGATTATATTCATGGTAGAAAAATGGCAAGATCATGAATTTTTTGTTTGATACTATACAAATTATTCTTAAAACTATCCACTTTTTTTCTTCAAATGCACTTTCGGAAAGATTTATTTATTTTCTTTGTCATTGACACATTAAGGCTCAGCTAGAGAGTGGTTAGTGATCGCTCCTAAATTCAGAATTTAAGCATATGTGATGCCTGCATCACAGACCTTAAATATACCTAATTAATATTCTTACGTATATTTGACACAAAAGATCAAACCTTTGTCAGTATCTGCATAAAACAACATTAAAGGATTGACCAAACTGAAATAGGCTAACTATATGTACACTTAAATACATGTCTCTCAAACTAGGGTTGAGATAGATTCAAGCTACACGGTGTTATGCTAGGAGATATTCATAGCCACAGAATAAACCTGACCCACTTTTTTGGAGTTTTCATTTTATTTAGTTGAAAGTAGTTTTTTATTTTTAAATTTTAATACGAATATTAAAATGAAGCAGAATAAAAAAGTTGTATAAATATTATGTTAAAACCTAAAATTTCTGAGAATATTTTTCTCTAAACTGCTTCAGTTCTATCATTTTCTTGCTTATCCTTGGGCATATAAACGTCTCCTGTAGTGCTGGGAGTACCTCTGTAGAAGAGCTTAGAAATACTGACTTGTGTGGCTGATGGCCTAATGAAAGATTGAGTAACTTAGTTATAGATTTCTGTAGCGTTGCAGAGGCATACGTATTATGATGCTCTCCATGGAATATATAGTGAATATTTATTGATTGGCTAAGCCAAAAGAAATAAGATCTCTCTTAATGTTTAAGAGCATAATTTCACCTTGGTTTAAACGCTTACGTTTTGTATTTCCACTATACGTAGAAAGAATATGGATCATCTCTGTGATATAAAACATATACATATGTTCTGATACTCTGAGATAACAATGTTTTAAATGGTCAGCAGATACTGTTCAATTCCAAGAGCTACTGTACATATGGAAGTGTATTTTATTAACTTGGTTTTGTTTACTTTATAGCACTGTGCTGTGGCCTCTCTGCATCCCAAACGTAAACAAGTGACAGAATTGTTACTTAGAAAAGGAGCAAATGTTAATGAAAAAAATAAAGAGTAAGTATAATTGCAGAAGGAGTTGTTCAGTTCCTAAAGAGGAAATGCAATAAAAGAGAGACAATTACCTTTTCTTTCTTTCCTCTTTTCTGTAGTTTCATGACTCCCCTGCATGTTGCAGCCGAAAGAGCCCATAATGATGTCATGGAAGTTCTGCATAAGCATGGCGCCAAGGTGAGGCACACACCTGAGCAGAGTGCCAGACTCAGCACTGAGCAGCCAGCTGCTCTTAACACTGCTTCTCTCTCTCCGATTTTTCTGAAGAAACTAATTTTATAAAGGACTATTAGTTCGTACTTAAATTCATGGATTCTCCTATAAAGCTGATTTAGATCTTGTTTCTAATAAAAATAATTACCCGTGTTTCTTGATCCTTTAATGTCACCCTTCTGTAAAGCAACAAAATATAGCTATAGTCATTTGAAATAGATTTCATCTTTACATTATTTTCAGTTAATACTATACGGATATATTTTGATAGTGTCCATTTGAATAACAGTTTATCAGAAAATAAATTATGTTAAATGATAGCATCAGAATAGCTCTACTTATTCTAAAAAACATTTGTGGCCAGGCACAGTGGCTCACGCCTGTAATCCCAGCACTTTGGGAGGCCGAGGCAGGTGGATCACGAGGTCAGGAGATGGAGACCATCCTGGCTAAGACGGTGAAACCCCGTCTCTACTAAAAATACAAAAAATTAGCCGGGCGTGGTGGCGGGTGCCTGTAGTCCCAGCTACCCAGGAGGCTGAGGCAGGAGAATGGCATGAACCTGGGAGGCGAAGCTTGCAGTGAGCTGAGATTGCGCCACTACACTCCAGCCTGGGAGACAGAGTGAGAATCTGTCTCAAAAAAAAAAATTGTATGCCTTCAGATTTGTAATAATTTTCTCAACCTCTACACTAAAGAAATATGACATATTTAATAATTTTTACTGGCATTTTCTGAATGGTGTAGTCTGAAACTTTGTCAAGCACTTAAGAGAGGAAAGAAGCAAACTGGTTGTTTTTTAGAGGTGACTTGAAATTATAGATTTTTTCATTCTCAAGAATGTATATTTCAAAGCAGTTGTCTCCAAAGTAGGGTATAGACTCCCTATGGAGCATACAAGATGCCCTGTTGGAAAAATCCTAGCATTTCAATTTATAATACTTTTATTTAAGAATAAGGAAATTCAGATTTACCAATATTGAATACAAAGATGATGCCAGCACTCTCACTAGGTCCACGTGTCAGCCATTGTGACTCGTGATGTCAAGGTTTCCTGAGGTAAGAGTGGGACTTGTTAGTATCGAGGGATTGACAGTGGCAAACTCACTTGTTTGTTCCCTTTCAGCATATTTTGGCATAGTGGACTTTACTTGTGTCCAAATGAGTTGAATTTATGGATATTATCCTAAATGGTAGAACTTTTATAAATATCATACTTGATCAGAGTAGTGACCCTGACAAGGGACACAGGGAGTGACCCTGACATGCTTTTATAGCGTAAAAAGGTGGTCTGGTTATTTTGTGAAGTAGTATTTTAAGGTGTTGTCATAGTTGTGTTCTTTTTAATGAAAATAAAAGGGTTCAAAATTTGTTAATAGTTCTCTGAGGACAAATGACCATGACTTGCATGTAGATACCCTTTAAAAAGGAAACATAATCAGATCCTTAAAGGTAAAAGTTACACACTTTAGGTAAATGATAAAATAACTGCTTTTTTAAAAGAAACTTTAAAAAATGAAGAGAACGTTTTGAACATAGATTTTTAGAAAATGTTCACTTTTCTGTGATTTTGCTGAAAAATGATATAAATGAATCACCCAGCCGTCATATCTACATAATTTAAACACATAAAAACAGAATTTTCTCACCTGTTCAAAAGCCTTCCTTAATTTGGTTTTAGGGTAGATTTTGAATCTATTCAAAACATTGTAATGCAGCACTTCCTAATAACTTCGCAAGAACATCAGTAAAGATGGAATTTTACTACAGAATTTCAATGAAAGCCTTAGCATAATTAGTAAATTACATTAAAATTAGGCATTCTGATTGAGTAGGCATAGTTAACAATGCATTTATTTCATTGGCTCCATGAATCTGTATGAAATCTTTGCAACTAATATAGCCATTCAAACTAATTATCAAAAATGAACTTAGAGCCACGTGTAGTGGCCCGTAATCACTCCTGTAATCCCAGAGCTTTAGGAGGCAAAGGCAGAAGGATTGCTTGAGGCCAGGAGTTCGACACCAGCCTGGGCAACACAGCAAGACACTATCTCTACAAAAAATTTAAAAATTAGCCAGTCGTGGTGGTGTGCACCTATAGTCCTAGCGACTCGGGAGGCTGAGGCAGGAAGATCACTTGATCCCAGGAGTTTGAGGCTGCAGTGAGGTATGATCATACCACTGTACTGCAGCCTGGGCAACAGAGCAAGACTCTGTCTCTAAAGAAAAATGAAATGAACCTAAAATTAAACCCTCAAATTCCTAATATCACAATTTTTATAAGTTTTTTTAAATGTTTAAACTACAGTCAATGGATATTTTCTAGCATAAGTAATTAAAATATGTTTTGGACAGGTACCATAGCCTATGCCTTAATCCCAGCACTTTGGGAGACTGAGGTGGGAGGATCGCTTGAGCCCAGGATTTTGAGATCAGCTGGGCAACACAGGCCAACCCCGTCTCTACAAATAATAAAAAAAAATAGCCAGATGTGGTGGTGCATTCCTGTAGTCCCAGCTACTCGGGAGGCTGAGGTGGGAAAATCACTTGAGCCCAAGAGGTCGAGGCTGTAGTGAGCTGTAATCATGCCACTACACTGTAGCCTGGGTGACAGAGCAGTACTCTATCTCAGAAAATAATAATCATGAAATCTTTTTAAATTTTTAATTATTTCATCTCTTTCTCATCCTTCATAAATTCTCTTTGTGTAAGTTTTATAATAGTGTAGCACTTCTTGGTTATAATTTACAAAGAAATTCATATATATATATTAAGTGTTCTCAAAACTTTTCTACCTGGAGGGTGTGTGATTTAAAAATTTGGATATCACTGCCTTAAAATGGCACTTTATGTTTTTAATTTATGAAATGAAGACAAAGTGGAATAAAAGGGAACAGAGTTCTACAGATGTATTACCTATTTTGTAGGTACAACTACTGCATTATTATATAAGTAGCATCTTGTTGCTCTTTCAAGCAGAAAACACTAAGCTAAGTGACATTTCTGCTACACTTAGGAGCTTTGTACATTTATCTTTGACCCGTTTTTGCAAATATCTAATGACATTTATAATGCTCTTGAAAAATTAGGAATAATGCCCTTCATTTTGGGAAAATAGTATCTATTTATTGTCTCCCATCAGGCATTTTAGTTTATAAAGGTTCAATGGAAAATAACATTATGACTTGTTCTAGTCAGCCTTTCTCTAGGTCTGTGGTTCTCACTCTTTATTTGCCCTTTATGTGCACAATACATTTTCATCAGTAACATCTTAGTTCATTACTAGCCCTGTCAATGACTTAGAAGAACTTCTAGACTTTTGTGTTCATCCTAGTCTTTCCACTGTAGTTCATCTACATTGATAACGCTTGCTAGTAGGCACTTAAAAAAGAGGAGAGTTATATTTAATCAGAGTTATGAACCCATAGATATCAATTGCTATCAGTAGATATCAAATGCCGTAGCAACTCCTATTTACCCCATCCCAAGGCAGGATGCTGTTCCTCATGGTTGGTGTATCTGGTGATTAATGTGTTGTAAAAAACTCCCTGTAAGAAACTCACTTAGCTATTGTTGGGCTCCCATTTTTTCTTGTGTAGTATTTCTTTCTGAGGAACTCATGGTTTCTGTATGATTTTCAGGCAACTCATGGTTTCCATTTGATTCTGAACACACCTTCTGAACAAGCAGCACCAGTTTTTAATTAGGATTCAGCCCTCTTCCACTGCTTCTAGCACCCTGCTGCCTTCCCCTACTCTTGATGAATCAATTTCTCAGGCAAAGGCAGAAGAATTTGGGATGAAGACCTAATTATCATTAAGTAATTTGCCTTACTTTGACAGAACTTAGTGATATTTTTATAAGCCAAAACATTCTTTTGCCCAAAACCTGGTAATACATACAAACTTGAGGTTTGCTGTTAATGTTAAACTAAATGTACGCCATATATAACCTAGACAGGCATGCTTTTGAGTTTAGAATCCTCCACTTTCTAGTTTTGTGACCTTGGGCTAAATTTCCCTGAGTCTCAGTTGACTAATCAGTGATATGTGAAGCAACCGCCCTACAGGCTTTTTTTTTTTTAATCAAATGAGCATATGTATATAAATATGTAGTATAGTGCTTAACACACAGATAATGTTTTGGTTATTTGTGAATATGAGCCTTTTTTCCCACATTTGTCTTTTCAAATGTGTATGTACTATGTATTTCCCTTTAATTATCTAAATTTTATAAGACACATATCTAATCCCTTTATAATTGGGTTTGATCCACTAACTCCATAAATATTGGCATGCAAAATAATCAAGACTGTAGTAGATACTGTGGAAAATACCAGTTTGAAAGTTAATGCAGTTACCAAACTTGACCTCAGTCCTGAATCAATTTAGCAGCATTAGTAATGAAGAAGGAAGAGGAAGATAAAAGCCACTTATGAAGGAGTAATTATATTACCTGGAAATGAATTGGGTGTTAGAGTGGACTTAGAAAATGGTGGTGCAATTAATGGAAGTAAGAAAGCTACAGAGAAACACTGGTTTCCTACGCCTTGATAATGATTTTCTACTTGAAGTTGATATTACAGAAAGACATTTAATAAAACCAGCAGTTGGAAAGACAGCATCAGAGTATAAAAGAGTTTAAGATTAGAAAGATCTACTGAGAATTCACATAGTGATTCTACATTTTAGGAGCAAGTACGGTCCCTGGTAGAGAAAGCATGGAAAGAAGGGAGTTAAGGAAAGATCCTTTGAGGATTGCCCATGTTTATAGAGCGGTGGTGGGAAGAGAAAGCTGGAAGTTCTATCACAGTGTCTACAGAGTACAGGAGGAGTATGAAGAAGGAGCAGGTGACCAGTGCCACTGAGAGAAATCAAGGCAGACTGGGGCATTACTTAGACCGTTTTTGTATGAGGGCTTTGGTAGTTTTTGAAGGAGAGATTCTAAGGAGATAGAAGCAGAGATATATCTCAGTTAGGGTCTTCGCAATAAATGGCACACTTAAAGTGGGTAATTTGATGAAAGTTTAATAAAGGAACTGTATAGAAACGTGGGCAAGGTTCAAGGAAAGTAGCAAGGAAAGAGGTTGTACTAGCAGCAGAGGAGGGGGTATGATCATCTCTGGTCTGAAGGGACAAGGCAAAGGAGAGGTTCTTGGTGCTGGAAGATGGTAGCTGTATGGAAAAGGCCACCTGGTACCACCTGTAGCCTTTGATCAAAGGATGTATCTAATGTTACTCTTCATTGTCCTGCTGTCCTCTATCTCCTCCCAGTACCCCCCATCTCCTCCCAGTGCCCGTGACCAAATTCAACAAAACAGTGAAGACCAAAAGAGTCTGTTGATGTGGTTCATACAAGTGATTTTCTCAGGACCCAGAGCAAAGTGGAGGATGGCTGTGGCTCTAGAGGGGAATAAGGGCAATATTCAGCAAAAGATTAGAAAACAAATTGCTAGTAAGGAGAGTTACAAGAACATTGGAGCATTACCCAATTCATTTGAAAAATCCTCATTAACTAGGAGTAAACTTTTGTTCCTTAAAAAAAATCAATAATTTATTATCCCCTGCTTTTTGGGAGTACTATAAAGTCTAAATAGGAAAGACATGAAGACTTTATCCTTCATGTGGCAATTTTTTCTTTATTATGGTTAGTCTGCCCTGGCATTCTGCATTCTGTCAGTAATGAATTGTCTGCTCTCATTATTAAGAAAACTTACGCCCCAACTGCATATGGTATTCAAGAAGTTTAATTCATAAATGCATTTCTTCATATATAAAGCATAGCTATTTTGTCATTATGTGCATCTGTTAAATACGTGAAACATGAAGGAATTTTTTTGACAGTTCATATTCATATGTCTTAATTTGACAGATTTATTTACATTGTGTTTAAGAAGATATTGTGACATAATAATTGACATTTAATAGGCTTATTTCTCACATTTAGAAGCGATCACGAGTCTTTGCTCACTTGGGGAAATGTGTCAGCCCATTATAAGAGTTTTATTAATGCTTTTCTAGAGGTAGATTGATAAGTAGATTGTTAGCGCAAAGATGTTAAAGTACTTTTAAAGATACTATAGCTCTAAAGTATCTTTTACAGTGTAAATAATATCTGAGGTTTGATCATACCAAAATAAAGTCCAAAGGGGCAAGTGTCCCAGAGACATTTTAGTTCTCAGTAAGAAACCAACTCAATCTAGATTAAACACAAATGGAAATATATTTTATACTAATATAAATGTATATTAATGCAAATGTGTTTATTACTTCTGTGAGAAACCCGTATGGTTATCTCCCAGAAATATGTGTAAGAATTGTAGCTGAGATTCACAAAAGACCAGAACAAGGAATTTAGAAACTATCAGGTACTTTGGCTGCCGTTCTCTATGTCTCTCCCTCCCTGCTTCCCTCTTTCCCCTCTTCTGTGTCTCCGTCGCTCCCTGTCTTTCTCTCTCTTTCTCTTTCTCTGAGGTTTCTTTTCTCTGCCAGTGTTTGTTCATCTGCTTCATTCTTCTTTCTGCAGACTGGATTTTTCTGTATTATTTCTCTATGGCCTAAATGTGGTCTTTTACAACCCATACTTTATGTGTCCTTGGCTTAGAAGTATACCACCTGCAGCTGATAGGGTCTGTCCCGTCTCTGGGATGAAAAAGGGAGAATTATAAATAAGACTCGCTTGTTGAGTACGAGCATTCATTGGATTGGCACCCTCTAGTCTATAATCACTTTTGCTCAGTTTGTTATTTCTTAAGGCACGTGAGCAAGATTAGTACCCCTTGAAACCACCAAAGATAATCTGTTGTATTATTATATATATATATATATATATATATATATATATATTTTCAGGGAATTTGATTGTTTCTTTTAAATTTCCACAGGAATCTTTACAGATAGCACACTCAAGTTCAGCTAGCAAATAGAAATCCAGTTCCGTACTCTGTAGTGAGTTCACAACACATTAAAGGATTAAAAAACATTTCAAGTAAAATATTGATTACTATGTCAGTATTCTATTGAAAAATTGTGTTCATTTGTCTCTTTCATTCCTCATAGGAAGTGCTTTAACTATGCATACCACCAAGGATAATGATGAATACTTGTAAAACACCTGTAAAAACATTAGAATCAATTTAAATTATATTTTGATTACAGATAAAGCAAATTCATTTTCAATATTAAGCAATTCTATAAACACTGGCATTTACCCTTCTCCCTCAATTTCCAGGGAAAGAGGAATGCATTTTGGTTAGATAGCGAACATTTTAGTAGTTCCTAATGTTTGTTCAATATACAGAACAGTATGTCAAAAGTAGTATTTTTTATCACCAGAATTTATTAGTTTGTTGCTCTTGTGAGTCATTCACTTACCAACCATTTTCAAATATCTGTTTATACAAGGCATGGTACTTACTGCTGAGAGGATGTATAAAGTTTGAATTTGATCAAGATCCTTCTCTTAAGGAACTTAAAATCTAATTGTCTAACACAGTCTACTTGACTACTATATGAACTGGAAAGTAGTATATATAATAAGAGAAGTATAGATGGATTTATATTCTGAGGAATAAACAGTTATTTCTGTTGGTGGTGGCAGCCTGGGGAAGAGATTGGAGAAATCTCATGAAGAAAATAGAATTTCAGCTAGGAATGTTCAGGAATCAAATATATAGATATATACAGGCAAAATACAAACAATACATTTTCAGTAAGGACTGAAAATCAGGGAAGTAAAGGGGTTTGTTTGTTAAACAGTCAGAAGTTATGATTAGTTAGTCCAAAAGGTACAGAAAATGGAAACAATGAAAAGCAAGATCTTTGTATTGTCAATTGGAGAGTTTAAACTTTGTTCTCATAATACTTGGAGAACCTATCATTTGTTCTTCTATCATAGATATATTAATGCCTGTTAATTTTTTTAATTGTTGACTTTCAATTTGTTATGGTTTGAGAAAAAATATGCAGTGTCACTCTAGCTAAAGAGTACAGACTGTTTTCAACTCTCGGCTTACTTGAAATCAGCTTTTAGGTTGAGGCAAACACATGTTCACAGTTAAAGGTGTTAAGTACGGATGTCACAGAACAGTTTGTGATTAATTACCAAATGAGTGATGTAGACAATGATAGCTTTAAGTTTAGGAGAAGTGGCCTCAGGATTAGCTGTCTGAGACTAGGCTGTTCACACTGAGTAGAATATTGAAGGATTCCCCTCAGCCATTTCCTTGTGGTCTGCTTGCCGGTTTCCAGAACTGTTTTGGCATTTTTTGAATCATAATTTCATGTCCTAAATATTTCGGGCCAAGTGTCATTGTGATTTTATATAGTTTTACTGAGTTATTCATCTTCTGTAAAGTCATTTTTGCTACTCAGGTAGAAATGAAAATACGTACACTAAGGTTGCAATCTCTAGATACAAGGAAAAGTGGGAATATGTTTTACCTCTAAAACTGCCAGACATCTATTATTCTGACTCCTGAATGGATAGGTCAAGCCAGTCTTAAGCATTTAATTACCACAGTTGAGGGGTAACATTAAATGTAGGAGTCTCTTTATTTGAGACAGTTTCTGTAACCTGGTGAAAATAATCACTTTAGTGCTGAATGTTAAGTATTTTTTAGTGACATCAAATCATGTTCCCATGCTTCAATAAGTTGGATTGGGAGTTCCCATTACTATAATAGAATAAGTTAGTATGTTTCTTACCCAGTTTCCAGAAAAATGTTAATGATTAGAATGTTCACAATTTTAGATTTTTCTTTTGTGCTGAAGAAGTAACAAAGAAATCAAAATTCAAGTTAGTTTGGTAGCTTGTGTTATCCATTGATACATGCTAATGGCTGTGCTTTTTTGTTGGTATGTATCAGCAGTCATTTTTCTTCTGGCAAATGTGATAGAGTTAAATATGTTACTATTTCATGGGAGTTTTGTGAAAGACCATCAAGAATTTGTATGAACCCTTTCCTGAGTAAGTACAACAGCCTTACTGGTAATGATAAAAGACTGGCGACAGGGAGACTAGTTGTCTTTTATCCTTTCTTTTCTTAATCTTGTATTTAGTGGGTGTACACAAATATTTTCAATAATCAACCAGCATATAATTGAGAATTTACTGTGTACCTTTAGCAGGAGCTTTCTAGAGGACCCAGAAAGTCTGTGTGTAACATGCACTCATATTCTCAATAACCTTAGTTTAACTCAATAAACAAAAATTACCCCAGTATTATATTTTATAAGACAGTTAAGTGCTAAATTGACATAGATGTTCAGAAAAGGAGTAATCAAAGTCTTCAAGAAATCAAGGAAGACTTCTTGGAGATGAGGAGACTTATTTACACTGGATCTCAGGAGCCATAAAGGCAGAAAGAAGGGTTTCTCTGAAAAGAGCAGCAAGCACAATGAACGTGGACTTGGGTCTGACTGGAGTAGAGGGTGCTGATTGGGATCTGCTGGAAGATAAGATGAGTCAGGTTTGACCAGATTAAGAACATGATGCCAGTGTTTCACATTGTCTTAAGCAGTCTCACAACTAGCTAAATGATTCTTCTTCCTGTGTATAATAACTCTTCAAAGCTTTAAAAAGGAATGTTTGAATCCTCAAATCTTTTTTTTGCTTAAATATGCTTGTAATTCAATTAAGATATTATAATTAGCTATATTACCTAAATTAGAAAAGAAATATAATCAACTACTTTGACAGTCTTTGCTTACATATGCTGTTGTCTTTATATTCTGGGGAAAAGTTTGGTAAAAATCCATTCATTCAGAAGAATTTGGTGAGCATCCTCATTGTGGCAAGCAGTAAATACCAGACCAGAGTTGCTGCCTCCATAGACCAGTCTAGTCGTCGAAGGGAGTAGCAGAAATGGGAAATGGTCAGGAAAATGGTCATTCCGGGAAGAAAGGGTATGTTGTAATTTTCAGTAAGGTGATCAGAGAAGGGTAACTAAAAAGAAGATAGTTCTTCAGAATCAGTGAGCAAAAGTTTATAATCAATATCTATGAGACTTTTTAAAAGCTTTGAAAGTTGATTTTTTTTTTAATAAGAATGTATTTTCTAAGGTATAAAAGGAAACTAAACAAGATGCTCAATTCCATGTGCCCACGCAATGATTTTTCAGATGAATGCACTGGACACCCTTGGTCAGACTGCTTTGCATAGAGCCGCCCTAGCAGGCCACCTGCAGACCTGCCGCCTCCTGCTGAGTTACGGCTCTGACCCCTCCATCATCTCCTTACAAGGCTTCACAGCAGCACAGATGGGCAATGAAGCAGTGCAGCAGATTCTGAGTGGTGAGTTAAAATAGACCAACAGGGCATTTTATGTTTTCTCTTCCATCCCTGCTGAAATACACAGACAAACTTTGCAGTGTTTACTTTGCCTGAAGTTTTTCTCATGTCTTTTCTTGCAATTTAGCCTGTGGACTTCCCCATCTCCCTTTTTTGGTAGGGTAAGGTAGGTGTCATTGGAAGGAAGCAGATACAGCTTTTAATTTTTTTAGGTTTAAATTGAAAACCTGACTCATGAGTGTTCTGATCAAAGGTGACTTAAAACTCATATAAACAGTGTGGAATTATGGTAGCTATAAAATCTATCAAATAGAGAAAATTATAAATCATTCATATGGTAGTGACATTTAATTAATTGTTCCTACCTGTGTAAAATTCTGACATACTTTTAAAATTCTTAACTTCATTGCATTATTATAAAATTATCTTGTCTTTTTCTGGCTTAAATATAATTATAGGCTGGGCACAGTGGCTCACTGCTGTAATCCCAATACTTTGGGATGCCGAGGCAGGCAGATCACGAGGACAGGAGATCGAGACCATCTTGGCCAACATGGTGAAACCCTGTCTCTATTAAAAATACAAAAATTAGCTGGGCGGAGTGGCGCATGCCTTGTAGCCCTAGCTACTTGGGAGGCTGAGGCAAGGAGAATTGCTTGAACGCGGGAGGCGGAGGTTGCAGTGAGCCGAGATCACGCCACTGCACTCCAGCCTGGAGACAGAGTGAAACTCTGTCTCAAAAATAAATAAATAAATTATATATATATATATATATATATATATATATATAAAATTATAAAATTTTGCTGAATGTTTCATTGTCTGCCTGGTATAGTGTTAGATATTTTAAATATAAATTGATAAGAAAATAGATACTGGCTTCCTAAGTCCCAAAACTAGAGGAAGTAATGCAGTCTACCTACTGACAAAATGAACTAGAATCAAAAGTGTAGTATAATTAACCTCTTTCCTAACCTTTTAATTTTGTCTGTGGATTATATCTGCTATGGAATGAAATGACAAACCAGAAGAGTAAAATGTAGAAGTCCTGGTTACTTTTTTCTACCTACAGTCTGGTAGTTCTTAACTCTATCAGGTACAGTGCCCGCTTTTTATAAAGAATGTCTTATGACATATCCTTATGACATTTCAGAAGTGAAATTCATAGATAATATGACCTAACTGTATAGGTACATTCCCAAAAATCTATATAAAACGCCCTAACTAGATCGGGCTTGGTGGCTGACGCCTGTAATCCCAGCACGTTGGGAGGCCGAGGTGGGCGGATCACGAGGTCAGGAGTTCCAGACCACCTTGGCCAACTTGGTGAAACCCCCATCTCTACTAAATGTTAAAAAATTAGCCGGGTGTGGTGGTGCGTGCCTGTAATTCCAGCTACTCGGGAGCCTGAGGCAGGAGAATCACTGGAACCTAGGAGACGGAGGTTGCAGTGAGCCAAGATCGCGCCACTGCACTCCATCCAGCCTGGGTGACAGAGCGAGACTCCATCTCAACAAAAAAAAAAAAAGAAAGAAAAAAATGCCCTAACTATAATATAAAGGGAAAATAGCAGTAAGTTACAATAAAATAATTTATAGTTCTTATGTAAATAGATTGGACACGACTATATTAGAAGACAAAACATGACCCCACAGATTTCTAAAGGGACCCCAAGAAATACAGCCCAGTTGAGAATCACTGCTATATGATGCAACAGGGACCCTTCTAGGGCTTGTAGAGATTATGATATGTGTATATTGTTATAGGAAGATCAGAGCTAAATAGCATAATAAAACTAATTGTGCAACATTGTGAAAACTATTGATGAGGATTTATTTTCCTCATGCTAGGTCATTCGTAGATAGTGATCATTCTACTTCAGCCTTAATGGTGATCTTGAGACGGGAAGATTTAGAAGGAAATCTATCCAGCATGTCTTCACTGTCAACATGAGTAAGATCCAGCTGAACAAATGAAATTTTCTATATAAATTTCAAGCTTGAACTCAAAAAAAAAGACTTTGACTTCCTGTTTTTATGGAGTGATAGAACATTTGCTTAAAGGAGATATTACTCCTTGCCTAGGAAATATTTCTTCCCTCTCAGTAAATTCTAATGATTTCTAAAAGTTGTGATTTTTGTTAAAATTTCTAAATTTTCTCATTTTACTGAGAATCATTTAGTACCGAATTTTAAGTTAGTTTCTGTATGTTTTAACCATAAGTCAGGCAAACACATAGCTTTGCCTCAAATTATGTGCATAGCTTTTAGAGATAATTAACAAAATGGAGAAGAAAGTATTGAATAAATCAAGCATATCAGATCCATATAATACTTTTAAAATGTCTTCTTACTGAATGCAGTTAGAATATATGAGTTCTGGCAAAAGATAAAACTACTGAATACAAATGAAATATTTTTTTTCGATTATTTTGATAAATCTCCTTTAAAATTGATTTTTGAAATAAGACATTATATAGGTAATTAAATGCTTAATTTAGAACATGCAGAACTTTTTATTTAATTCTTTATTGATCTGGAAAGCTAATACAAATAAAAAATATATATAGGAAAATTTTGCCCTCCAAAAGGTTTTTTTTTTTTTTGTAATGGGAATTGTTTCTTATTTGAAATAGGATATAAGTTTTTAAACTACTATTTTTACCAGGAATTTGTATGTCTCTGTAGACTATGGACCATGCATTAGCTGAACTTTTAGTTATTTATTAACCCAATATCAGGTTATATCTATAATGACTTTTGAAAGAATATATTAATATCACTCAAATAAGATGTATAGTAATTTGTTTTGTTCTGGATAACATTTTATAAGATTCATTTAAATACACTTGTTAATACTGGGCTTGAGATCTACTTTAGAAACCTGCACTTTCAACTCCCAAGTCTGTAGTTGCCAGAAGTTTACATTAATAAAGTTTTCATTATAAACTGCTGGCAATATTTGTGTCAAAACTAACATCAATGTAAAGAAAACAAGACAAGCAGCTTTTTATGAATTAGCACTTTAAAACATTATTTCCAAAGATTTGATTTCTTTCTCTAGACTTGCTCTTTCCAATATGGTAGCCACTAGCTACATCTGGCTACATTTAAACTAATTAAAATTAAATAAAATGGAAAATCTTTCCATTAGTTACACTAGCCACATTTCAGGTATTCAGTAGTCACACGTGGCTAATGGCTAGCATAATAGCACAAATAACACTATTTCTAGCACCACAGACAGTTCTTTTGGTCATTTCTTTTAAGTTCGATCTTGACCTGAATTCTTGCGATTGTATAACCCAGTGTGGGATAAGCATTACTTTTATCTACACAGGTAAAGATTAGGCTTATGATAGCTAAATTAAACATTGAAACCCCATTTACAGTGGCACATTGAAATAAGCCATTAAGACCTGTTGCCAGTCCAGTAGTCTAATATTGATCAAACTACTAAGTCTATAAAAGATGTTTTTAAAAATAGGCTGCTTCCTAGCGTTTCTAACTTTTTAAAAACTCTAATGAGCCAGAAAAAGATTGGAGACAAAATAAGAAGCCCATCTTTAATCTTTGATTCTAGGTGACTATAATTTCATGTTCTACAGGCTGAGTGTGGTTGCTCACGCCTATAATCCCTGCACTTTGGGAGGCAACGGTGGGAGGATTGCTTGAGCTCAGGAGTTCAAGCCCAGTTTGGGCAACATGGCGAAACCCCGTCTCTACTTAAAAATTTTTAAAAATTAGCCGGGTATGGTGGTGCATGCCTATGGTCCCAACTACTCAGGAGGCTAAGACAAGAGGATCACTTGAGCCCAGGATTTCAAGACCAGCCAGGGCAACATAGTGAGACCCCATCTCTAAAAAGAAAGAACTAAACAAATAAATAAATTTCATGTTATACAAACCTAGCATACTTACAAAGAATTTTACTAATATAGTACTTTGCATACAAGCTACTCTTTCACTCATGTTCCTTTTTTAATTTCATTTTTTATATCTCTTTTAATTGTGCATCACTTTATACAAAGTTCCTGGGCTGTATGTAAGTCATTTCAGCTAATACATTTTTCGCATTATTTCTAAAAACAAGTCTATCCTAGGCCTTATTCAAGATATGTAATAGGTGCAGGTCTCTACAATCTGTATAGTAATTAACCAATATTTTAAACATCTTTACTTTCTCCTCTTTAACCAGGACTAATAATTCTTTTCTCATAGTTCCAGAAGCATTCTTATATTTGCTTAAGACTTTTTGCTTGATTGGAAAATTATACTCTTTAGTAGACAGTCCGCATCAAGATATGTGTTCCAATTTCAAATAGTTCTTAGATTTCAAAAATTTTGCCATATTAAATGTATCCTTAAAGTGCTGTCATCGAAAAATACTCAGTTATAACTATATACATAAACAATTGTCTCTATTTTGTTGAAATGAAAAACTAAAAATATTACCTGTAGATATTGAAAGGATATATCAGTGAATTTTGTCAAATCCAGAATCACTGTCATAGAGACATAATATACACACAGCATCTTACCTATAAATGCGGTAGTGTATGTGCACACTTATAATGGAGACTAATGAGACAATGAAAGAACAGAATAAGAGCAGCCAAAAAAAGAGCCAAGATTTGATAGACTCATTGACCCCAGTACATAGTGGAAATCCATCCAGGAAATGCTTTTGGAATGCTCTCTGTGTGAAAAGGAATATAAAGATGAGCAAGATCTGGTTCCTTTCCTCAACATTTCCACAAATTAAAATGTAATATAACTCTTAAGAATAATAATTCAAAGATTTACTTTGTTATATGAAACACTCTCTTTTTTCCTCCCTTAATCTCAGCATTTTACCTGCTATTATGATCAAATAAGTAGTTTATCTTTTACTGAAGAATTGTCATAACTTATTCTGTAAAAGCCACTCTCTCCTGAAATCTACAACCTCTTCATAGCATCACTTGATCCTCCCACTTGGACATTGGGCTCAAAAAAGATGTCTCTGATCATAAGATAATACAATCTTAGATCTGAAAGATTTTCAGCACTCACTTTATAAGGGCAAAAACTAAACTGTTACATGAGTTGTCCAAAGTTGTAGATTATAGAGCCCAGTCTAAAATGTAGGCCTCCTGGAGATCCATCCTTTTGTGTTAACATAATGTGTGCTCATTCTAAAAGCCACACTTCATGTACATAAACATACTTTTGGTTGACATATTATAAATTGTTTTCTTTAAAAACTTATTTTATTTGGGTCAATGTGAAATGAATTTTCAGTTTATTTACATTGGATTAATCAAAATAATAACTCATTTGTTAGCCTCTAAACCTAACAGCCCAATTTAATTATATTCTGTTTCGCATTGCTATCATACCTCCAATTATACAAACATTGAAAGTTGCATTTTCCTAAAGCCATTCAATAAATGTGAATTAAACAAATGTCTGTATTTAGTAGCCCTTTTCTGTTCACTGATTATACTTCACAAGATGATTCTGATTTCAAAAGTAGTACATTGAGACTAAAAGAAAAATCAAGGCTGGGCACAGTGGCTCACATCTGTAATCCCAGCACTTTGGGAGGCTGAAGCAGGAGGATCACTTGAGCCCAGGAGTTTGTGACCAGCCTGGGCAACATGGTGAAACCCCATCTCCACAAAATATACAAAAACTAGCTGGGCGTGGTGGTGTACACGTGTGGTCTCAGCTACTTGGGGCTGAGGTGGGGAGGATTGCTTGATCCTGGAAGGTTGAGGCTACAGTGAACTGTGATCACGCCACTGCACTGCAGCCTTGGTGACAGAGCAACTGTCTCAAAAAATAAATACATACATATGTACATACATAAAAAAAGTAAACATTAAGTACTGAAAGTTGTGTGGCTTCCCTAGGTTTGTATAACAAATCTATGGCAAAGTTTTGCTACAACATTTAGTAAAACCAAACTAAATAATTTTTCCTCCTGAACTACTTTGCAATCCCTCAAGAACCATTTTTGTTTCCAAAATCAATGCAGTTGGAATATATGAGTTTGGATATATATATGAGTTCTTTCCTTCCTTTTATGCAGAGAGTACACCTATACGTACTTCTGATGTTGATTATCGACTCTTAGAGGCATCTAAAGCTGGAGACTTGGAAACTGTGAAGGTAAGTCAGTGCCCTTAATATCTGGAATAGCACTGTTGAACTTTGCTAACCAATTCATTTTTAAGCTTCTAAGTATATCTACTCAAATACAAACAGTAAAAAGGATGAACAGAGTCATGGGCAGGAAAAATCTGTACTACTATTAAGGAATTCCCAGTATGTGCCTTGTATTTATGAAACCATTTGTATATATATGTGTGTGTATGTATATAGGTAGATGGACAGATGGATATATACATACACACACACACATATACATGGTTTTTAGTAATTTTTCTTCAGGTTACATGAAAGCTCTTTTAATTTCACTTATATTAATTACAGTGTTACTATTTTTGGCTGCATTCACAAAATGTATAAACTAGATCGAGCCCAGACATTAGCAGGATGACATTTGAAAGAATATTTCTTGATCTTTTCTCAGAGGTTCACACATTTATTCTAGGAAAGCATTCCTGTGATCCCTCAACAGTGGAATTATTCATATGCAGAAGATAGATTTTTTCCCTGTGTAGCTCTACTTGCTTCAAAAATTTTATCAGTCTGTATTTGTGGTATAGAAACAATGGTTGTAGTTTTATTTTTTTTCAAATATAGTCATATTCTAATACTAAGTATACTTTTTTAAAACACACATTTCCCATCTATAATCATTCACTTAGGGATGAAGTTAGCAAAAGTTTTTTGTTTGGAGGTTGGTCTTTTGGGGTTTGTTTTTTGTTGTTTTTTACGAGACAAGGTCTTGCTGTATTGCCCAGGCAGGCCTCAAACTCCTGGGGCTCAAGCAATCCTCTTGCCTTACCCTGCCTACTATCCAAGTAGCTGAGACTACAGGTGTGCACCACTGCACCCAGCTTTGCCTTTATTATTTTTATCGAAAAGTTAATAGCAAATTTGCTATTGACACTCAGTACTTTTTACGACATACTGTCAACTTTGTCACCTCTTCTTAAGCAAACTTTTTGTGATTTTTAGCAAACTAATTTTAGCATTCTTGATAACATATACTGGTTGAAAGTGACGGTAAACACGTTTTAAGCTCTGTTGCCTAGAAATTTTATTTTTGTTTTAATATGTGGGCACTTCCAGGATCACATCCAACTTACGATAGCATCTAAGTTATTTAAAGAATAATAGTAAATTTTAGTTGTGATAGCCACTAGGGAGAAATTTTTATGTTGTCTTAAATCTAAAACTGTACATTTTTTCTTAAAAATGCTTCATCACTTGAAATGTATTCTAATAAAAGAAATTTCTTAAATATAAGACGATTAGGCTTCCTTTCAGAGCATGATCATCTCAGTGCTTGAATTGCTATATGTGCTTATTATAATTAATACATACTTTATTTTTAAAGCATACAGTTTTAAATTCCATGTGTTTTGTATATGATAAGCAGATGTATACTACAGCTTTTAGGTTTCTTAAACAATCCATTCACAGTGAAGGCCTAATTTATTTTGATCTGTGGAATGGAAGTAGCAAAAGAAAACAAAGCAGCACAAATTGAGTGAGAATTAGGCCTGGTAAATTTCTTCCCCAAGAGACTTTAGAAAGTAGTAGAACTGAGGTTTTAGAAGAAAAGGCTGCCTGCTGAATAAAGCATTTGAAATTGTGAAAAGTAAGTAGGAAGGATGTGAAATTGCTTTGCCATTCGAAAGAAAACTGAAACAGAATAAAGAATTTCTAAATCTTAAAAATCAAATATTTAATAAGCAGGATGGGCTTCTATTTCTGTAGCCTCACAAAATGAGTTGTGTTTCATTCCCTACCTATTCCTATTTTGTCAGTATTCTGACAAATAGAATAATAATAGAGTTAATTTAGAATGTAAGAACCAGTGGGGGAAAGCAGCATTAGGAAGAAGCTTCAATCATGTCAGACTCCTTAGAGGGTGTTTATTATCAATTTTTGCATCTTTTCTTTTTGATTTATGTATTTATTCATTTTTTATTTAATTTGATTTGTCAATTATGCTATTTATATATTAATATAGCCACAGACTCATTTGTCATGAAAAGATATTTGACCTGGTCACATTACAATGGCTCTTCAGATTTTAGAGGCTGGTGCATTTCCGTATAGAGTTGATGAAACTGTGAACTCGCCTTTACTGCCCAGACTCCTTCCTGTCATGTGAAAATTACACCACTTAAAAAGCGCTTGTTTTTATCCTACCTGTGTGAAAGCTTCTTGTCTTAGTCTATTTGTGCTGCTATAAAAAAATACCATAGACTCGGCAATTTCTAAGCAATAGAAATTTATTTCTCTCAGTTCTGGAGGCTAGGAAGTCCAAGATCCAGGTACTCGTAGGCTTAGTGTCTGGTGGGGACCCCGTCTCTCTGCCTTCAAGGTGGTGTCTTGTTGCTGCCTCTTCTGGAGGGGACAAATGCTGTATCCTCACTTGGCAGAAGGCGGAAGGGCAAAACGGCCAAATGCTGTGTGAAGCCTCTTTTAGAAAGGCCTTAAGCCCCCATTCAGGAGGGAAGAGTCCGCATGACCCAGTCACCTCCTTAACACTATTGCATTGGAGATTAAGTTTCAACATGAATTCCAGAAGGACACAAACATTCAACCCGTAGCACTCCTACTTCCTCTATCAGTAGAAATTTTTCAAGTTCTTAATTTTTATGTAATAATAGCTTATTACTGTGACGGAAGTGGCAGCAAAATTAGTGAATACCTGAAAATCCCCAGGGACCCTGCAATCGTCCTTTATAGCCTAGAGCATGCTATTGTCTGCTCTGCTTCATTTGCTTTTTCTGTTTTTCATTGCCTTTCTTCTGATCACTTCCCTCAAGTTGGATAATTAGGAAAGTAAGCGATGATGCATGATGTAGCAGAAAGACTAAGAGGTTAAAAATCAGTAAAGCAGGGTTTGAGTCTTTATTCTACCCCTTACCAACTGTTTGACAAGGATAACTCACTTAACCTTCATCCCTGATTTATTTATCTGTAAAGTTAATTTATAAATTAATCTCCATCCCTGGTTTGTTATCTATCAACTTCTTAGACATATAATAATTTCCTCACTGAAAGAATATTATATTCTTTTTTTTTTTTTTTTTTTTTTTTGAGATGGGGTCTCACTCTGTCACCAGGCTAAAGTGCAGTAGCGTGATTTCGGCTCACTGCAACCTCTGCCTCCTGGGTTCAAGCAATTCTCCTGCCTCAGCCTCCCAGCGAGTAGCTGGGACTACAGGCACGCGCCACCATGCCCAGCTAATTTTTGTATTTTTAGTAGAGATGAGGTTTCACTATGTTGGCCAGGATGGTCTCGATCTCTTGACCTCGTGATCTGCCTGCCTTGGCCTCCCAAAGTGCTGGGATTGCAGGCGTGAGCCAATGCACCTGGCCAATATTCTTTATAAACTGTAAATTATTATTCAGATATTATCATTACTCACTTATTACCACCAGTGATACAGTCTTTCATTCCTTCCATGCCATCCTGCTGCTTTGTAAACAAACGGAGCTTACAATTTAGATTGTGCTGAAATTGAAGCATTCAGAGAGAGATAAGGAGACATAGAAGAGATTTGGAGGACATCTCTGAAAGAGATGGAAGTAAAGCCCAAAAACTAGGGTATGATTAAAAACCAGTTTAACTTGTAAAGGTAAGCAAATGTTGCCCCAAAAGGCAAGTAAAGCACTGTTGACGACGTAACTTTGCTACAGTCAATCAAAAGACCCAGGGAGTGGCCCAGGCAGAAAAATAATTTTCCAGACCCTTTTTGCTTGCTTGACTCACATTAGAGACGGCAAGAGCTCTCTAGTTACACAGTCAACTGAGGTTGGTGTTGGCACAAGCAGATACGCTATGACAAACAGTAGAGCATATCTCAGGGAGGAAAGACTTACAAAGATAAAACAGCAAGGGATTAGTTGCTTTGGAAATGCTTGCTTTATTGTGGGTTTTTCTATTTGATTCCGATTTTGGTTGGGAAATGTTGAAAAACATTAATTTGCTCTGTACATAATAAAAAATATTTGTCGTCACTGAAAGGCATAGTGCTGATTTCTAAACATTTGTATTGTCTAATCTTTGGAAATAAATATTCATTAGACAATTATAATTTACTTATCCAAGATGTTGAACTATTTTGGGGCAAAACCTGTGAATAAAGAGTAATGTTCGTTTTGTGTTTGTCTTTGTGTGTGCACCACGAAAGCAACTTTGCAGCTCTCAAAATGTGAATTGTAGAGACTTAGAGGGCCGGCATTCCACGCCCTTACACTTCGCAGCAGGCTACAACCGCGTGTCTGTTGTAGAGTACCTGCTACACCACGGTGCCGATGTCCATGCCAAAGACAAGGGGTACGTGTTAGAAGTTAGCTGTTTGGGAGTCATTCTCTTCATGCTTAAAAAATTTAAAATATTTTTGAAGTCTTAGATTTTTTCTGTATTAAAAAAGTAATCGTTATTTTTTGTTTAAAACATAAATTAAAACATAGAAATGTGCCAGGCATGGTGGCTCACGCCTGTAATCCCAGCACTTTGGGAGGCGAAGGCGGGCAGATCACCTGAGATCAGGAGTTTGAGACCAGCCTGACCAACATGGGTGAAACTCTGTCTCTATTAAAAATACAAAATTAGCCAGGCGTGGTGGCACATGCCTGTAATCCCAGCTACTTGGGAGGCTGAGGCAGGAGAATCACTTGAACCCGGGAGGTGGAGGTTGCAGTGAGCTAAGATCTCAGCATTGCACTCCAGCCTGGGCAACAAGAGCGAAATTCCATCTCAAAAAAAAAAAAAAAAAAAAAAACATAGAAATGTACAGTATAGAAATTGAAAATTTCCTGTCAGCCCACCTCCTGCTCAGAGATACAGCATTCAAATGTTGACCTTATTCCTCCAGATATTGTAAATGCATAGACTTGTGTGTGTGCTGTGGCGATGGTGGTGGTGGTGATTTTTAACACAAATGGTGGTGCCATTCTATATGGTCTGCTTTGCAGTTTACTTTTTTCCACTCAGTAGTGTATCTTGAATAGTCTTCCCATATCAGTACTTAATAGTCTCATTCTTTTAATGCTTGTATATAGTATTTTATTACATTATATGAATTTTGTTTTGTTTTGTTTTTGAGACAGAGTCTCGCTCTGTCGCCCAGGCTGGAGTGCAGTGGCACAATCTCGGCTCACTGCAAGCTCTGCCTCCCAGGTTCACGCCATTCTCCTGCCTCAGCCTCCCGAATAGCTGGGACTACAGGCGCCCGTCACCACGCCCGGCTAATTTTTTGTATTTTTAGGAGAGACGGGGTTTCACTGTGTTAGCCAGGATGGTCTCAATCTCCTGACCTCATGGATCCACCCGCCTCGGCCTCCCAAAGTGCTGGGATTACAGGCGTGAGCCACTGCACCCAGCCCTATATGAATGTTTTTATATAGTCTGTAAGTTATTGTTTATTCTTCTTTTTTGCTATTAAAAATGTACAGTCTCTTCTAAAAAGAAGTCATCCATCCCAAAGACATCAGTATTCCTAGAAGCATAGTTTTATTTTTACTAATTCAGATACTGTATGTTTTATATTAGTTTGCTAAATTATTTTGTCTAGGCAAAGCTTAAGGCAGCTACTTAGAAATGTGAGAAAGGTATTTTAACTGATATTAATTCCCGTGTTCTGAGTTAATTTCACATCATCTCAAAATAAGCCAGTAGCTTTCTGTGTAATTACATACAAGTGCACAGTAGAATTAAACTGCACGATTTAGGCCTCATCGAACCATTATGTATTTATTTATCTTTTAAAAGGGACACATCAGACATGAATATTTCAAACTGTTTCAGTGCATTGGAGAGCAATCAGCATTTGCTTCTATTGCTCATTTTAACAGTTAGCATATTTCATCCCAAAACTAAAAAAAAAAAAAAAAAATGCACTTGTTACTTTGCTTCTGCCATGTGTTAACTTCAACATTTTATTCTTTTGATGTACTCTTTTGTGGGAGCATCTTTTTGTCCTTTTAGAATGTCAGCTGCTTACAAATCAGAGCTTAGACTCCTCTCAGAATAGTTTGCCCATTTCTCATCTGAGTAGAACTTATAGTTGACATCGTCATTTTTCTTACTGAATACTTCTCTGAATTACCTGGATTATGAATTTTCAATATTTGGCACCTCAATATTTACACCTGTGCATGGAAATCACCACTGAATCACCACTATGATTAAACCACTATGATTTAATCACCACTATGATTTACACAACTTTTTACCAAGGTAGAACTTGCCTAAATAAGCTAATTGTATTATATTTTTTATAAGTAAGCATACAATTTTCATTAGCGAAACTCATAAAGATAAGGATTGCTGTGAGTATATATCCATCCCCAAGAAACTTAGGAAAAAATCTTTACATTGAAAGAACATTTTTGAAATTATTACTCCTTATTTAGAAATGGATAACTATATCTTAAAGAACAGAGGTGGGTGTATTTCTTTTTGCGCAGTGTTCAGTATAGTCAGTACCATAGAAGAATGGTAGGATTTTTATTATAAGAATCATTGTAACTCAAAGGTTTGTTTTATGACTTTAAAATAACTTTCTTTTGTTTAGTGGCTTGGTGCCCCTTCATAATGCCTGTTCATATGGACACTATGAGGTGGCTGAGCTTTTAGTAAGGCATGGGGCTTCTGTCAATGTGGCGGACTTATGGAAATTTACCCCTCTCCATGAAGCAGCAGCTAAAGGAAAGTATGAAATCTGCAAGCTCCTTTTAAAAGTATGTAGTTTAAAAAGTTATGAAATATAACTAATTTTATTTATATTTTGGTTATTACTTGAAAGTAAGTTGGGGTATGTTATTCTATTAAGAACAATACTGCTGTAGAGACTGCTCTCATTTTCTATTTCCCAGAAGACCGTTTATGTGATATGACACATAGCTTTGCGTAGTGCCTAAAGTGAATATCTGAAATGGTTTAAGTCCATGTCATAAAAATTCATCAAAGTAGGTTTTAGAAAGAGCTGAAATAGTTTGCATTGCTTGTCTAGTACTTATAGTATTAATATCAGAAAAAACTGTACAGGAGAAACAAGCTTTTCAATCAAGTTGGGTTTTTTTTCTTTGTTGGCTATTTTATTATTGTTAACTAACTCATTCACTAGTAAACATCAAATATTGTGTCTTTAAGAACTTATTGTAGTATCAGATTTTTATTAAAATATAAGATGATCTCTAAAGTTGTTCATATAGATTTTAGATACATGTAAAAGAGTGAAAACTAGTAGTTATATGAAACTAACTATAATTTATGCTCACTTAAAGTATATTTTTAAAAAACGACCAGATGTGTATTTATGAGATTTTCTTTTGCTTTTTTTTAACTACGGAAAAAAAATTGAAGTGTTTAAATAAAATTCTTCTCCCTTCACTTTTATGATATCAAATACATTCTTATGAATCTTGAGAAAAACACAATATCTGATACTCATTTTTATTATCACTGGTTGGTAAGAAATAACTTCCAAGTCATTGTGAATCCATTGTCCACCTTGACTTACAACTAATTTCCGCAGTGAGCCCATGACAGTCTGTGGCCGACCCATAATAAAAATTATTGACTTCTATTTACTTTATTTAATAGCTATTGGTAATTAAACTTTTAAAATCTATAATTTTTAATACATTTATATCTAATTTCATGATAGATGTTAAGACTTAGGATAAAAATCTTAAAAATATTACCAAACTTTATTCTTACTGATGGCCTTTAGAATTAAGTCCTTTTTTACCAGTGTGTCTTACTCTCTTCTTTTTCATACCTACTGAGTATCTTTATGTAATTGAATCTGGTCAAAATTAACATCCATGCTATTCTTCAAAGTAAAATAGGTTTCCAAAGACAACTTGGAGTCTGAGAAAAAGTGTATTATATAGGTTGTCTCAAAGATACTTAACACTCTCCCTACTTTATCATCACCATTGATCCTGAAGCTTTGACTGTATAGTATTAATAGTTAGAAAGCTGATCCATTATATTACTAAGTAGGAATTTTGCAAAGTGTTTTTCAAAATGCATATAGAGTAGATATCTTCCCCAGAGGAACAAAGGTAGAGTAAATTAATTACCTACCTACCTACCTACCTACTTACTACAGAAAATACAAACCCCATTTGGTTTTTCTTCTTTGTAGCATGGAGCAGATCCAACTAAAAAGAACAGAGATGGAAATACACCTTTGGATTTGGTAAAGGAAGGAGACACAGATATTCAGGACTTACTGAGAGGGGATGCTGCTTTGTTGGATGCTGCCAAGAAGGGCTGCCTGGCAAGAGTGCAGAAGCTCTGTACCCCAGAGAATATCAACTGCAGAGACACCCAGGGCAGAAATTCAACCCCTCTGCACCTGGCAGGTAAGCGCCCCCAGTGCCTCCAAGCCTCCTTTTCCTTTCTCGGACACCTAATACAGTTTACTAAAAGACGAAAGCCATGCTGAACACAAATGGGACTACTTAGTAAAATGCTCTTGATTGACATAGTTTTGTATAATTTCTTATTGTGAAGTCCCTCCATTATGTGATAACAGTATTAGCTTTTGAAGCAAAAAGTATTAAAACCTTAACATTTTCTGGTCCTTATTACATATGTATGTATTTTTTTTCCTTTAAGCTGACACGTTTCCTGTATTTTTTTTACTCTAAATAGCAGGCTATAATAACCTGGAAGTAGCTGAATATCTTCTAGAGCATGGAGCTGATGTTAATGCCCAGGACAAGGGTGGTTTAATTCCTCTTCATAATGCGGCATCTTATGGGGTAAGCATACTAACATTAAAATCTAGAAAACTGACCGCACGCGGTGGCTCACGCCTGTAATCCCAGCACTTTAGGAGGCCGAGGCAGGTAGATCACGAGGTCAGGAGGTCGAGACAATCCTGGCAAACACGGTGAAACCCCCTCTCTACTAAAAATACAAAAAATTAGACGGGCATAGTGGCGGGCACCTGTAGTCCCAGCTACTCGGGAGGCTGAGGCAGGAGAATGGCATGAACCCGGGAGGCGGAGCTTGCAGTGAGCCCAGATCGCGCCACTGCACTCCAGCCTGGGTGACAGAGCGAGACTCTGACTCAAAATAAATAAATAAATAAATAAAATAAAATCTAGAAAACTTCCCTGGCATTTACGACTTTATTAAATGCATACTATGCATTAAGTAAGTAGATATCTAACTAATAGCATGATTTAGCATAATTTTAATCTTTTGTTCAGAGTTTTGGTGTATCTTCCCAGCTAAGCTTAACTACCTTTTGGCCAACAGTCATGCTTTTTATTGCTTTTTGGTCTCAGCACGTTATCAAGCACAATAATAGGCATGTAATGGGTGCTCAGTTTATATTTATCAATATTGTAATATATATATAATATAAAATAATATAATAAATACCAATTTCTTAATTCTACCTCAAGTATATTTTAAAAACTAGAAAAGCTGTGCAGCTGTTATACAGGCATGGAAAGTATGTTGGCTTACATTTATCATCAGCACCTTAAAAATATTCGAGTAGGAGGCACAGTGGCATGCGCCTGTAATCCCAGCCATTCGGGAGGCTGAGGTGGGAAGATCGCTTGAGCCCAGGAGTTCAAGGCCACCCTGATCAACATAGTGAGACCTCATCTAAAAAAAAAAAAAAAAAAAAAAAAATTAAATGGTTGAGCAGTTGATATATATGGTTTCAGAGAGTAGGAATTACTAGCTAAAACCTCCAGGTGAAAGTCCAGAGTTTTGGACATGAAGTCCTTGCCCACGCCTATGTCCTGAATGGTAATGCCTAGGTTTTCTTCTAGGGTTTTTATGGTTTTAGGTTTAACGTTTAAATCTTTAATCCATCTTGAATTGATTTTTGTATAAGGTGTAAGGAAGGGATCCAGTTTCAGCTTTCTACATATGGCTAGCCAGTTTTCCCAGCACCATTTATTAAATAGGGAATCCTTTCCCCATTGCTTGTTTTTCTCAGGTTTGTCAAAGATCAGATAGTTGTAGATATGCGGCATTATTTCTGAGGGCTCTGTTCTGTTCCATTGATCTATATCTCTGTTTTGGTACCAGTACCATGCTGTTTTGGTTACTGTAGCCTTGTAGTATAGTTTGAAGTCAGGTAGTGTGATGCCTCCAGCTTTGTTCTTTTGGCTTAGGATTGACTTGGCAATGCGGGCTCTTTTTTGGTTCCATATGAACTTTAAAGTAGTTTTTTCCAATTCTGTGAAGAAAGTCATTGGTAGCTTGATGGGGATGGCATTGAATCTGTAAATTACCTTGGGCAGTATGGCCATTTTCACGATATTGATTCTTCCTACCCATGAGCATGGAATGTTCTTCCATTTGTTTGTGTCCTCTTTTATTTCCTTGAGCAGTGGTTTGTAGTTCTCCTTGAAGAGGTCCTTCACATCCCTTGTAAGTTGGATTCCTAGGTATTTTATTCTCTTTGAAGCAATTGTGAATGGGAGTTCACCCATGATTTGGCTCTCTGTTTGTCTGTTGTTGGTGTATAAGAATGCTTGTGATTTTTGTACATTGATTTTGTATCCTGAGACTTTGCTGAAGTTGCTTATCAGCTTAAGGAGATTTTGGGCTGAGACGATGGGGTTTTCTAGATAAACAATCATGTCGTCTGCAAACAGGGACAATTTGACTTCCTCTTTTCCTAATTGAATACCCTTTATTTCCTTCTCCTGCCTGATTGCCCTGGCCAGAACTTCCAACACTATGTTGAATAGGAGCGGTGAGAGAGGGCATCCCTGTCTTGTGCCAGTTTTCAAAGGGAATGCTTCCAGTTTTTGCCCATTCAGTATGATATTGGCTGTGGGTTTGTCATAGATAGCTCTTATTATTTTGAAATACGTCCCATCAATACCTAATTTATTGAGAGTTTTTAGCATGAAGGGTTGTTGAATTTTGTCAAAGGCTTTTTCTGCATCTATTGAGATAATCATGTGGTTTTTGTCTTTGGCTCTGTTTATATGCTGGATTACATTTATTGATTTGCGTATATTGAACCAGCCTTGCATCCCAGGGATGAAGCCCACTTGATCATGGTGGATAAGCTTTTTGATGTGCTGCTGGATTCGGTTTGCCAGTATTTTATTGAGGATTTTTGCATCAATGTTCATCAAGGATATTGGTCTAGAATTCTCTTTTTTGGTTGTGTCTCTGCCCAGCTTTGGTATCAGAATGATGCTGGCCTCATAAAATGAGTTAGGGAGGATTCCCTCTTTTTCTATTGATTGGAATAGTTTCAGAAGGAATGGTACCAGTTCCTCCTTGTACCTCTGGTAGAATTCGGCTGTGAATCCATCTGGTCCTGGACTCTTTTTGGTTGGTAAACTATTGATTATTGCCACAATTTCAGAGCCTGTTATTGGTCTATTCAGAGATTCAACTTCTTCCTGGTTTAGTCTTGGGAGAGTGTATGTGTCGAGGAATGTATCCATTTCTTCTAGATTTTCTAGTTTATTTGCGTAGAGGTGTTTGTAGTATTCTCTGATGGTAGTTTGTATTTCTGTGGGATCGGTGGTGATATCCCCTTTATCATTTTTTATTGTGTCTATTTGATTCTTCTCTCTTTTTTTCTTTATTAGTCTTGCTAGCGGTCTATCAATTTTGTTGATCCTTTCAAAAAACCAGCTCCTGGATTCATTGATTTTTTGAAGGGTTTTTTGTGTCTCTATTTCCTTCAGTTCTGCTCTGATTTTACTTATTTCTTGCCTTCTGCTAGCTTTTGAATGTGTTTGCTCTTGCTTTTCTAGTTCTTTTAATTGTGATGTTAGGGTGTCAATTTTGGATCTTTCCTGCTTTCTCTTGTAGGCATTTAGTGCTATAAATTTCCCTCTACACACTGCTTTGAATGCGTCCCAGAGATTCTGGTATGTGGAGTCTTTGTTCTCATTGGTTTCAAAGAACATCTTTATTTCTGCCTTCATTTCGTTATGTACCCAGTAGTCATTCAGGAGCAGGTTGTTCAGTTTCCATGTAGTTGAGCGGCTTTGAGTGAGATTCTTAATCCTGAGTTCTAGTTTGATTGCACTGTGGTCTGAGAGATAGTTTGTTATAATTTCTGTTCTTTTACATTTGCTGAGGAGAGCTTTACTTCCAACTATGTGGTCAATTTTGGAATAGGTGTGGTGTGGTGCTGAAAAAAATGTATATTCTGTTGATTTGGGGTGGAGAGTTCTGTAGATGTCTATTAGGTCTGCTTGGTGCAGAGCTGAGTTCAATTCCTGGGTATCCTTGTTGACTTTCTGTCTCGTTGATCTGTCTAATATTGACAGTGGGGACTTCATGTCCAAAACACCAAAAGCAATGGCAACAAAAGACAAAATTGACAAATGGGATCTAATTAAACTAAAGAGCTTCTGCACAGCAAAAGAAACTACCATCAGAGTGAACAGGCAACCTACAACATGGGAGAAAATTTTCGCAACCTACTCATCTGACAAAGGGCTAATATCCAGAATCTACAATGAACTCAAACAAATTTACAAGAAAAAAACAAACAACCCCATCAAAAAGTGGGCGAAGGACATGAACAGACACTTCTCAAAAGAAGACATTTATGCAGCCAAAAAACACATGAAGAAATGCTCATCATCACTGGCCATCAGAGAAATGCAAATCAAAACCACTATGAGATATCATCTCACACCAGTTAGAATGGCAATCATTAAAAAGTCAGGAAACAACAGGTGCTGGAGAGGAGGCGGAGAAATAGGAACACTTTTACACTGTTGGTGGGACTGTAAACTAGTTCAACCATTGTGGAAGTCAGTGTGGCGATTCCTCAGGGATCTAGAACTAGAAATACCATTTGACCCAGCCATCCCATTACTGGGTATATACCCAAATGAGTATAAATCATGCTGCTATAAAGACACATGCACACGTATGTTTATTGCGGCACTATTCACAATAGCAAAGACTTGGAACCAACCCAAATGTCCAACAATGATAGACTGGATTAAGAAAATGTGGCACATATACACCATGGAATACTATGCAGCCATAAAAAATGATGAGTTCATATCCTTTGTAGGGACATGGATGAAATTGGAAACCATCATTCTCAGTAAACTATCGCAAGAACAAAAAACCAAACACCGCATATTCTCACTCATAGGTGGGAATTGAACAATGAGATCACATGGACACAGGAAGGGGAATATCACACTCTGGGGACTGTGGTGGGGTCGGGGGAGGGGGGAGGGATAGCATTGGGAGATATACCTAATGCTAGATGACACATTAGTGGGTGCAGCGCACCAGCATGGCACATGTATACATATGTAACTAACCTGCACAATGTGCACATGTACCCTAAAACTTAGAGTATAATAAAAAAAAAAAAAAAAAAAAAAGAAAGTCCAGAGTTATCCTTTCAAACACTGTCATCAGTTGTAAGAGGAAGAGAGATGGATTGCAGTGCCTTGATGCCGTATGTCAGAACTGACTGACTGGAAGTAACTAAGGCCCACTCAAGCCTGGCTCACGGCAGAAATAGGATGAATGCTCATGTGCTTGACAGTTCATCCACTTAATCCCTTCTTGACTGTAAAAACCCACAGATGCCAGTTCATACGTACCAGGTGTTCTCACAGTTGGAATCACTCTTGATAGAAGGTGGTTTCTAGATTTGCAAAAGCCTGACAAACTATAAATAAAAACCAAACCAACCCAACCACCTTGATTACCATATTCTTCCTCCTACCGCCTTCTCCCTGGCCCTTTGTAATGAGACTGTCGTCTCTCAGACCCATTTTACAAAGACCTGTATTTCAGAGAGAGGACAAATCTGAGTGAGGATACTTTTAAGGAAAGCAACAATCCGGTTTTTTGAAAGAAAACTATGCTTCCAAGTATGATATAAATTAATTGAAAGTATCATATTTAATGAGTGTTAGTACTGAAATCCTCTTGAAACTACAGTATTTAAAGTTACCTTTCTAAAGATGAGTAGTCTTTTATTAAAATTCGTAGAAATTTTAACCTTCCTTCACATAAGGTTCTCAATTTCTCTGAGCAACAAATACTTCTACCAAAGACTTAGCATGCTAAATATTTGCTGCTAACATACTACATATACATTTATATGTAATTCTTGTTGTTTTTTTTTTTTTTTTTTTTTTTTGAGAACAGGTCGGACTGCAGTGGCGCTATCTCAGCTCACTGCAAGCTCCGCCTCCCGGGTTCACGCCATTCTCCTGCCTCAGCCTCCCGAGTAGCTGGAACTACAGGCGCCTGCCACCACGCCCAGCTAATTTTTTTTGTATTTTTAGTAGAGACGGGGTTTCACCGTGTCAGCCGAGATGATCTCTATCTCCTGACCTCGTAATCCGCCTGCCTCGGCCTCCCGAAGTGCTGGGATTACAGGCGTGAGCCACCACGCCTGGCCTACATGTAATTCTTGACCCTTAAGTTATAACTTACACATGTATATCATTTGGAGACAAATTTTCAGCACTTCTTAGCATAATTGTTCTCTTCATATGGTTTTCTACTAATCCTTTTGCTAAGCTTCAGTTAAGGGTTTATAAAGCCAATGGGATCGGTAGAACTGAAATTAGATCTTTTATCGTCTCTGTAAACTTACTATGAGTAGGGACAGATGGTGGCCATAGAATTATAATAATGAACTGATCTAGTAAGGCTTATGTTACACTGTCAACTGTGTAGACTACAGTAGATCCCATACATTGTGGATGTAAGGAAGTTCTACTCCATTAGCCTTCACCTTTCACAGTCTTTATAGCAGTCACGGAGGATAAGGAAAAGAAAAATTAATTTATAAAGTATTTTACCTTTTGATCCTCATTCTTCTCATGGGATAGCGTTAAGATGTGTTCTACTGCATTAGTCTTCACCTTGCACAGTCTTTATAGCTGTCACAGAGGATAAAGGAAAGTTAATTTATAAACTAAGTATTTTACCTTTTGATCCCCATCAGTTAAGATGTTACTTACTCTACGTGTGTGTCACTCGATGACCACTGTGAAGACAGTAAAATGTACAGTGGTTCTCTTGTGGCTCAAGCGTAATGTAGAGTACTGGTCGACCTTGTCTAACTTCACGTTCCCTTGAGGCTGACTTGCTGTCACCTGAAGAGAGGTGTAATGCAATCGGTCTCCTGACCGGAAGTCCACTCTTTCATTTTCATAAACTTTATTCACCATCACCCATAACTCCCCTTCTCCTTTTCTAACTCCAAGTAAGAAAAAATAATGAACACTTTTTTTCACTATCTCTTTTTATGGTATCCTCTTTTTATGTTTGTTAAATCCCTACTGCTTAGCTCTTTGTAAATGAAGGTAACTTACTGAGGTGAGAATGATCAAAAAATTCTCCAGGCCTTGTAAAGGGCATTTGATAGAGGTTTTGATCAACCTGGTTCATCTCATCCTTGTATGGAAGAATGCAAATGGGCTACATAATGTGTTTATAGCAGGTATTTTTACCTCATTGTGAGGGTGGATTGAGTCACTCAAAAATTTTTTTCATGTATTAAACTTGTAAATTTAAAAATCAGGCATCCGTGAGTTGATGACTGTTACTTTTTTTTGGCAAACTTTGACTCTGGTGATTTCTAGACCTTTTTTTAATTACCTTTTTTTTTTTTTGGTCAGATACATGAGTGTGATAATACCTTTTTTTTGTTTTTTAACATGGGCAACCCACTTCCCTCAGCAATCTCGCATGACATACAGTGACTCTCAGTTGGTATTTTCCCTGTTCACGATCTCTGCTCCGCAAAATAATTTTATTTTATGCCACTTGTAAAACCTATAATCTATTATTAGTAACCAATCAGTAACCATATTAAGTAGTATTTCTCTTAATCTCAATTAATAGACTTAAAGTAAGGCTAGGCATGGTGGCTCACTTCTGCAATCTCAGCACGTTGGGAGGCTGAGACAGCAACATGGTTTAAGGCCAGGAGTTTGAGACCAGCCTGGGCAACATAGTGAGACCCTATCTCTATATAATTATTTATAAATAAATATTTAATAAATATTTATTTAAAATATAATGAATTAAATTAAGAAGTATTTATTAGTACTCCTTAAATATATATACTTATATATTTAAGGATATACATGTATATCCTTATATTTAAGGAGTAATAAATACATACATTTATATATTTAAGGAGTACTAATATTAACACAATATAAAAAGTTTAAAAAGCTACTTTGTCTCCCCTTAAGAGTAGATACAACTGTGTTCTATTATTTGTAGATTGATAAATCTGTGTATCTTTCAAAAGTTCCTTTTTATTCATTCTATCCTGCCTTGGCTGGATATTTTAATGAAATCATAGGACTCCAGTCTACATTTCTATTAGGATAGAAAAACACTGATTATGTTGTATTCGTCCCATGAATTTGATGATGCTTGAACTAGCCTGGCCACATATCATTTTGTGGAGTAGATTTTCTGTGGCATATCATCTGGAATACAGCTTCTATTCTGAAAATCAAGCAATTTATAGAGCAACTGTAGGTATAGTGTTACCCAGTGATCTCTACTTAAATCATTTCTTCTTCCTAATATTATCTCTTTCCCATTTTCAGCTTGGAAGGAAAATGGCTCTTGTGTTTTAGTCTAGCAAACTCTGCAGGCACCTGTGGTTTAATGGAAAAACCTGAACTTAGGGTCTGAATATCTGGGATCTAGTCTTTCCTCTTCTGTTTTATAACCCAGTAGTCTTCAGCAAGTGTCTAACTTTTTCTCATCTTTGGTTTTCTCAGTAGTAAAAGTTGGATTCCAAGACCTCCTTTCCAGCTTGTTGTAATGATTAAATGAGACCATGCATGTGGAAATTGCATTAACTAATGTAAGGCATTATAAAAATGCAAGGTAATACTGTTATTATAAAATAACTTGCTTCATGGCCGGGTGCAATGGCTCATGCCTATAATCCCAGCACTTTGGGAGGCTGAGGCGGGAGGATCTTTCAAGCCCAAGAGTTCAAGACCGGCCTAGGCAACATAGCGAGACCCCATTTCTACCAAAAAATACATATCCATATCTATAGATGTATAGATATTAAAAATTAGTAAATTCCTTGCTTCCCACAGTTCCTGTACTAAGCCAGTCAGAATAAGGGCTGCATGTCACTCCTACATTTCACAGCCTTAGGAGTAATCTATATATTTGACTGGCTCAGTGCTGTGTTAAATAAACACAGATTAATTGACTAGGCTGAGGATGAAATAATAATCTGAGGTAGCTGTGAAATTACATAGTTATTTACTTATGTAGTTATTTATTGATCATTATTCCTTCATACTTATTTACTTTTTTCCCCTAGAGAGCTCAATCTGCTCTGTGTGTGTCTTTGAGCCTTTTTTGTATAAAAAGAACCTCAGTTTTTCCAAATGGAGAAAAAAATACATATTTATTTAAGAAGCATCAATAAAAATTACAAGTTGCATGAGAGTTGATATTAGTGGTAGTGTGCCTTACTGTGTCGTTGTTCTTTATATAATAATGCCTTGTGTTATATTTGAATACATGTTTATACAAGACAGTTAACTTTTCTGCTAAGTCAGTAAATGGCATTGATACTTATTACCACAAAGCATGTAAATTTATATCTTATAAGAGTAAATCAATTGACTGATTCATTTTCTCTCAACTGTTTTTATTTTCCAGTGCTTTCTCTAAAATGGATAACATTTGGGGAATTTCATGACATAATTGTAATAAAGCCTCTGTACAATTAAATGGCTTTAACTGAAGCCAAGCATGTTTCTCTTTCCCCTACTTCCCACCTTTTTAAAATTAAAAGCTTCCCAGTCTTTTTAGGTTGTATTTGTCATTTAAAGCATTTTGTATTGCAGCTGGATTCTGAAACTAGGTTAAATTGTCTGTTTCTCCTGGAAACATTCCAACAGAGATCAGTTTCTTTTCTGGACCTTCTAGTTCAATACTTTGCTCTTATATACTGTGTTGAATAGAACTGAACTGCTATTTATTGGATTTGTCAGCCTTAAATTCCAGTTACTATTTTTGCCTCAATGGTGTAGCTATTTAAAAGAATTAAACAGCTTAAGAACTGTATTTTTAGTCTATTTGGGTAGTAATATACTCCTTCCTGTTCATTGTTCTTTCAGACATTTGTCAGAAAATTTCACAAGCATGTAGTTGGTTTGTCCAAGCATAAACTATAACTTCAATATAAAGAAAGCTTAATAATACATACCAGATATACAATTCATTTTATACACACATACAGAAACAGGTAATTTTCCTTGGACTTTTTGTAATTTTGGAAGCCTGTGTAAATTAGTCTACCAGATTATATTATTCAGCCTGTAAACATGGGAGTTCAATAAAATTAATCATCAGAAACACAGTTTAAGTAGCTTGTAACCTCACTGGGGAGAAGCTTGAAATTATTCCGTGCTTTTGGGTTAACTTAACAAAAATTGCTGCCTTTTTTCAACATATAGCCTTTGAATAAGGGAGATAAATTACTAGGTTTGGTTTTGTTTTAGGTGATTTTGATAATACCACGAGTGGTACCTCTGTTTTCATCTTTTGTGTTAGAAAATTTAAAAATAATTAAGCTATAGAATTAATTTTATAGTGATATTATAATCCCAGAAGAATCACAAAACATCCTGTTCTGAGAAGACTTAGTCTGATTATGCTGCTTATTTATTTTATTTTTTGTTTATGGGGTTTTTTGTTTTGTTTTGTTTTGAGATGGAATCTCACTCTTCACCCAGGCTGGAAAGCAGTGGTGCAATCTTGACTCACTGCAATCTCCGTCTCCCAGATTCAAGCGATTCTCCTGCCTCAGCCTCCCAAGTAGCTGGGATTACAGGTGTGTGGCGCCACACCCAGCTGATTTTTGTGTATTTAGCAGAGATGGGGTTTCGCCATGTTGGCCAGGATGGTCTCAAACTCCTGACCTCAAATGATCTGCTGGCCTCGGCCTCCCAAAGTGGTGGGATTACAGGCCTGAACCACCACACCTGGCCTATTTTTTGTTTTTGGGGGCGTTTTTTGCTTTGTATTATTAGAGCAAATGTGGAAGCTTTCCTTAGTAGTTGGCTGATCTGTACTTTTGTTTTTAGATAAATGTTCTTCACTTTGTTTTCAGAAACTACTATTTCTAAAATTAGGAAATACAGATATTTATATTACATAAAGTTAAATACTACCTCAGAAAAAGTGCCTGTTCTTTTTGAAGTGAGTGTCTTCAAGAGTGCAGGGAAGACGATATCTTAAGGAAGATAGAAAGTGACATGCATTAAGTTGCATCTTGGGATCTTTCTTGGCCTTCCCTGTCTTTTCCCATTCTCATAAATGTCTTCCTTAAAAGCCTCAATGTGTGGTAGTCGAGCAGCAGCATGAGTTAGAAATTTATTTTCAATAGATGATGTGCTTTTGAGTTAATTATCCAAACTGACCAAGTTATGCCCAGAAATGTGTCTGTAAGGGACACAAATGTGCCAGTTGCACCAAATTATAGCATACTGGAGTTGAAATGGATCTCAGAAATACTTAAGTGCTAACCAGCCTAACATCCTAAATGTATTTATAAAAATATACAAGTTATTTTTAATATTCTTAAAAAGCCTATTTGTTGAATCAGTAGTGCCTATTGTGTGATCGATTGTCTTAGCTTATTTTATAAGGATTTTTGGGAAGAAGCTGAAGCCTTTTGCTATGTGGAGCTCTTGCTTGAGTGAACCTGGTCTCCATGGAACTTGCTTCTGTATTGGCTTTTATAGTCCTGCTCCTTTATAGTTCTTCTCCAGCTTCCATTTTTCCTTTTGTCTCCTCTGAGGATTTTTCTTCCACTCTCCTTTTCCAAAATATTGTTGTTGTCAAGGTTTTATCCACCTTGTAATTATCTTTCTGTATTCCTTTCCTTAATGAGCTCATTTATCAAGTAGCTACAACTATTAATCCCCTATTCCATTTCGTAATCTCCCTGGAGCCCCCAGCCCCAGTCCTCAGCCCTCCATAGGTATTGAGCAAATGCTGGTTGGTAGGTGAGTGGTGGGAGAGTGAGTAAGTGAATGATGCCCCCTCGACTGTGCTCCAACCTTTTCTGACAAACGATCTGCACAATGTCTTTACTTTGATGTTTTACCTCAGAAGGTGCCTACCTCAGTGAGCCTTATCTGAGAGTTTCATACCTACTTAAACTTTTTTTTTTTTTTTTTTTTTTGAGACGGAGCCTTGCTCTGGTAACCAGGCTGCGGTGCGGTGGTGCAATCTCAGCTGACTGCAACCTCCGCCTTTTGGGTTCAAGTGATTCTCTTGCCTCAGCCTCCCGAGTAGCTTGGATTACAGGCATGCACCACCATGCCCAGCTAATTTTTGTATTTTTGGTAGGGACGGGGTTTCACTATGTTGGCCAGGCTGGTCTCGAACTCCTGACCTCAGGTGATCCGCCCACCTCAGCCTCCCAAAGTGCTGGGATTACAGGCGTGAGCCACCGCACCCAGCCCCTACTTAAACTTTTACAACTCAATTTCTTTTAATAGTTCTACCTTATTTTCTAATCTTCCAGATTCCCCCCTCCTTCCCCCCCTCAAAAAAATGTAGTCATCTTTGACTTTTCTCTCTCTCTCTTCTGTTGTGAATTTGGCTTTTAAACACAATTTTTTTTCTTTCAAAATTTCTCAGATTTAGCCCTTCTTTTCCATTTTTCTGTAACTGTCAATGGTTCAGGGTCTCATCACCTCATGCCCAGGTTATTAGCATGTCTGCTGCTAACATTTCCTCCACCCGGCAATCATTTAGACATAACAGACCAATTTTCATAAAATGTTATGTTGCTTTTTCAAAGGCTAAAGAGAAAACATTGAGAATCTTTGAGATGAGTATTTCAGTAAATCTGATTGCAGTAGGTAGAAAAGAAATGGGAAGATAAGAGAATCAATGTGAATAGAATGCATATTTGAAAAGTTTGGCAGATAGATTAGACCATTAACAGAAGATTTGAATTAGGTACTAGTTTCACTTTACAGAATGAAACACCTTACAAAGTATTTGTTTTTAAAATAAAGTTGAATATATTAGAGGGATGCATTTTTTGAAAAAAAGCCCATGAACAGTTACAGGGTAATAGTATAATTGTGTAATTGAGATTTTGAAGGAGGCAAGAAAAGATGGAGTCCAAAGTGTAAGTAGAAGACTGAAATACTCTTTTTTTTAGAAGAAACTTCTGTTAAGGATGAAAATGGAGATACAGAGGAGTGAATTGTTAAATAAAAACAGGTATACACAATGGTGCTTTACCAGATGATCTCATTCTTAACTCTTTGTATCCTTTTCTTTTTTTTCAGCATGTTGACATAGCGGCTTTATTGATAAAATACAACACGTGTGTAAATGCAACAGATAAGTGGGCGTTTACTCCCCTCCATGAAGCAGCCCAGAAAGGAAGGACGCAGCTGTGCGCCCTCCTCCTAGCGCATGGTGCAGACCCCACCATGAAGAACCAGGAAGGCCAGACGCCTCTGGATCTGGCAACAGTAAGTCCTCATTTCAGATACTGATTATTGTTCCTTCTACTTTCACAGATGACATCAGATTCTCGGGTTCACCAGCTTACTTTTAGTCGTGTTTATTTCACTTAGAACAGAGATCTTCTGAAAATTTTTGAAGTTCACACTTTTTCTATGAAAATATAATTTAAAACTCTTAAGACAAACTAAACAGTAAGTTAATTTAATTTTTTGCCATTCTTAGCCTGCTGGGAAAACATGGATCTTAAGAAAACATGTTTTTAGAGTGTACCCTCAAAGAATTATATTTAGTAAAATATCTTGTACCTTCTATATTTGGCATGTTATTGTAGAGCAACTAATGTTCATGATAATTTACCTAAGTCTGTGAGATAGTCAAAGAAAAATTAACTCTGGGCAGTATTATTTAACTGCAAAGTTAAGCACTGCATCATCTTCCGTGAACTTTCTGAAAACCAGGGAGTTACTGTATAGTCACAGTAATTTCTAATTTTTAAGCCAGAAATGTTTTTTCAAGTTATGTTCTGTTTCATTTATTGATTGCTGCATAACAAACTGTTTCAAAACACCCAGTGGCTTAAAATAATAATGACTTATTATTTCTTATGATTCTGTGTGTTGGCTAGGAGATTCTTCTGGTCTTACCTGGGGTCACTTGTGCAACTGCATATAGCTGGTGGCTGGGGCAGAAACATAAAGACGGCTTCATTCATATGCCTGGGGCCTTGACAGATACAACTAGAAGGCACGGGCCTCTCTAGTCCCATGTGGCATCTCATCATTAAGTGGTCTTGTTAGAATTTCTTCACAGAATAATTGTATCTCAAGAGGGAGAAAGCAGAGGCTGTCATTGTTCTTTAAGGCTAAGCCTGGAACTGACATGCTGTCACTTCTGCCACATTCTGTTGTGCAAAGCAAGTCATGAAGTCAGCTCAGGTTCAAGGGATAGGAAAACAGATTCCACCTTCTTTGAAAGGAGAAGCAAAAATTTCGTGGCCATCTTTAATCAGCCACAGTCTTCCCTGTGAATACAAATTAAATCTATTTTTCCCACATTCAAATTACACTCACCTGCCACGTGCTCCCCCCACCAACAGGGGGCAGATAGTCATCACTGGGTCCTTAGCAATTCTAAAATTCAGCCAGACACATGTTATCAGGGCCATCTACTCTGGAGTTAGGGAATGATCCCTGATTAGGGCCCAGTTCTGCTCCCAGGGAGTGGTTCACTGTGGCTGTCTTTTTTTTTCCTTTTTTTTCTTTTCTTTTTTTTTTTTTTCCCCCTTAAGACACAGTCTGGCTATGTCACCCAAGCCAGAGTGCAGTGGCGTGATCATGGCTCACCACAACCCCAACCTCTTAGATTCAAGCCATCCTCGTATCTCAATCTCCTGAGTAGCTGGGACTACAGGCACATGCCACTATGCCTGGCTATTTTTTTTGTTTTTACTTTTTGTAGAGACAGGGTCTTGCTATGTTGCCCAGGTTAGTCTTGAACTTCTGGGCTCCTCCCTCAGCGTCCTTCCTCAGCCTCCCAAAGTGCTGGGATTACAGGTGTGAACCACTGTACATAGCCTCTGTAGCTCTTGGCCATGCCCTCTGAATTATCCTTCTCTTTTCATAAGAAATGGATCATATTTACAGCCAAGTGGCTTTCTCAACCTGTTCCCTGCTCCTAGAAATTTTCGGGACCCTGAGCCTTTTATCATTTTGATCTACCTGTCCCTTTTAGTCCAAACTAGTACAACTCTTCCTTTGTAAACTTTTGGATTTCCCATCAAATTACACACCACTCCATCAGCCAAAAGCTCCACCCACAAATCTTTTCAAGACAGGTCCCTCTCTAACATGGAATCCAAGTAAAGGTGCAGTGGGACAATGCCCATAAGATCCTTTGAAGCTCTTTCATCTAGCCAAGGGAATTCACAAGGTACCACCTTAGAGGTTTTTTAAAGATTTTGAGGTAATATATCTGTACCTCTAGTTGATTTTTATTCTGAGGCCATGTTTTCCTGTCAGCACGCTGGATTTGACCTTTGGCCTGAGGCTGTGCCTTACTTGAAGAAACTTTTGCTGATGGAGAGGCTGGGAATGGTGAATAATTTTGTTTTCTAAGCTAGCAAATGTTAGGTGAATACATTTCCTTAAAGAGAACTGGACAGTTCCTTTCTCTCTTCCTGTACCTTATCATGGGCAGATAAACACACCAGTCCAGTTGACAAGGCAGAATTTGTTCTGGAAATTTCCTTAGCCAAATTTACAAATTTATTTAGGTTTACGTTCTACCTTCCGTAAGACCTCCTGTGGCAGCGTTGCCAAACTTTCTGCTACACAGCATTAGTCCCCTTTCTCTCGCCTTCAGTAGCACTTGCCTATCTATCTTCCATTCACAGCCTCCCTCAGCAATAACCAGGCCACCCTTCACGCCTCCAACCAAAGCCACATGTCCACCAGCACCCCACTTCCAGGTACTGGTGTGCATTTCATTTCTCTATTGCTGCCCACTAAGCCACCCCCAAACCCACTGAGGGTTTAACGTGACAATTTATTATTTCTCACACGTCTGGGAGTTGACTGGGCTCAGCTGGGTGGTTCTGGTTTTGCAGTTACCTGCACCTGGGAACTCAGCAGAGGCTGGAGCTTCCAAGATGGCCTTTCATCCCGCAGGGCTCTCCCTGCATAGGATCTCACCACTCAGTAGTCTAGCCCAAACTTCTGTACAACATGGCAGATGGCTTCTAAGAGAGTAAAAGTAGACACTGCCAATCCACTTAAAGCCTGGCTCAAAAGCCTCAGAATGTCACTTCTTCTCCATTCTATTGGTCAAGACAACTCACAGGGCAAACCACATTCGGCGGGTAGGGGGCAGAAATTCAAGGGGAGGCATACATGACGGGAGGAAGGAATTGATGGGTGGCTGTCTTTGGAGACTATCTCCCGCATACTCGAAAAGCAGTTGCATCTAATACTTAAAAACTGAAAAGTTTATGAATAAATGAGCTAAATTAAAGTGTCATCCCTTTGAAATTTCACCAGATGTTAATTGTACATGAAATTATTAAGTGTGAAGTAAATAACCAGATTATAGCTGTTTAAACGTAAACAAAATATAGTAAACACAGAAATTTTTTCTAAAGAAGGGTGACAGTTAACACTGAAAGTGCTTTTTTTTAAATGAAAGAAGAAATATCTTTAAAAATTACATAGTTTCTCCAATTCTGTCTACTGAAACTATTGAAACTCTTTGGAGCTGTGGATAGGAGAAGGAATGATCAAAAACCAGTAGGTGATAATGAGGCATTCATTAAGGAAAAAATCCACAAAGTATTTGGTTATCAGTGAAAAACTTACCATTTTAATATATAGTATTTTCATGGTTTTTGTTTTTAATCATTTTTTTAGGCTGACGATATCAGAGCTTTGCTGATAGATGCCATGCCCCCAGAGGCCTTACCTACCTGTTTTAAACCTCAGGCTACTGTAGTGAGTGCCTCTCTGATCTCACCAGCATCCACCCCCTCCTGCCTCTCGGCTGCCAGCAGCATAGACAACCTCACTGGCCCTTTAGCAGAGTTGGCCGTAGGAGGAGCCTCCAATGCAGGGGATGGCGCCGCGGGAACAGAAAGGAAGGAAGGAGAAGGTGAGTAGACCCCATGAATGCTTATTTATTTATACCTTTTGTTAGTGGAGCAGAATGACTTTTTTCTATTGATAACTATTGAATGCCTCAATTAGAGACGTCCTGTCTGTAAATTTTCATACACACAACATCTTACAAGAAATATTTCTTCATAGAAGGCTGCCACGTTTCTTGGCATTGTCGTTGTTCTTATTTCTGTATATTCTAGAGCATCTGTTTACAACCATAGCATCTTATTGAACCACTTATACTGAAATTGTGTCAGAACACAACTGAGAGGTCATTTCAGGAATGAAAACTAAAATGATAGCTGATACATTTAGATTTTTTAATTCATTAAAAGCTTTAGATGTTTCTATATAAGTAGCATTCTGTAGTATAAGAATTATACTATAATGTTAAAATTAGTATAATATTCTCTATATTTTTATAAATTACAATAAGTTATAATTCTATATTCTAACCATAATATTAGAATACAAATACTAATTTGATAAAGATAAAACACTCTGTTTTTACTTCCCAATCAACTTCAGAAATAAAGTGTCTAAATTAAATCTGTGTATTCTGTATTATTTTATGCCATGGAAAATCATCTGACAGCCAAGGTTGTCAGAGTCATGTCTAAATGGATACTGAAATTTTCTTTATATTTAGAGAATTCTTTCTGAGAATCTTTAATATGTTTCTGTTTTAGTTGCTGGTCTTGACATGAATATCAGCCAATTTCTAAAAAGCCTTGGCCTTGAACACCTTCGGGATATCTTTGAAACAGAACAGGTAAATACTCTTGTATATATTTGAGTCATTTAAATTAAATACTAAGATTAGGCTGGATGCAGTGGTTCACACCTTACTCCCAACACTTTGGAATGCTTCGGCAGGATTGCTTGAGCCCAGGAGTTTGAGACCAGCCTGGGCAACAAAGCGAGACCCCCATCTCTACAAAAAAAAAAGTTTTTAAGTTAGCTGAGCATGGTGACTTACTGGGCCCCTGTAGTGCTAGCTGCTGGGAAGCTGAAGCAGGAAGATCATGTGAGCCCAGGAGTTTGAAACTGCAGTGAGCTGTGATTGTGCCACTGCATTCTAGCTTTGGCGACAAAACAAAACCCTATCTCGAAAAAAAAAAAAAAAAGAAAGACTTATTAATTGCCACCCACCTCTTCCTCTTTTGCTTCTTACGAGCTATTCTTAAACCCACAACACATTTCTATAAGAAGCCAGAGGAGCCCAGTATTTTATACTTCTCCCCAAAATTGTCTAACAAATGAGTCTTTATTTTATCTTTATAAGCAGTCTAGCACTATGCATTTTATTACATGTCAAAACTTAGACCATGCAACTACCTCAAAAGAATGTTTTCATGATTGTCCTTGGTTGTTTGTTTCCGAAAAATGTCAGTCTTTATTCATCTCATTTCATTATTCATGTGACTAGGCTCCTGAAGCAGTTGCCCATTAATTTGGAAAGCACAGTAGTACTTAGACAACTGCACTTTTAAAAAATTGCCCCTTTATGAAGTTTCTGTTGTCCACTTGGAGTCTTAAATAATATTAAACCAAAAGTTGGCCATACATTCCAATAGACCCACCCTATTTTGGGATCCATCTTAAATGTCTGTGAAGGTCTAAGGATGGAGTCATCATTAGGGCATTTATGAATTAGGATTCTTCTGTTTGTTTTACTGTTTTCATACAGGATAAGGAGTTGTAATATTGTATGCTTTCATTATTATGATCAGCTTTAAATATTGAATGATGGTAACTCCTGAATTTAAATGGACTATTGATATACATGAAATTTAAGAATGGGAAAGGTGTTTAGAGAAAAATTATTCTCCCAGGTGTAGGGATCACCCTTGTATAATAACACCCATGTTAGTCCTCCAGCCAAGGAAGATATCTTGTTACAATTTGGGACAGGTGTAATAGAATGCTTGTAACTTAAAGTGTGCCAAAATCTGCCCATAGGTATAATTCCTTTGTTTTCAGCTTACGCTTACGCTTACCCTGTTTTGCACAGAGATCTAATCTCCAGTCTACATATGTATTCAGTTTCAGAGGACTATACTCCCTACAGAGGCTGTAGGGGAGAATCTATTCCATGCCTCTTCCTGCTTCTGATGGTTGGCAGCTTCCTTGGCTTGTGGCCATGCTACTCCAGTCTCTGCATCCATCTTCACATTGCCTTCCTGTCCTCTCTATCTCTTCTAAGGACATTTGCATTGAATTTGAGGCCACCAGTATAATCCTGGGTGATCTCCTCATCTCTAGACCCTTAACATAATTTCGTCTGCAGACACTTTTCTTCCAAGGAAGGTGACATTCACAGGTTCTGGGGATTAGAACATAGACGTATCATTTTGAGGGCCACCATTCAGCCCACTACAACATAATATGGCCCTAGATATCTTTTTAAGACCTAGTCAACTTATCAGAGGTGTCACCCTTTCAATCACCCACCTCTACACATCTTCCCCTATTTTAGAATAAATCTGTTTTTTCAATTATTCTTTATATGACATAATTTTCCAGTATTTCACTGGCACCTTTGGCCCATTATGGTTCCCTTCTAGGCTTATAGTCAGTTTGGAGTTAACTTAAAAACCAGGTCTTTTTTCTTATTTATATCAATTATACTGTTAAGATTTTTTTTCTGCTTTCTCTCTTTTTTTTAGCTACATTTTTTCATTATAGTTCATCTTTAATGCTCTTAATGATAAGAACAGCCGAGTAGGGATAGCACTGGACTAAAAGAAGACCTTAATTCTAATTATTTTTACCCTCTTACTAGCTGTGTAAAATTGGGCTGAATGACATTTATCCTATCACTTCCTTTACCTGTAAAACCTAATGCTTATAAATGTTCAGAGAGTTAAAATCCTCAGTAATATTGTGCTGCTGTGTCAGCTTTTAATACAGTGATGCATCACAGGTGCCTTTGCGTCTAATGGTTAGGACTTTATAGACTGCTGTCTATAAAATCATTTTCTTTTCCAACCATTTATTCATCCTCTGGTTTGGAGCTTTCTTAGGACAATATCCTAAATAGTAAGACTGCTTCATCCTTATTCCCTAACTGAAGGTGTGAAAGCTGATTTAAAACCATTATACTCTGCTGTTCCCATATTACAGCTATAGCTGTTCTTCCCAAATCATTTCCACAATAATTGTAAAATTTCAAACACATCTTTGCTAAATAAACCAAAGACCTTAACTCAAACAAATAATTCCAATTTACTGATGAAAGTTTTCTAAAGAATGTTCATTTTTCTTCTTTTAGTCAGTTTGCATTATAATTTTATGTGTTCTTTTTAAATTTATATCGTATATTCGCATTGTCAGTAACTGACTTCCTGTGGCGTATTTATCACATTTTATTGATTTGAATAGTTTAATAGTTTAGTCTCCTAGTCACTCCTTCTGACAGCTTGTCCTGGTTTCATCAGTTTCATTGTTCTTTTTTTACTGCAGTTTCATTCTGAGTAAATGGTTCCATTGGTTTTCTTTTAGCCAGAATAATTTCTATAGCCTTTTATTGATCAATACATAGACGATTGCATTTAATGTATATTACCAAGCACAGTTCTTTCCCTCCAGACAGGTGATACTACCTTTCTTTGTATTGAACTGTGTCTGGCCCAATCATCAAGCAATCAAATTTATTTTTATTTTAATTGCAAATGTTATTTATCTAGCCTTCCATTATAAATAAATTTGATAACCTTTTCCATAACTTTAACCCTTAGCATTTTCTCCCATTAACATTCTATATCAGTAATATGTGATGATGGTCAATGTATTTGTATAGTCGGGGAGGAGTGAGGGTGCATGCATTGAACGCATTTAATTCATATCTGTTTGGCTTAAGCCAGGGGAGCCGTTGTTTTCTGATGCTCTTTGACATGCTTCTATGTCTCATTGCCTGTGTTCCTACTCATGGATGCCAGTGGGGTGTGGAATGTAGTTATTTTATTTCTGGTCCCAGAAGAAAACCTTCGGCACATCATAGCCTCACCTCCTATCTTCACAGTTACTCTCTTGGAAGTCTCTAAACTAAATTGTCCTGTTTCCCATAGATACTTTGCCAAGTTCTATGTTGAATAATATAGTATCCTTTCTAGTTAATGAAATATAGTACCCATGTGACTTTGGCCCTTCCTTTATAACATAGCTTTGTACCTATGAACATAGGTAGGAACACTTTTTATATGGGAAAGACAGATTTTATTTACACTGCAATTCCTAGAACATAAATGCTATCACTTGGAAGACTGCTTGTGGACATTTTTATGGTTAACCTATGTATTTTCATGGAAAGTGACCAGATAAATTTTGATTTCAAATTCTTGAAGACAAAAGCATGGCCTCCCATAATTCATTGTGAACTTGATTATAAAGTTAGTTCTTATTACTCCTGCTGTACCATACAACCTTTTAAGCCCAAGCAAGAGGACGTCTTTTTCATTAAAACTAGTTTTCTCTCCCCACCCAAAGTAAAATGACTCTCAGAAGCTAGAGGTAGCTCTTTTTGCAGTGACCTTTGCTTTATGTGCAAGATGACTTTAACTGACACGTGGATAATCTTTATTCTTAGTAATTTTATTTTAATGTATACTAGATAGAAATAACTAGCCCAACAAGCTTGTGATTTCCTCAGTATAATAACTAAGTCAAGGTTTTAAAAAAGGAGCAAGTTAATTTAAATATGATTTTCAGAAAAAAAAATGTCTAACAGCTGATAGGGGTATATATAAAATTCCTGAGTCTTGAAGCAACATGTCTAAAATCCAACTAACCTGCTTTCCATCCAGATATTTCTATTTCTTTTGTTGATGCAAAAGTCTCATAGTTACCCAGCTACAGAATTTTGGAATAATCTTACTTTCATTCCTTTTATTTTAACCATTTCTATTTACCAGGCCCTGTAAATACAGTTCTCCAGTTGCTTTCAGATTCATCCCTTCCATGCCATTTTATCTTCTTCTTATTCCCAGTTGCCTTCCCTTCCAAATCTGCCCTTCATAATGCCAACAGTCTCATCCTCCTAAAATACAACTTTGATCATATTACTCTGCTGAAAAGACTTCCCAGGGCCTTTGGTATACTTTTTTTGTTTTTGTTTGTTTTTTTTTGTTTGTTTGTTTTTGAGATGGAGTCTAGCTCTGTTGCCCAGGCTGGAGTGCAGTGGCGTGATCTCAGCTCACTGCAACCTCCGCCTCCCAGGTTCACACGATTCTCTTGCCTCAGCCTCCTGAGTAGCTGGGATTACAGGCATAGGCCACCATACCCGGCTAATTTTTGTATTTTTAGTAGAGATGGGGTTTCACCATGTTGGTCAGGCTGGTCTCAAACTCCTGACCCCGTGATCTGCCCGCCTTGGCCTCCCAAAGTGCTGAGATTACAGGCATGAGCCACCACACCTGGCCAGCCTCTGGTATACTTCTAAGCCTCTTAGTTTGATAGATAAGGCCCTTTAAGATCCTCTCTGTGCCTGCTGCTCTGCTGTGCTCCTTTTAATCCTTGATACATACTCTCCTGTAACCATTTTGAACTACAGTACTTAAGGTCCCTCAAATACTCTGTATTCTTTTAACTGATTTTCCCTTTGCACATGGTATTCCCTCTGTCTTAAGCCCACTTCCCTCCTTCCCCTGACTGATGAGCTCCTGCTGCTTAGCTGAATTATGACCTTCTTCTGAGAACCTTTCCTCATCTCCTTCCTGCTCCTTCCTTCCCAGCCCCCCTTGCAACCGTGACCAAGCAGGTCACCTTCACGAGAGTTCTCTTAGGGATTGTCCAAGACATTGACCCACTTTTTGTTTCTTGGTTACCTCAAGTAAATAGCATGAACTTTGGTTAGCACTCTGTTTCATGGCCCCACTCTTTTACTATCAGTTATTTGGACCAACTATGTAACTTTCCAACTATAAGGGGTTGTTTTAGAATTAAATGAAATATTTAGTTACTTTTTAAAGAAATACATAGCATAAAGAAGGTACTCATTAAACATTTTATATGTGAATGAGCTAACATAAATCTGAATTTCTTAGCTTTTCATTGAAGGTTTTTCAGTGGCCACTGCCTGATAGATATGTGGACAAATTGGACACCATGTAACTCACTGCGACTAAATTTAACGCTTAATCATGTCCACCTTCTAGTCATCCTTTTAAAGAATATAAACAGGGAAAAGACAGATACAGCTATACATCTCAGCTCTTCTGTGTACTATTTTTATGACTTCTCTAAGTACCAGTGACCTCATAAATACATTAATAGTACTTCATTATCTGTCATTGTAAGGATTAAATGAGGAAATGTAAATAAAGTGCTCGGAACTGTGCTTGTTATGTAGCGAGTACACAACAAATATTGTGTGGATGGTGGTTGGATGATGAATGGTTGGATGGAATTGCAAGAATAATGTATATTTATATTCAGTTGCAAGTATAGAAAGTTGTCCCATTCCCTTTTTGTTTTTTTTAGATTCCACAGGTTGATAGCTTTTCATCTCTTCTATCCTTCAGGATAGCCTAATAAACATTTTCTTTTGTTTCTTTAGTTACTTATTTTCATATGCATTCCTTTTGTGTGACTGTAAGTATCTAATTGGATAAATGCCAAGATAGCGTAGGTAGATCACTTATCTACTGCTGTGTAACAAATTACCCAAAACTTAATGGCTTAAAATAACAAACATGTATTATTCCACAGTTTCTGTATGTCAACAATCTAAGCATGGCTTAGTTGGGTGCCTCTGGCTCAAGGTCTGTCCTGAAGCTGCAGTAAACTGTCCAACAGGTCTGCAGTCTCACCTGGGGACTCACCTGGCAAGGGCTGGGACCCGCTTTCAAGCTCTCTCACAGTGTTGGTTGACTGGCCTTGATTCCTCACCTGTGGGCCTCTCCACAGTGACCTTATGGAGTATTACTTACCTGCTGCTGCTTGATAAATTACCGCAAACTCAGCAGCTCAAAACAGCACACATTTTGTGAGTCAGGAGTCTATGCACAGCTTAGTTGTGTCCTTTGCTTCACGATCTCTCACAAGGCTACAGAGCATTAGCCAGGGTCAGTATCTCATCTAAAGACTCTACTGGAGAAGGATCCCCTTCCATACCCTCACGTGCTTATTGGCAGGATTCAGTCCCTTGCAGTCTGTTGGACTGAAGCCCTCAGTTCCTTGCCATGTGAGCCTGTATAACATGGTTTCTTGCTCTATCAAAGCCAGCAAGAGAAAGATGATCTGCTAGTCACTTCTCATCACCATTGCTGTATTTGCTTGGTTAGAAGCAAGTCACTAGGCCAGCCTGCACTCCAGGGGAGGGGAGCACACAGGATGTGATGTAAGGAGGTGGGAATCATTGAGTCTGTCTGCCATAGCGTGGCAGCCAGTTCTTCTAGGGTGAGCAGTCCAAAGCGTGAGCGCCCAAGATGGAGGCCACAGTCTCTTTATTACCTAATGTAAAAAGTAATTTCCCATCACTTCTGCTGTATTATATTTGTTAGAAGTGAGTTCATAAGTCTGTCTCACACGGGGAAGGGATTACAGTGAAGACACAAATGCCAGGAGGTAGGAGAGCACTTTCCACGTTAGGTGTGAGAGCTCCTCTCAGCCTTGCCTTCTAAACTAAGTGACTTGCTATCAGTCTTTTCAGGTTGTTTTGTTGGTTTGGTTTGGGTTTTTTGTATTCATTTTATGATTAGAGCTATAAAATGAATAAATATATTAAATATTCTCCATTACTCCTCTAGAACATTGTAGAGAATATTGTGTTTTGCTGGCCTGGTGTCTGCTTCCTCCAGACGTGCACTGTATGTATCAATCCAGAAAAGTCTGACGAGGGCCAGGCGCGGTGGCTCACGCCTGTAATCCCAGCACTTTGGGAGGCCAAGACGGGCAGATCACGAGGTCAGGAGATCGAGACCATCCTGGCTAACACGGTGAAACCCCATCTCTACTAAAAATACAAAAAAATTAGCCGGGCGTGGTGGCGGGCGCCTGTAGTCCCAGCGACTTGAGAGGCTGAGGCAAGAGAATGGCGTGAACCCAGGAGGCGGAGGTTGCAGTGAGCCGCTGAGATCGCGCCACTGCACTCCAGCCGGGGCGACAGAGCGAGACTCTGTCTCAAAAGAAAACAAAACAAAAAAAAAAAAAGTAAAGTCTGAGAATTCTCTAAGTTGAAGTTACCACATAGATATGAGACCCTTGGTTTTAAACTGAAGTTAGTTTAGAATATTTAGAAGAAAAAAATGGGACATCAATAACATAGTTTCCAAATTATATTAAAATCATGTCTAGCTAAGAATGTAAAGGCTCCTATTATTTTGTGAACTATTCCATCTCAAAGATGTGTATTTCAGAACTGGGGTTTGTTGTTTTGTTTTGTTTTGTTTTTAAAGCTCTGCTGAAACCTTTCTTTTGGGTGGTTGGATGTGAATTGCCCGCTTTGTGCAATGAAGCAATTATTGCTTAAATGGCCACTTAGAAGCAATATAGAAAATTATTTCCAAAGAACGAGTGATATATGCTCATTTCACTGGAAAGATCAAACTCATATTTTATTCTGACAAAAAAATCAGCAGAGGTCCAGGCCTAATTTGTCAGTTTTTTAAATGTTACTTGCAAGTTAAAAAGTGGAAAAAAGCGATCTTGTTTGAGTTGGAAACTGCATGTCTATAAAAGGATTTCTTGGTTTTCCAAGGCAGGGGAAAATCAAAGACTAATCTTGTAGACTAGTATATGGATTGTCACAAAGCTAGCTTCATCAGGGCTGGAAAATTGCATGTTCAGCCTTCAAGAAATGTGGCTACCCGCGTTCATCCTGTGTGTTCAGAATGTAGCCACTGGGTGGTAGTAGAGTCCCAGCTACTTTAGTCCATAAAGGAATTAGGTTATTTTGAGCCAACTAATCATCTCCATTTTACAAGGATGAATAACCAAAAGTTAAAAACTAACCAAAAATTAAAAAGCACTATGTTGTATAAAAACAGAATGTATTTTAAGGAGAAGGGATTAAGTCTGAGAATTTATGAGAGAGTTTAAAAAGAATCTAATTTTCTTATCCAAATTGGAATTTTAAAATGTAGCCTCTTTAAAACAGTTTGTAATCTAACCAAATACTTGAGATGTCAATCTCACTGCTTTTTAAGGAAGCCTGTCCCGGGCTTGAGTATTTCTTAGCACTGAGAAGTTCTTCCTTATCTTCATCTAAAAATTGCTTTCTCCTTTTCCTGCGTTGTTTACTTGTGCTGAACGCCTCTCCCTTTCCCCCACCGTTCATTTCTACTCCCTGCTGGATACTAGGATCTGGTGTTTTCCCATTTTCAAGCTACTGATTCCTCCTCTATCTTGAGGCAAGCAGTAGATGATAGAACAAAATAATCTAAAGGAAATATAGTGATGATCATTTTGTATTTCTATAGTATTGTTTCTCCCTTTTTAATTCTCATGGACAAAAAGCAAATCAAAGAGTACTTCAAGTAAGCAGAAAAGCTGATGAGACTATCAAGACAACTTTAAAAAAATTGTAAGCTCATGTTTATAAAGGGAACAAAAGAATTTTCTTAATTTGAATGGTACTCGTAGCATTGAAGGCAATTGGAAAAGCTTTTGTCCTCTTAAGAACTGTTAAAGATATCCTAGCTAATTTTGTTTCATTTTTCAGATTACACTAGATGTGTTGGCTGATATGGGTCATGAAGAGTTGAAAGAAATAGGCATCAATGCATATGGGCACCGCCACAAATTAATCAAAGGAGTAGAAAGACTCTTAGGTGGACAACAAGGTAAGCTATTCAGAAAAAAAAAAAAATTTCAGAAATCAGTGGTACAAGGTAAGTATTGGGGCTGATAATTGAACTCAGGCAGTCCAGTCCCAGAACCATACACTGAACTATTGTACCTCCTGTCCCTTCCCCATCTCAGTTATTGGCCTCATGCTCCCTCTAGCTGGAAAAATCTGAGTCAGTCTTCCCTGTCTCCCAACACTTTGTATCCTCAATTTTTCTGGAATCTCTGTACTTCTGTCCTTTCCCATGACTGTCACTTGATCCAAGCCACCATTCTCTCTCGTGGACTGTCCCAGCCACCTGGTTTATCTCCAGCCTTTACATTTGCTTCCTGCTTCCTTCCAGTACCTTCTCTACAATGTGAACACAATCTTTTCAAAATGATTATATGATCATATCACTCCATTGCTTAAACCCCTGTAATAGAATCCTGTTTCTTTTAGGATAGAATCAAACATTGCTAACATGGTTTTTTACAATCTAACCTTTCTTAACTTGAACTTTCCTCCCTCCCACATGACTGTCAGCTTTGTCTTTTTCCATTGTACTTTGCCGTTACAAGCCTCTTTCCCCTCTGTTTTTACCCATTTCTCTATTTGTTAGAAGCACCTTCACTATAGGAAAGCAAGGAAGGAGAATCTACAGAGCTAATCAAATTATAAAAGAGTGATGTGAAATTCAAACTGGAAGATTTTGTGCTTGAGTCTTGCTTATTTATCTGTATTTTAGTTCATCCATGAAACTAACAAAGATAATGTGATTTAAAGCAATTGTAAGTGGCTATTTCAAGCCATCTTACAAGAGTTTTTAGAGGATAATTTTTATATTTTAGATCTGACTATATTGTGATGTCAGTGCCTGTTTTTCTTTTTTTTTGTGTCAGACATAGCTTCATGTATGTTCATGATAGAGTTTAATTCAACAAATATTTGTTGAACTCTGCAGTCTGTACAAGAAGCTCTGTAACAACAGATAAAATTGGGCTGGGCGCAGTGGCTCACGCCTGTAATCCCAGCACTTTGGGAGGCCGAGGCAGGCAGATCATGAGGTCAGGAGATTGAGACTATCCTGGCTAACATGATGAAACCCTGTCTCTACTAAACAAAATACAGAAAATTAGCTGGGTGTGGTGGTGGGCGCCTGTAATCCCAGCTACTAGGGAGGCTGAGGCAGGAGAATGGTGTGAACCCGGGAGGCGGAGCTTGCAGTAAGCCGAGATCACGTCACTGCACTCCAGCCTGGGCGACAGAGCGAGGCTCCGTCTCAAAAAAAAAAAAAAAAGAACAGATAAAATCAGTCCCCAAACATCTTCATTTTTTTCTCCTGTCTGTCTTTGAGTATATTTGTTTAAAGTAACCGAATTTATCAGGTTCAAATTGCAGATAGTTTAGGTTTGTTCCAAAACCTCAATTACTTATTATGAATTTTTTTTTTTTTTTTTTTTTTATAAAATAGAGCCTGAGTAGTGTAGACTTTTGTTTTATATGTTAATTTTTCTCTCCGACAGGCACCAATCCTTATTTGACTTTTCACTGTGTTAATCAGGGAACGATTTTGCTGGATCTTGCTCCAGAAGATAAAGAATATCAGTCAGTGGAAGAAGAGGTAATATACATCAGAAATCTTTCATTTGCTTTTCTTGAAATCTGTGGATAAACCTCTTTTTCTGGAATTAACCTCGTCTTACATTGCCTTGCGGTCACATGCCTATTAATCAGTCTGTCTTAGCCACTGTGGTAGAATATTGCCAAAATTAAAATATGACGGCGCCCCATGGTTTTCACATCATAAGCCTAGGTTTTCTAATGCATGGGGCCCATCTGTCTTTTTATTCTGGAGATTTTCTTGAATCTCATGCAAAATAAATAAGGAGCCTATTACAACTATTTTCTTATATTGTTACAGTGCCACCTAAGAATGACATAGAATGAAAAACTCTTGCCTCATAGAGAGCAAATATGTTCTCATCCTTGTTTTTATGCAGTTATAAATGTGACTATAAAATAATATGCCTAATCGTCACGTATGCTTCTGGGTCTGCCTCATTATTCTGCATAACATTTTTCCAGTCACAGTTCTTCTGAGCCCCTATGAAGGCTGTTTGTGTAACCCTCCTGGTGGTCAGATGCCAGTGAGACTCCTGCTCCACTGACGGCTTATGCATAAACAAACAGCCTAATGCCATTGTTATAAGTAAGCTACCCAATTGTGTTATGCACATACCTAGGCAGAAAAAGGTATGCCTAATTCTTGTTTGTTTGTTTAATTAGTGCTCATTTTATTTTCATTCCCAGGCTAGGAACTTGCATAGGGAACTCAGGACCATGACCCCAGGGCTGTATTTCAGCTCATACGTAGCGCATCAGGAAGGCATCATGGGGTCCGGTGTCTTACTACCTAATTCTCCTAGCAGTTAGTACATTTTGATAACAATGTCAAAAATGTAGTGACTCTTCACAAGTGGAGCAGTAAGGAAGAGAATTCATTTTTTTTATTGAGTTAATTCTCTGAGAAACTTAGATCTTTAAAACATTTTTCTTTTCCATAATTATTTTTAATTTAGAGAGTAGTCAGAAGACAGTTATTCCCTTTAGTAGTACATTATAGTCAATGTCCCCTGGTCTGTGTAAATATACTTAGAGATCCCAAGCTGAAGACTATTGAGATAATATGGAATATTTCACCTACAGAACAAATATTTTTTAAAAATTGTTTATTTTTAGCATTTGTCCAACGGGCATTTAAGGAGTTTTTGTTTGACTTAATCAGAGTGTTAGTTCTTCTTCTCAATAAGATAAGATAGTAATTGTAGATGACTTAATGTGTTTTTTAATATGTTTCCCCATTGTGTTTACAGAAAACTCTTTCAGAACTTTTATTTAAAAGTAAATAGAAAGTGCATAAATTTAATATTTATGTTTGAAATTATTTTCTCACCAAAAATACTTATCCACTAAACTTGTTCATCAATTTATAGTGAACTCCTATTTATTTATTAATACTGAATTTTAGACTCATCATTGTCTAGAATTACACACTGGGATGTTTTTATAAAATTAGTTATTTTGTTCTGTAGATGCAAAGTACTATTCGAGAACACAGAGATGGTGGTAATGCTGGCGGCATCTTCAACAGATACAATGTCATTCGAGTAAGTTTTTAAAGTTTCATGGTGAAAACTGGATTGCAAGGCTTGCCTAAAAACCAAATCTAGACAATGAAAAAAGTTTATTAAGTCATATTTTCAAACTGTGAAAGATAATTCGTCACCTGTCTGAAGTCAGATAGCACTCTTCTCACTACAATATCTCTAACTCCCCAAGACAATACGTCACTAAAAATAGAGACATTCTGAAAGCGTCAAAGCTACAAACAGGAGGCTAAATCAGCTTCTACTAGTGATACTTACGTGGATATTGGTCTCCCTGCTCATGCACAAATACAGGCCATAGCTGACAATAATGTTTTTTATCATTTGAGAGTTGCATCAAAGTCCTGGATCTTCAATCTAATTGAACCAGTAATTACCTCAGAATACATATATTTCTTAATCTCGGTATCTCAATTTATAATATGGAACAGATGACTCAAGCTTTTTACAAAGGGGTATCATAAAGATGAATAAAACCTGTAGAGAACTGGTTTAACCCTTTGAGTTAACAGACCTGTAAAAGTTATACTGGTACACATCAGAATAACCCAGGGAACTTTTTTAAAAAAAATACAGATTTACAGATCCCCATCTCCTAAAATGTATTAAGTCTGGGGAGATGCCTAAACATAACCTTTTTACCTATTTTTTTTTTTAATCCTGAGGTGATTTAGAGGTAACAGCCAGGTCTGGTATAGAACAACAAAAACTGTAACTGAAAATTATGTCACTAACAGCTAGAGTATTTTCTGAATTACACTGACATGGTAGCTTTATCACTTTTAAATTATGTCTTAAGCAAAATAAAAATTGAACCTTCCTAAAAGGAAAACATACTTTTCATTTTAAATCATAAATGCACGTTTCACCGATAATGTTTCTTTCTTCTTCATCCTTAAAGATTCAAAAAGTTGTCAACAAGAAGTTGAGGGAGCGGTTCTGCCACCGACAGAAGGAAGTGTCTGAGGAGAATCACAACCATCACAATGAGCGCATGTTGTTTCATGGTAAGCAGCGTGGCAGGGACGGTGGACGTCTCCCTGGGCCTTTGCAGGAGTCAGTAAAGGGAAAAACCTACGTTAAATTGACTATAATACGGTTGTGTTAAAAACGGCTTGTTTTGATTATTTTGTTCAAATAATTACTTCTTGGTACCAGCTTTCTAATGTATCACACATCAGTACAGACTTTCCAGTGCATATACAGTGAAAATACTTGATCTAAAATTATTTTAGTACTTAAATTGCAAATTGAGCCACCTAGTGAATTACTTTTGTTGTAATTTTGTACTAGTACATTATTATGTATAATAGACCTTCTTAGAAAATACTTTTCATTTATACACCATTCATTTCTTAATATTAACCTGCCCGATGCAAATAGTGTGCAGGTAATTGAGCTTCTAGAAAAGTGTTCAAAAACGAATCTTTCTGTCTTCGTATTTCTAGGTTCTCCTTTCATTAATGCCATTATTCATAAAGGGTTTGATGAGCGACATGCATACATAGGAGGAATGTTTGGGGCCGGGATTTATTTTGCTGAAAACTCCTCAAAAAGCAACCAATATGTTTATGGAATTGGAGGAGGAACAGGCTGCCCTACACACAAGGACAGGTCATGCTATATATGTCACAGGTAAGCATCTTGCCATTAGTGTAACGTTTCCCACCCCTAGGTCACGAACCAAATTGTCTTTTTTTTTTTTTTTTTTTTGAGATGAAGTCTTGCTCTTGTCACCCAGGCTGGAGTGCGGTGGCACGATCCTGGCTCACGCAACCTCCACCTCCTGGGTTCAAGCAATTCTCCTGCCTCAGCCTCCTCAGTAGCTGGGATTACAGGCACCTGCCACCACGCCCAGCAAATTTTTGTATTTTTAGTAGAGATGGGGTTTTGCCATGTTGGCCAAGCTGGTCTCGAACTCCTGATCTCATGATCTGCCCACCTCGGCCTCCCAAAATGCTGGGATTACAGGCATGAGCCACCGTGCCCAGCCCCAAATTGGTTTATCAGGCTCTGCAGAAGTCACAGATTATCCTCAGTCTTGCATCCCGGTAAATCCCGTTGGTTCTGGGAATGGGTGGGAACAGCTGATCAGCCTCTTCTGACAGGAGCAATAACAACAGAGCAGATAACTAGGGGTAAAAACCAGGTACATGGCCTCCAGTCACGGGTTATGATAAAACTCCCTGCATCTTGGCTTTCTCCCTGGGCTTCACTTTTCTTCCTCTGTAATCAGAATATGGCAAGGCTAAGGATGATTTCTGTGGAACAAAGAACTGCTAGCTCTAGTCACATTTGAATGAAGACACACTTCTATAAAAAACATAGACTCTTTAATTTACTTCTGATGTTGCTGGTGATGTTGTTGTTTTAAGGCAGGATATATAATTAGCCTTGGCAACTTAAAATATCAACTTTGGAATTAATAGCAAACAAATGAATATTGGCCTTGTTAATAGACTTTTAAAACTCAAAAATTGGAGAGAATAATGGTATAATCTCTGTGATGTCAGTGGCGAAAAAAGTACTTTCCCTTTCCTTGGCAATGAAAAAATACAAAAGAATTATACTGTACAAAGATTGGGATTTATTACATTTCTGTGTAAACTTACTTACCAAATGCATTCTTTTTAACAAGCCAGGTTAATAAGATACTTTGTAATTTGGTTAAGACCTTAAAAAGACCCAAATAATTTCAGAACAAGGATCTCTGAGGGAGAAAAGCCCCAGTAACCTTGAAATTGTGATTATTGACCTTAAAACTTATCTCTCAGTTGTGTTTTGAACAAAATTATTGCCATCAGCCATTTGGAGTCGGATGTCATATACCCGGAAGGAAACTTCCTTCCATTAAGACCTCTGTGGTTAGGAATACAGAGAAATTTTCGGCTGGGCATGGTGGCTCACACCTGTAATCCCAGCACTTTGGGAGGCCGAGGCGGGCAGATCATGCCGTCAGGAGATTGAGACCATCCTGGCTAACACGGTGCAACCCCGTCTCTACTAAAAATACAAAAAATTAGCCGGGCGTGGTGGCAGGCGCTTGTAGTCCAAGCTACTCGGGAGGCTGAGGCAGGAGAATGGTGAGTACCCAGGAGGCGGAGGTTGCAGTGAGCCGAGATCGCGCCACTGCACTCCAGCCTGGGCGACAGAGAGAGACTCCGTCTCAAAAAAAAAAAAAAAAAAGAATACAGAGAAATTTTCAAGAATGTATAGCATGTAAAAGTATTTTTGGGTTTTTTTGTTTGTTTTTTTGCTTCAAACCTAATTCCTCTGGAGACAAAAATGAACCTAAATAAGCAATAAAAGTGAACCTCAATGAAAATTAACAGTCGCTCATTAAAATTAGACACACAAGTTTAAGTCTTAGCCAGGATTTCTGGAAAACAGAGCCTCAAGCAAAAGCATGTGACTAGTATTTGGCCAGTGCAGCCCCAGGGAAGCAGGAATGAGGGCCCAAAAGGAACTGAGGTGGAGAAGACAGCAGAGCAACCGCAGTGAGGTGCATTCATGAGCTGGCCACAGTCTCATAGTGAGTGCAGTCGATTGCCCAGTCCATGAGGCATCTCCGGAGAGGCTGTATCAACTACGGCATCTCACAACAGTAGTATATCAGTGAGAGAAAGAGACGAATTTGTCTGCTGGCTCCTGTCTTGCATTTGTCAAAATTTGCCACCAGGGCTAATTGGTAACCCTACCATTTAGGCTGCTGCGTCTGCAGAATGCACCACAATGCACCAGACAAGCCAGTGAGCAGACTTGAGCCAGCTCTCTACTTGCCCATCTGCAGCTGCAGCTCACCGCTGGCTGAGCAGGTCCCACGTCATCTCCTGCCTCGGCAGCAACAGGCGAGCCCTGGGGCAGGAAGCAGAAGACCAGGGCCTGTCAAGTTCACCTTTGTGTGACGTAAGAGACTAGCAGAATCTAACGACAACATAGCACTGCCACAAATGTAGAGAGAGATGGAGCTCAAAAAGCCTCCTTCTGATGGAGAGCAAAGCCCTTTTCTCTGGGACCTGCAGGAGAATATAGTAGACCAAGCCAGCATCCCAGAGGATCATCAATAGCATCCAACTCAAAAAGCCAGTCCAGATAAGACCCAGTTGTCCTGGATCCAGCACAAATTTTAGTTGACTCAAGATAAAATCTCTGGTTACTTATAACACAAAGCTTATACTCCATTACTAAAAACAATTTGACTGAATTGTAACTGTTTACATTTAACAGTGTGATCATTTGTACTAATTTGTAAAAATGTTTATTGCTTATATTAGAGATTAGCAGACATTTTCTTTAAGGGATATATAATAATTATTTTAGGTTTTGCAGGTCATACAATCCCTGTCACAGTAACTCAATTCTGCCCTTGTAGCGCAAAAGCAACCACAGACTATATGTAAATGAATGCATGGCTGTGTGCCAATAAAATTGTATTTACAAAACCAGATTGCAGGCTGGATTGAGCCATGGGCTATAGCTTGCTAACCCCTGGTGTATATAATAGACTTTCTTCCCAGTCAGTCTTTCTTACTCTGTGATACTTAACATCTGCTCTAATTCAGGTTTCACCCAGACTATTATGATTTTCAGCCATACATTTAAGCTAAGTACTTTCGTTCATGATCCACTTTTATTATTACTGTTTACCTCATCCCAGTTTCTACTTTTTTCCCTGTAATGAATAAACCCAATCTTAATTTCAGGTGTTGTTTCCATCAGCTTATTTTCTTCACTTTCCACCTACCCATCCATGCAAGGGCTCAGTTTTTTCTCTGGTTTTTTCCCTTTTTCCACCAGGCAAAACTTACTGGCAGGCATTTTCTTTTTTTTTTTTTTTTTTTTTTTTTGAGACGGAGTCTCGCTCTGTCGCCCAGCCTGGAGTGCAGTGGCGCGATCTCGGCTCACTGCAAGCTCCACCTCCCGTGTTCGTGCCATTCTCCTGCCTCAGCCTCCCAAGTAGCTGAGACTACAGGCGCCCGCCACCACACCCGGCTAACTTTTTGTATTTTTAGTAGAGACGAGGTTTTTACCGTGTTAGCCAGGATGGTCTTGATCTCCCTAGCAGGCATTTTCTATGGCCGATTCCTAAGCCATACCAAAACTACTTTAAACTTTAAGTGTAACTATTGAGTCTGGTAACTGTTTATAGCAAATCATTATATCAAATTCCATCCCATTCCTACTCATAAATCTGAAAATGACATTTAAATTAGCTTGCCTTATGTTAAATTTTTAAAAAATTAATAGATCTAGCAGTTATATTATTGTAAGATTTAAAGCTTCCTTCAAAGCATTGTTTTTTTCTTTTTCCTTAGACAAATGCTCTTCTGTAGAGTGACCCTTGGGAAATCCTTTCTGCAGTTTAGCACCATGAAAATGGCCCACGCGCCTCCAGGGCACCACTCAGTCATTGGTAGACCGAGCGTCAATGGGCTGGCATATGCTGAATATGTCATCTACAGAGGAGAACAGGTATGTTACTCATCAAACAAGCATAACCAAGTTCACAAACATGTCAATAGAGCACAGAGACCGTGTAAGACTTGAGACACTTTTCAGTGAAATATCCACCACACAGTGTGCTAGTATTAATTACTTCAGATACAAAATAAAGGTATCAAAATAATTCTTTGACATCAACTTTTTACCTAAAACCCATTAGTAGCTGTCAGCCACATAACACAGTGTGAACAAGAGGGCAGCTGAGAAACAAAGGCTTGGGCCCTCATGCCGTTTTGAGGCCTGCAGCTCTGAACTAATGCCTTGTGCCACTTCGTGGGCAGCATGCCAGGGCAGCTGCTGTTAGTGGGTCTTCATGGATGTACATGCCACAGGATTTGTCCAAAAACAAAAACAATTTGTCTGAATGTAAGTGAACTTCAAATGAATACCATAACTACAATAAAAGAGAAAAATAAAGAAGGAAATAACTAAATATATATAACCTATGAAAACAGTATTTTATACTGTGCCTTCAGTCATGGGCAGGGTAGGGAATGCTGTTGGGGGAAGACTGACAAAGGAATCCTGAACTCCTTTTAGTAAATGTGTTGATGGAGATACCGTGGGCAAAACAGTGAAACTCTTAAGCATATTATAGGATTGAGCACATGAGCGGATGTGTTGATGTATTGATTTGAGGAGCCAAAATTCTCATGGTAGAAGAAGGGACATACAAATATGGAATGGAGAAGGTAAGAAAGACTCTAAGGGTGGACTGAAATTGGAAGTATTACTATGATCTCATGGTTTCTAACGTGTGTGTACACCCATGTAAATTTATGGGTAAGTAGTAATATAAGCATGTGTGTGTATATGAGAGAAAGAGAAACCAAGGAAGGGAGGGAAGGAGAGAGAGAGAGACAGACAGGAAGGAAAGGAGGGAGAGAAGAGAGGAAGGAAGGAAGTGAGGGAGGAAGAGAGAGAGGAAGGGAGGGAGAGAGCGAGGAAAGGAGGGAGGGAGGAAGGAAGTGAGGGAGGAAGAGAGAGCGAGGAAGGGAGGGAGGAGAGAGGAAGGAAGGAAGAGAGAAGAAAGGAGGGAGAGAGAGGAAGGGAAGCAGGGAGGGAGAGAGAGAGGAAGGGAGGGAGGGAAAGAGAGAAAGGGAGGGAAAGAAAGGGAGACAGATACTAAGGAAGGGAGGGACAGAGGAAAGGAAAAGAGAGAGAAGAAGGGAGGGAGAGAAGAAGGAAGGGGGAAAGAGATAAAGGGAAGGAAAGAACGGGAGAGAGAGGAAGGGAGGGAGAAAGACTGAGAGAGGAAGCAAGGGAGAAAGCGAGAGAGGAAGGAAGAGAGAAAGGGAGAGGAAAGAAAGAAGGGAGGAAGAGAGGAAGGAAAGAGGGAGGGAAAGAGAGAGAGGGATGAATGGAGGGGAGAGGCAGGAAGGGAGGGAGAGAGAGAGAGAGAGAGAGGAAGGGAGAAAGCGAGAGAGGAAGGAACAGGGAGTGAGAAAGGAAGGATTGGAGGAAGGAGAGAGAAAAAAAGGAAGGCAGGAGAGAGAGGAGAAGGGAAGTGGGGGAGGAAGGGAGAAGGGGGAATGAAGCGGGGAGAGAGGGGAGGGAGGGAGAGAGAGCTAGAGAGCGGAACGGAGGGAGAAAGTGAGGGAGAGCAGAAGGAAGGGATGGGGAGAGAGTGGAAGGAAGGGAGGGAGAAAAGGGAGGGAGGGAGAAAAGGGAGGGAAGGAGGGACAGAGAAAGAGGGAGGAATGGAGGGAGAAAGAGAGGGAGGAAGGGAGGGAGAGAGGAAGGGGGAGGGAGGGAGAGAGGAAGGAAGGGAGGAACAGAAAGAAGGAGGAAGAGAGGGAGTAAGAGGGAGGAAGGGATGGAGAGAGGAAGAAAGGAAGGGGGGAGAGAGGAAGGAAGGGAGGGGAAGAGAGAGGAAGGGAAGGAGATGGAGAGAGAGGAAGGGAGGGAGGGCTAGAGAGAGGAAGGATGGGAGGGAGGGAGAAAGACAGAAGAAAGGGAGGGAGAGCAGAAGGAAGGGAGGGAGAGAGGAAGTGAGGGAGAACAGAAGGCAGGGAGGAAGGGATGGAGGGAGAGAGGAAGGAAGGGGAGAGGAAGGGAGAGGGGGAGACAGAGAGATGAAGGTAGTGAGGGAGAGATAGGGAGGGAGGCAGAGAGGGAGGAAGCGAGGGAGAGAGGGAGGAGGGGAAGGAGAGACAGGAGAAAGGAAGGAGAGAGGGAGGGAGTGAGAGAGGAAAGAGAGGGAGAGAGGAAGGATGGGAGGGAGGGAGGAGGAGGAAGGAAACGAGGGAGGAAGACGGAGGAAGAGAGAGGGAGGATGGGATACAGAGGGATGAAGGGAGGGAGAGATAGAAGGGAGGGAAGGAGGGAAGGAATGAAAGAGGGAGGGAGGAAACAAGATGGAAGAGAGAGAGAGGGAGGAAAGGAGGGAGGGAAAGGGGGAGAGGAGGGAGATAGAAAGGGAGGGAGAGAGGCAGGAAGGGAGGGAGGAGAGAGGAAGGGAGGGAGGGAGCAAAAGAGATATGAAAGAAAGAAGGGAGAGAGGGAGAGACAGAAGAAGGGAGGGAATGAGAAAGGAAGGGAGGTAGAAAGAGGAAGGAAGGGAGGGAGCAAGAGAGCGTGAGGAAGGGAGGGAGGGAGAGGTAGGAAGGAAGGGAGAAAGAGCAAATGGGAGGGAGAGAGGAATGAAGGGAGGGAGGGAAAGAGAGGAAGGGAGGGAGGTAGACAGAGGAAGGAGTGAGAGGAAAGAAGGGAGGGAGAGAGAAGAAAGAAGGAAGAAAGGGAGAAAGAAGAGAGGAAGGGAGGGGGAGACAGGAAGGAAGGAAGAGGGGGAAGAGAGAGGAAGGAAAGGAGGGAGAGGTACAGGGAGGAAGGAAGGGAAGGAGAGAAAGAGGAAGGAAGGGAGAAGTAGAAGGGAGAATGAAGGGAGGGAGTAAGAGAGAGAGAGGAAGGGAGGGAGTAAGAGAAGAAGGGAGGGAGAGACGAGGAAGGGAGAGAGAAAGGGGGGAGAGAGGGAGGAAGGGAGAGGAAGAGAAGGAAGGGAGGGAGAGAGAGCAGAAGGAAGGGAGGGAGAAGGGAGGGAGAGAGGAAGAAATGGAGAGAGAGGGGAAGATAGGGAGGGAGAGAGAAAGGGCGAGCAGAAGGCAGGGATGGAGAGAGGAAGACAGAAAAGAGGGAGGGAAGGAGGGACAGAGAAAGAAGGAGGAATGAAGGGAGAAAGGAGGAGGAAGGGAGAGAGATGGAGGGAGGGAGAGAGAGGAAGGAAGGGAGGGAGAGCTAGAGAGAGAGGAAGGAAAGGAAAGAAAGAAGGAAGGAAGGGAGGGACAGACAGGAAGAGAGGGAGAGAGAGGAAGGAAGGGAGGGGGAGAGAGAGAGAGATGAAGGAACAGACGGGGAGAGAAAGAAAGAAGGAAGTAAAGAGGAAGGGAGAAAGAGAGGAAGGAAGGGAGGGATAGTGAGGATGGAAGGGAGGCAGAGAGAGAGGAAGGGAGGGAGAGAGAGGAAGGTCAGGAGGGAGAGATGGAGGAAGGAAGTGAGATGGAGGGAGAGAACGGAGAGGGTGGGAGAGAGGGAGGGAGGGACGAGGGAATGAGTGAGGAGGATGGAGTAAGGGAAAGAGGTGTAGGGAGGCAGAGGGGAAGCGAGGGAGGGAGAGAGAGGAAGGGCGAGAGGGAGGAATGTAGGGTGAGATGGAGGAAGGAAGGGAGACGGACAGAGGGAGAGAGGAAGAGGTAGAGGGAGGGAGGGAGAGAGAATGGAGAGGGTGGGGGAGAGGGAGGGAGAGAGAGGGAGGGAGGGATAAGGGAATGAGTGAGGGAAAGAGAGGTGTAGGGAGGCAGAGGGAGAGAGTGAGAGAGGGAGGGAGGGGGGAGAGTGAGAGGGAGGCAGAGGGAGAGAGTCAGGGAGGGAGAGGGAGAGAGGGAGGGGGAGAGTAAGACAGGGAGGGGGAGAGAGGCAGGGAGAGGAGAGTGGGAGAGGGAGGGGGAGAGTGAGAGGGAGGGAGAGGAGGAGAGAGAGAGGGAGGCAGAGGGAGAGAGTGAGAGGGAGAGGGAGAGAGAGGGAGAGGGAGAGAATGAGAGGGGAGAGGGAGAGAGTGAGGGGGGGAGGGGGAGAGAGGGAGGGAGAGAGGGAGAGGGGGAGGCAGAGGGAGAGAGTGAGAGGGAGGGAGGGAGAGGGGCAGAGTGAGAGAGGGAGGGAGGAAGAGGGAGGGAGGGGGAGAGGGAGGGAGTGGGAGGGAGTGAGAGGGAGAAAGAGGTGGGAGGGAAGAAGGGATAGGCAGAGGGATGGGGGAGGGAGAAAGGGAGGGAGTGAGAGGAGACAGAGGTAGGGAGGGATGGAGGGGGAGAGAGGGAGAGAGAAGGAGGGAGGGAGAAACAGGGAAGGACGGGTGGAGGGAGGGATGACATGGGACTCATCATGTACCCATTATTAGACCAGGCAAGAATTATTAATGGATGCTAAATATGGGGATTGTTTCACTAAGGAGAAGAATATTTGCGTGGTTTTCTTATTACAGACTTACTTTCAAAGGGGGCTGGGGGGAGGAGTAATTATATATTGGAGAAAGGGGACAATGCCTTGACCAGATAATCAAAATCAACATCACCAATGAGGGACAGATAGGCTTATATTATCTCTCTAGGTGGATACTCTAAAGGCACGACATCTCTGCAGCATTCCAGCCAAAAATACATGATGTAAGTCTAATCAAAATGAGGAATGTTTTACTTTTTTTAATGTTGAAAGATTGTATTCTTCAAAAATGTTAATATTATAAAAGAAAGGCTGTGCTAACTTTCCAGATTACATGAGGCCCAAGAGACATGAAAACGAAGTTAACCTTCTGCCCCCAACTGCATCCAGTATTGGAAGAGAAAGTACATTATTAGATCAACTGACAGAATTGGAATATGGACATTAAATAAAAGGATTGTATCAATGTAAAATTATAAGGTTGATTCTGTACTTACGTAAGGCAATATGTCTATGCTTAGAAAATATATACTGGCATATTTAGGGATAAAGGACCATGATGATGTATATAACTTGTAAACGTTTTGGGGAGAATGTGTGTGTGTGTGTTTGTGTGTGTGTGTGTGTGTGTCTGTGTGTGTGTGTGTGTGTGTAGTGCGTATGTGTGGGTGTGGGTGTATCTAGTATACAGGGATAGGGAAGGGGCAAATGATAAAGCAAATGAGATAAATAAAACCTTCCCAAACGTAGATCTGGGTGAGGTTATGTAGCTGTTTTTGGTACCATTTTAATTTTTGCAACTTACTTGTAAGTTGGTAGCTGTTTCCAAATAAAAAGTTTACAAAAAGGAAGGAATAAATTTGTCATATTTTTCTGTTTAAATCATAAACCTTTAACTTCTAGAAAAGAAGCTTTTTTTTAACTTTTATTCAGTAATTATACTTCTTCTAGAAATTTGTATTGGAATAATCAGTGATAGTCACAAACACACACTATATACATGAATATATGAATAGTCATCACTGTCTTATCACAATAAAAAATTTAAACAACCTAAATATTAAGCAAAAGCAGAATTGTTAAATAAACATATTCATATGTCTGATATTTTTTAACATTTACATAATATATACCAAACATAGATTCACCCACAGCATAAGAATATGGTTATCACTGGGTGATAATGAGTGGTTTCAGTTCTCTTTACCATGTATTTTAAATATACTGTAAGTTATCTCTGATTCACCCACAACATAAGATGGTTATCACTGGGCATTAATGAGTGGTTTCAGTTCTCTTTACCATATGTTTTAAATATAAGTTATCTGTAGTGGTAAATATTTATTTCATAATTGGGTACAAAGAAATAATAAGGAATACTTAGAAGATAAGTTTAAGTTTACTTTTCTGAAATTTACTAATTAACCATCTCCCAGGTAAAATTTGACTTGATAATTTAGTCAGAGTGTCTCATGAAATAATTTTAGAGAGTGATTAGTACAAAACTTATTTGAAAGAAAAAAAAAATGCCTAAATAAAAAAATGCACTCAGCATTTATTTTATTTCCGGGGAGGATAATTGCTCTTCCATATTCAGGTATACTTGTACACATGGATCGTGTTAACTCTAGCGTCTGCTAATTGAGTACTTTCTCATGAGCAGTTTTTGCTAATTTTATAGGGAAGTTTTCCTTTGCTAACTTTTATTTCATTCTCCTTAGTCATACTCTAAATCATCTTTCACTCTTAATGTTTAACTTTCAAAAACACACACGTTTTATGTGTTTTTGATTGAGGATGATTTGAGTAGTAGTATTCGTTATTGGTGGGAATGTTTCTTTCTTGAAGATTGAAAAGATATATTGAAGGTTAACTGAACTGTACTTGGAAAGAAAAATGGCTCTGATTATTACATATGATTGGACTTAAGATGTCAGTGGTATTTGTTTATGTTGTACTTTAAACTTCACATTAGACATGAAGGAGAGGTGTTCTCTGCTCATTGGTTTCTCCAGAGATTTCAGCTACTTTACTGAACTGATGTGAACAATGCAGAATTACTTAACCTGGAAAAGAAAAGACTATAGAATAGAATGATTTCTAAAATGGTTTCCAAACATACAGAATCATTCAAGAGAGCATGACGGTCCCTTCCTCACCTCTATGAGACATAAACTGAGAGCATTTGAATTCAAATTTTAGTGTTAGGGATTTGGATTAAGAAGAAAATTCAGAAAATGAGTTAGCAGAAGTGGTTGTGTATTTAAAAAATAAGTAAATAAATACATACATACATCCTACGCTGGTATAACCAGCATGGATTTAAAGTGACCTGACGGAAAATGACGGTTTTTGGTCCATCTTAGGCCCTTCTAGTTCTGCAGTTCAGTAATTCCCTTACCCTTAATCCCTCTGGACTGTAATTGATTAATTAGTAACTTAAAGGGCACACAGAAACAATTCAGTAGCCTAATCATTAGGAACCGGGAGCATTTAGATAAGGACCTTTAAGGAACTCATGCCATTAGAATCTTAGAATCCACCTGACTAAGATGGACGTGTGTCAGGGATCCCCTTAAATCATGAGCTACCTAAATGCAGACACCGGCACTATTGACTCCTTTGCTTCAACAGCTTTTCCGCAAGTAAAATGTCATAGAAAGTATTATAGATATTAAACTTCACTCGGATAAAAGGAAGTAGGGGTGGGCATCCACTCATTTTTGACACTCAGCATATGCCAGCCTGCGTTCTTTTTACATTTCTCCTGTTTTTGTCTGTCCGCATGGTAAGCTCCTTCACAGCAGGGTCCACATCTCACACCAGAGTGTTCTTATGTGGTAGATGCTCAATACACGGATGCTAGTGATAAATAGTTTTCTTGACCATTAAGCCACCTGGTTGATTAATTAGTATTTTCAGTTTTTACCAGTATGTGAGCTTTGCTAGATTTTTTTATACCCAACTCTAGAATTAGCAGTAGGTATCTGACCTAGATTGTTTTAGTAAACCATTTCAAAAATTAAGTGTATGTCTTAAGATAAAACTACAGATAGTTTCTTTTGTGAGAAACTGTAATATTCTCACAAAAATAAAAGTACAGACTGGTTACTGAGACTTCAGATTGGAAAGTCAGGAGAGATTTTCAATCTTCGTTTCTTCCCACTAAATGTACTAAAATAGAAACTGTTGTTGTTTTTAACTAAAATCAGAGCAGACTGGAATTACGGAAAAGAATATTATGAATGGTTCTATATATATATATATATATATATATATATATATATATGTAGACAGAACTTAACATTTATGTTTTTTTGTTATTTTTAAAGTCCTTGCTGAGAGCTTTTAGGAGGGAGTACTCTCTAATGAATAATACTAATAAAAATAATAACAATAATAGATCCTTACTATGCCAGACCTATTCTAAGACTTTTGCATTTAGTTCTCACAAAAAATCCTAATATTACTATTCAGTTTTTACTTATCTTTCTTTCCTTTTATTATCTTATCCTGTATCTATATGCAAGTAGTTTGTTGGTCAGCATTGAACAAACTATTTTTGGTCCCCAAAACACTTTGCTCACCCAAGAGTCTTCTTTTAGTCACAGACCACTCTGAACTACTGAATCTAGTTTCATCGTCATGTTATAGTTAGGGCTGAAGAATTCCTATGTAGTCTACTCACTAAGGGGTGTCCTACCTCTCCTTCCAAATTGCTGCCTTCACTGCAATTTCTGGTTAGGTTTTCAGCAGCTTCCTCTGATCAGCCTCCTTTTTCCTGCTCCCACCAAGAAGAACTCTTCCCATTCCAGACACAGCCTTGTGTTTTACTGACTGCAAGAAAAAAGAGAAAGAGAATATGAAGGAGGCCAGTCTAAATCGGAGCCCTTATCTCTCCTGTAAATGATGCCTTTGAGTAGTCAGTTTTTAAATATTGTTCCCAAACTGTTGTTTCTGGGTTATTGGTGACTCAGTACATCTCACCCTTACTCCTTCTAGCTCAGTGGGTTACATCATCTTCTATGATTAATTTGGACTGGATTCAGCAAAATTTTTCTTTCATTTAGCAAACTTTTATTGAACACACGCTGTGTGACAGCACCAATGCTCTGTGAGGTGAAAAAGATATTAGTGCTACCTCGGGCCTTAGTTTCCCTGCTTATGACACATGGCTCTCTAATAAGGGATGAATGGAGCTTAATTGACAGTATTCGAAGTAGAAATAACATTCAGTTTTCTAGATTGTAGGGTTTATACACATTTATTTACAGTTAAGTAGGTGAACCTCAAATTGTTCAGGCACCTATTAAGAAACTGAGTCTATATAGAATATTGGTCACGATTAACAGCCTTTGAGGCTTCCACATTCGGCAAGGCTTTAATATTGTGCCTACTAGAAGGGTGATTTGTTTTTCTTCTTGTCCTTCCCAGGCATACCCAGAGTATCTTATCACTTACCAGATCATGAAGCCAGAAGCCCCTTCCCAGACCGCAACAGCCGCAGAGCAGAAGACCTAGTGAATGCCTGCTGGTGAAGGCCAGATCAGATTTCAACCTGGGACTGGATTACAGAGGATTGTTTCTAATAACAACATCAATATTCTAGAAGTCCCTGACAGCCTAGAAATAAGCTGTTTGTCTTCTATAAAGCATTGCTATAGTGATGAATAGTATGAGTAACTGATACATACTCAACTGCTACTGTTCCCTTTGAGGAAATGTTTACAGGGGCGGCCTTTTAACATATCTCAGGCTCATTTTCATTGCAATTATCCATTTCTAAAACAAGATTGCTTCGATCTAGACTTGGAAATGGAAAATAAGAAAACCAATGCTTTTTCAAATGTTCACAATTCACACACTACATTTGTTTTGTTATGCATGACGTGTCTATAACAAATATACACATACGACAGGCAACAAGCTTGTTTTTGATTTGCCAGACATGCATCATTGGCTATTGTTTGTTTGTTTTTTGTTTTTTTGTGTTTTTTGGGTTACTTTGAAAATGAGCCAGAGCCTTCTTGAGGATATTTTGCACAAAGTCACGCTGACAAAATCATTAGCAGTGCAACCCAAGCTTCTGGCTGAGCAAGATTCAGTTTCCACTTTTTAAAATTTTTTTATTTTGCTCTGTAGCTGCACTTCTCGTTATCATAAATTGAGATGAAAAGGAAAAAACATCAAGTTTTAGTACCTTTTTATGAATTGGCCTATCTTACAAGAGAAGGGCACAAACACCAACCTGACTTAGGAACGCCTAAATTCAGAGAAGTCAAAGCCGGTGAAGGCCACTTGCTCTTTCCAACACAAGCCTGCCACAGAGGTCTTCGGGACAGTACTGGAGATGCAGGTTGACACGGGCTTGAGTTCCAAGGTGAAAAAACTGGGGAGGCTGTGAAGGAAGAGCTGCATTAAGGAGGGTGAGGAGCGTGTGGTTCTGTATCATGGCAGCCCCAATGGATCCAGGGGATGCCTCCAAAAAATACATGCTTCCCTTCCCTTAATCTGTACTGTTGGGATTGTTACCCCTCCAAATTAGCTGCCTTATTTCAAAAGTCAGTGAAATTACTGCACTTGATGAGGGTCACAAAAATACCACTTGATTGTTTCTTTAGTTGAGAATGCTGGGATTCAGACTCGAATAGTGGATAGATACACACAAATGCAAGGACTTTTTTGTTTACTCCAGATTTGGGGTTTATTTTGAGTGGCATGCTTCAAATAGTTCATAAAGATCCTTGCATTAAATTTCTGAACCATTTCTTCAAACTTCTTAGTGTGTTTAGACAAGGAGAACAAAAATTGAAACCAAAGCCCTTTCTGTTATTTTTTCAATGAAGGTGAGAAAGAAATACCATACAATTTTCTTTGTGAAATTACTGTTTATTTTCATCAACATTTACCAAGTGCCATTGACATTTATAAAAAAAATGATCCTTTATAGTTCTTACACTTGCCCTTTTCACCTTAACTGAATATGAATTGAGTGCACTAACTTATTTACTTGATATACTGTGCATCTACTCTGCTTTGAAGCGAAAGAAATATAAACACGAGGAGGAATAGGAAAGACAGTGTGACACAAACTTGCCATTGCAATTCAAAGCCCTGAAAACGATGGGTTTAATGCAAGGTGATTAAGCTGTGACCTCCTTTAATCTCCTGAAGCAAAATAAAATGGTTACATGCAAAACTTCTAGAAATAGACTCTTAAAATATATACATTTTGCTTTGATTTTGGCTTCAACCCAGTGCTGGAACTAGGCATCCAGACTAGTTTGAATGTTTGTAGCTGAATTTTTATGGGTCCTCAAAATTAAATCGAGAATTAGCCTCAGTTGTTGCTTCTTTTGAAGTTTCAGTGACCCAAGCTGGGTGTTTGTGTCTTGGCTACTTGTTTAATAGCACTAGAATTCCAGGTGAAGCTTTGAGAGTTGATATTCATTAAGAGGGCTTTTTTTCCCCTTCTTTCCTTCTCTTTTGCTGTAACAAAGGGTTGAAGAAATTGCCATCTGTGTAGTTTTCAGTAGCTGTCAAGTGTGTCTTACTTACCTTCCCCCAGACGTAGTTTAAAATGGTAAACACAGCTGTGATTTTTAGTTAAGTAAAAGAGTTAATATGATATAGATATGGAAAGCTTTATGGCTTCATTAAAAAGATAAACCACTACCTAACTGTGGTTGTATGTTGTTTCCATCATACTAACTAGATGAATGGATGCGCCAGTTTTCATCTTGGTCCTTACACTTGAGAAGTTAAACTGTGGTTCAGTATTTAAACTGCCAGTGTTATACGTCTCATGCTCTGTGTGCCAGGTGAAGGTACTGTGTAAGGAAGACATTTGCGGTGCTTCTTGTCCTATAATGATTCAAGTATATAGTAGTTCTTGAAAGAGTGTGCATATATTACTCATCTGCTTAAGAGAGTGGGTTAATGGATATATCAGAGGAGCCAAATACATTTTTTTCAGAACTTGAAAACCAAAGGTCATCATGAGTGCACTCAAAAGTTAGGACAAGTTTATTACATTTGGGATTTTCATCTGTAGCCGTATGAAGAACCCTTTCCAATATAAAAGCATGGCATTAAATTAGGCTGAAGTCTTTTATTTTTTGTATATGTACTATATAGAAATACTAGCAAGTTAGGATCATCCAATATGGCCTACCCCGAAATGGCCCCTCTGTTTCCCTAACCACATGGAAGAAAGAATCTGAACGTCTCCACCGGCTCTACCCGAGTTCCAAAACTAAAGGGCTTCTCCAGACCTGATGGTTCCAGTTTACCTGCTGTTGGCCTGCTGGATACTTGACTCAGGCATAAATTAAGTGCCCTGGTCCCGAACTTTCTCCCTGTATTTGACCTCCTTCCCTCTTTCCTAAATTACTAGTCTGGAATTAAAATTAGCTCCAGCAATGACCTTTGACTCCATTCATTTTCTCCTCATCTTGGGTCTTAAAAAAGGAGACCAGATACCTCCTAGCTTTTGTATCACAACCAGGAATGGGTATTAGGCCTCATGCGCTTTGCTCAGAACACTGCCGCTTTGTTAACAAATGACAGCATGGAACCCAGAGTTTTGATTCGATGCAAAATAACAGCAGTGCAACCAGGATTCTTGTTTTCCTTTTCCTTCTTGGAGTTTGGAATTTCTAGCTTTTCAAGCAGCATAAGTAGAATCAACATTAGGATGTTTTCATGAAATAGCATCCTTATACTTCTTTGAGCTTGATGTTAGTGGCTAGACTGATTTCCCTTTGCTCTCAAAATACAAAGTGCATTGAAGTATACAGAGAAATGCCTGAATATGGCAAGCAAATAATGTAGATTAACATTCTATTATTGTATCCGTTTTACAAAAAATAAAATTTTGATATATGCCGGAGAACGGCATTAGAATGCAATAAGTTGTCTAGGTTTTTCTGTTTCAGTGTCTCTCCCAATGGCACGAAGGGTTATTGGGCATTGTCCCCACCCCCGCCTTTTTAACATGTGCACTATCTGGATTCCTGTAAATGGCCTTGCAAACAGAAGTGGTGTGTATTTTCAAGCACCTTTCCCCCATTGTATCCGAATCCCTCTTGTGTGATATCTGTGACAAATAGCCTTCTTCTTGTGTTTTCTGTTGGACTAATTGTCTCACGTAAAGCTATAGACCTTACTAATTTGGCAGGTATTCAAAACTGCCATTAAGATAGGATTTCATGTCAGATACGTATTTAAAGAGTAAAGTCAAATTTGTTTAATGTCAGATCAGTGACAGAAGTGAAAAGAAAGTAATTGTGAAAGTGATGTTTGAGCTATTGTACACATCTAGCATATGGAAAGCAAATGCACTCGAAAACTACTATTCTAGAACATGAGGCTTCTTCAGCAACTTGTGCACTCTGCCATTAATAAATTAAATTTTTCCCCTCTAGAAAGCCTTAACTATGGCGGAAACTTTTTAACCTTTTATATTTTAATAAATAAAACATTGTAGTCCCATTTCTTAGTGTTTGAAAGGTGTGTCAGTGAGTCGGCCATGTCTCCATGTGTTTCAGACCTGTTCATCTTATTTTATGATGGTATATTTCATAAGTAATATTCCCTTACATGCAATGGAGCTGATTAAAATTAATCCATTTCAATTTCTCCATATTGGAACTTCCTCAGCTACCAGATTTCTGGTTTGGAGAAGTGCTGGAAAGATTTCAAAGCCTATTCAGTTGTGTATGTGGGGATACGACAGCAACTGTGATACCTTGTAGAATATGAGTGATATGCAAGCTGTGTTTTTTAATTGTTTTAAAATGTAAATTATGGTTATGCTAAAGTGAAAACCTAGAGGAAGCTAATGATTTTATATACTTTGCACGACCAAATATGGTCGTAGTATGACGAGTTTTATACATTGCCAGAGAGTTCTGCCTCCTCTGAAATAACATTCGCACTGTAGATTGCATTTCGGCTTTTCCTCCTTTCACATTCTTTTTTGCTTTACACTTCACGTCTTCGCACCTGCCCTACCTCCCATCCTTTCAAAGAGGTTTCTTTCACGTTCCAGAATTCAGATTGTTCTGTGATTTCTTTTACATCAGTCTACCCATTTCTGCAGGCAGCCCTGAAAGCCCTTGTGTTGATTCAGAGTGTTTGCAGAGAAATGCAGTTGAACCCTGGTAGTGGGGTGTCCCTCACACACCCGCGCACCCCTCCCAAAGTTCAGGATGAAAGGCTAGAAAACCCATTCAAAGTTAGGAAAGAACACAGATCTTTGAGGCCGATAGCCTAGACCTAGAAGATGACCTTGAGTATGTAAACATTGTCTCCGTGACACAAAACACTGAAACTCTTCATGTGCATATAACACCTGCTTCTGCTCCCATTGTTTCAAGCTCATCTTATCTTTGTAGTAGTAATGTTTGTCTTTGATACCTACAAACTAAAAAGGTACTTTTATCAAGGTTTCTCAAAACATTTACAAAACCAGCTTTGAGAAAATGTTATGTTGCCTGGCAACAGCACTCGGAGTAGTAATTGTGTTTTCTCATTGTGATGTTGGTCTGTGTGAGCAACCAGTGTAGTGACTCTTTGGTTCATTATTCGTGTTGTTTTTATTTTTAGTCTCTGTGTGACCCAACAGTGGCAGGGGTTACAACCCCCTCTCCTTTCTTTTTTGTATTTATCTATTTGTAGGATTGTCAGATCAAGTACAAGATGCCCAGTTAAGTTTGAATTTCAGAGAAACAATTTCACGTTAAGAATGTTTCATGCAATATTTGGCATATATTTACAGTAAAAGCATTCATTATTTGTCTGAAATTCAAATTTAACTGAGCATGCTGGTTTTTCTCATTGTTTGGTTTTTCTAAATCTGGCAATCCTACAGCTGTGGTCATGGGAAATCACCTACAGCATGTTAAAGTCCTCTAGTCATCATCTCGTCACCTGAAATGGAAGTCCTTTTTCCCTCACCCTCCACTTCTTTCCAAAGGAGGGCATCAAGGAACTTAACCTGCCTGCCTGGTGGGTTTCTATTTAAGACATCTTTGTGATTATATTTAACCTGCAATTGTGCTTTGGCTTAATGTCTAGCTCACTGTACTTGTAAATGATTAATATTCAATAAAACCATTTTTAAAGTACACTTGTGTGGATAGCAGTTAGCTCTTAAGTATTTTCATTTTGCCCTGCTTGTTCATTTCTGCCTGACCAACCTTAACACAACTGACTTGAAAAACTGTCAGAATACAAATACCAACCCTCCCTCTCCATCTTCCAGTGAGACCTGGGTTTTAAGTGACTTATCCTCACGTCTCAGCCCACATGGCAGTTACTGAATAACTTCTGCAATAGCACGGGCAACATGGGTTCCTTTCAGAAATATCTCTTAAACAAACAGGCTGACACTTTAGAGCCAGACCTCCTACCAGGTCCAAAGGCAGCCCAGGGGCCTTGCACAACATGATTGCTCACAGACTCACCTTCTCCACCTCTCGGGGGAGACGGAGGGGAAGAACGCCTGCTTCATGCAACAGTCAGTATTAAATACTTAGCACAGTGCCTGGCGCAGAGGACTAAGAAAATCCTTCCATTCTTCCCCTCTTCTTTCTCCATGCCTAGGGGTCCGTTACATAGCAAATTTGAACCTAGAATTTTATCTGTACAGTAACTTTTTTGCCAGAGGGCTTGTCAGAGCAACAAACAGACATAATTAAATGGAAGTATTCTAGTAACCCTGCAAATAACAATAGCCATCATTGAGCCCCTACGTGAACCAAGTACTTTGTATACATACATTTTCATTAGTAACCCCAAAAACTTTGCAAAACTGGCCTTTTAATTCTGTTTCACAGATGAGGAACTGAAACTGGAAGTGGTTAAATTAGTTATGTTATATCCCAGAATACCTTCCACTATAAGACTAAGTACCAGAAGGCCAGGCGCAGTGGCTCACGCCTATAATCCCAGCACTTTGGGAGGCCAAGGCAGGCGGATCACGAGGTCAGGAGATCGAGACCATCCTGGCTAACACGGTGAAACCCCGTCTCTACAAAAAATACAAAAAATTAGCCGGGTGTGGTGGTGGGCGCCTGTAGTCCCAGCTACTCGGGAGGCTGAGGCAGGAGAATGGTGTGAACCCGGGAGGCAGAGCTTGCAGTGAGCCGAGATCGCACCACTGCACTCCAGCCTGGGCAAGAGAGTGAGACTCCATCTCAAAAAAAAAAAAAATTAAGTACCATTTGCTATGTACCAATCACCAATCACAGATGGAGTTTCAGTGTTTAAGCAGGAATAAAAACACAGACTTGACTCTACCACATGATTTTATGTCAGTATCTCACACAACAATCAGATTCTAAATGCCATTAGACTCAGGTGTTCCCTTTTGGTTATAGAAAAGGAAATTATAGAGGGGACAACTTTGTGAATAAGGGGTTATAGAAAGGGTTATAGAAATAGAAATCTGAATTGTGCACAAAAAGCAAGTGGAATATAAAACAGTAACTTAAAATTTCAAAAGCCTGGGTTAGTTTATGACATGGATGTATTCCAAGGGCCTGTTTTTGTAGCATCAACCACTGTGGGTTGGGGATTGGGGGAAGTGGGATGGAGCAGCTGTAAATCACTTGCTGGATTGGGTTTATTTTCTGAAGGAAATTACTTGCTGGAAAACTAGATCCTATTAATCAAAGGGATGGGTGCTTCTTGGTAGCCAGTTTTGAAGAAGTATTTTTGGATTACGTTGTCTACATTGAGTGTCTGGATGCTGTGACCTAGTTTCTCACATTAGAGGTAGCGTGTCCTATTTATAGCACCTGTCAACCTTTATCATTTGGCTAGGTTCACTTTTCTTCATTATCGTATAAGACTGTACAATAGACCTCCAAGCTGAAAGAGCACCTGACACTATACTGGAAATAATGAAAGTTGGGTCATCCATTCCCATTAAGTTGGAACGTAAGTGTCAGGTCTTCTGGTTTGCATTAGCTCTGAACACTTGGATATATAAAAAACAGTGGAAAAGGGGATGGTGTGTACGTCTTCATTTCTACCAACTACCATCTACCATACAGTGCTAATAAAACAACTTTGCATCGGACAATATGAAAGATGTTAATTTTGTTAATATGATTCTTGGCATACTGTTCCCGCCCAAGGACCCATTTATAAAATAAGTCTATTCACCTGTACTTTCATAACTCTGCCTGCAAATCAGTGGTATGTAACACAAAGTAAAAGTATAAGGTAACCGTGGTTATGAGTCATTGGGAGTATGTAGAGGCTGAAGTCAGGAAACCAGTGCTTGCCCTACAGTACAGAATTGCTTCATAACTCCAAGGCAATTCTATGAAGGCCATGTCTCTACCTTTCATCTGTCAAGTAGGAATACTCACCAGCAGCACATCCAGACGATGCTGGCTGCCATACAGTTATTTAATTTAGGACTACTTAAAAGATGTACAAGGTGATACAAATCGAACGCTTTTGGGGTCTGAGGAGAAGATGGAAGTAGAACAATGAGAATTTTAGGTGTCTAGTCTGTTAGGGTGACTGTTACCAAAACACCTGGGTTTTGATCTAGGCCCTGCTGCTTGCCGCATAGAAAGCCAATGACTGAGATGATGAGTATTGCCAAGGAAGAAGGCTTTAATAGGGTGCTGTAGTCAAGGAGATGGGAGTTCAGTCTCAAATCCATCTCCCTAACTAAAACTAGGGGTTTATATAGCAGGGAAGTAATGCGTAAAAAAACAGGAACGAGGGAGAGGCAAGGAAGCAATCATGATGATTGAGGTGTTGGGCATCTCACTGTCTGGATGTGCTGATCTGGTGAGTTTCAGTTCTATGATACGTTTTGAGAGGCCTGAGGGTTCCTTTCCTGAGGAAAGAACTAAGATAAAACAAATATAAGTTTTAAGCTTTAAGAGAAGAAGGGTCCATTTCTATGTTTATCCAAAAACAACTGTGTATGGGGCTGTTGGGTCAATTTCATAACTAGTTAGCTGAAAGGCTGTAGGATTAAAACCTCCAGCCCTGCAATCAGAAGGCCCAAGTTCATAGCTTGGTTTTACCACTTACTAGCCATGTGACCTTGAGAAGTTCCTTATTCTTCTTGGGCCTCACTTTCCTCATCATTAAAAATGAGTATACTACTACTACTACTACTACTACTACTACTACTACTACTACTACTACTATTTCATAGAGTTGCTTTGAGAATTAAATGAGTTAACTTGCATAGTATGTTCTTTTTTTTTTTTTTTAATCTGAAAACTGTCTTTCCATTCTGTCCCCTAAGAAAAAGTACTTGATTGGCTAGAATGGGAGATTAGAAGAAAGCATATCCATGACTGACTCAGACCCCTTAAAGAATCTGCCGGCCAGGCGCGGTGGCTCACGCCTGTAATCCCAGCACTTTGGGAGGCCAAGGCAGGCAGATCACAAGGTCAGGAGATAGAGACCATCCTGGCTAACATGGTGAAACCCCGTCTGTACTAAAAAAAATACAAAAAATTAGCCGGGTATGGTGGTGTGCACCTGTAGTCCCAACTACTCAGGAGGCTGAGGCAGGAGAATGGCGTGAACCTGGGAGGCAGAGCTTGCAGTAAGCCAAGATCGCACTACTGCACTCCAGCATGGACGACAGAGCGAGACTCTGTCTTAAAAAAAAAAAAAAAAAAAAAAAGTTTCTGCCTAACTGAAGCCCAGAGTGCTGCAGAGTGGAACCAGATGTCCATCTTCATCAGTGTTGATGTTGATGAGCATAGTATAGCAAAGTTCCCCAGAAGTCATCCAAATCCCCAGAAAGAAAAGCCTAAAACTATTACTGTATCAGGGTTAGACTCTAGAAGTCTGCCATAGACTCAAGGCAAATGTTGGTGACGGGTAGGGGAGGAGTTCAGGGGAGGGCCTCCCATTCAGTAAGTGTATCTAGGAGTTCAGGAAGGAAACTATCCAAAGGGTGATCAAAGTAACCACATCTTTGATAATGGAAAGACTTGGCCAGTTGGACATTTTCTAAAACTTGAGCAGGAGGCTTAGAGGAAAAGAAGGAACAAAGAGAGGTTTGAGGTTTTCTCATAGCAGGAGAGCAAAAATCCTGGTTGCCACTCAAGTTGACTTAAGCCTGATTTCATCATCAGCATCTAGTAGCATTTCTTATGGTCACAGCCATGAGTGAGAGAAAGGCAAAGGTTTATCCAACACTTTTTATTAATTTAAATCTCTTCCAAATCTTTTACTCTGATAAATTGCACTTTTATAGTCCTGATTATAGTTGCTTGGCTATCTATGTGCTTTGGACTTGTCTCTGATTAGATGGCTCTTTTTTTCATGGCAGGAACCATGGGATCCCCAACACCACCTGCCACAGTGCCCTGAACATAGAGCACTCATTCTGTTTCCAAGCAGCATTTGAACAGGCTGTCACACTGGCAGCCTGTCCTTTAGTAAACGGACTGTAGCTAGATCTTGTTAAAACACCTTCAAATACCCTAAGCTGACCACATGCTAAAGGATGAGGATAGGAGTGCAAAATAGCTTTTCGTAGACTCTGAGAACTGGAATGGATCTTTAGAGATCACCTGGTCCAGCTCTGTTATTTTTTTAATGAAGAATTTGTAGAAGGCCACATAGCTACAGTGAGGCAGGGCAGACACCAGAATCCAAACTTCTGGCTTTCATTTGGACTTATAAATAGCATTCCCACCCAATGACACTAATTCTTAAAATGACCATCTTTAATTCTTCACACTCTTTCCTCTTTCTTCTAACCTTCTACAAAGAGCTATTAAGTCTTGTAGAAATATTTCAGCCATCAAATCTCTCATTCATCCCTTGAGATCATGCCTGGACTAGCAGTTGCTCACCCCCACTACCAAAATCTTCTGAAAGCACAACTCTGATTAGAGAACTATGTCACGTGGGAAGTTACCTTGATTCAGTGGTAGCCTCCACAGATACTACCAGGCAGACTATCCCAGAGTTCCTAGAGCACAAAAGTCCAAACCAAATGAAAAAGCTCAAATACTTTTTATTACTTATTTTAATAAATCATTTAGTTTATTGAATTAAACCACATACCCAGAAGAAAAGAGTTAGCCTACTTAGAATAGGATACAAGAGACTACACTACCTCAATCTTGAGTTATACAATGTTCATGTTTCCTCCCCCTCCATCACTCCTCTTCCTCCTCTGTCACATCAGCCCTCTTGCAGATAGTACAGTTTCAAGGACCAGAGTGTGTGACTTCATGGTACGTAAGCACCTCCCAAGTAATGGGGAAGGAGGCAATGGATGCAAAGTTAATGCAAAATAATTGAGGTAAGTCTTCTCACTCAGAGAATCCTTCAAGTCCCAGCTCAAATATCTTTCAAGAAAAGCCATTCCTTGCCTACCTGGTGCCATGTGACCACTCAGCCCTTTGAGTCCAATCTGTGCCCAATACGTACCTCATTAAACTACATCACCATCCACGTAATTGTATGTTTCCTCTACCACCACAGTGAGCCACTTGGACCTGAGCCATGTGTCACTGTCATGGTCTTCCTAGTTCCCAGCCAAGTACTCATCTTTAAATTGAACTGAACTATAAAAGAAATATGAAATATGTGTCTCGTACTTTAGATGATGGAGGCATCTGATCTTGGCTGGCAGAAGAATAGAATCAAGAAAATTTTCTCAAAGGAAGAAGAGAATTGCACTGAAGCTTTGGGAATAAAAAGAAGTTAGCCACGCAAAGATAGAGTCTTCCAGGTGAAGGAAAGGCATATACAAAGGAATGGCAGTAAGAAAGAACAAATCATGTTCAAGAAGCTGGAAGGAGTTGGCCGTGGCTGAGCGTTGGGTGAGATGACAGTGGAGAGGTGAAGAGGCCGACAGAGGGGGGCAGGGCCAGAAGCAGAGAGGGTTCCATATGTTCTTCTCGGAGCTTTTAACTCTACCATGTAGGCTGGCACAGTGGCTCACATCTGTAATCCCAACACTTTGGGAGGCCAAGGCAAATGGATTACCTGAGGTCAGGAGGTCAGGACCAGCCTGGCCAACATGGTGAAATCACGTCACTCCTAAAAATACAAAAATTAGCCGAGCATGGTGGCAGGCTCCTATAATCCCAGCTACTCAGGAGGCTGAGGCAGGAGAATCTCTTGAACCCAGGAGGTGGAGATTGTAGTGAGCCAGCACTGTGCCACTGCACTCCAGCCTGGGTGACAAAGTAAGACTCTGTCTCAAAAAAAAAAAAAAAAAAAGAATAGAAAGAAAGAAAGAAAAGAAGATATACAAATGATCAATAAGCACATGAAATACACTCAGTATCACTAGTTGCTAGGGAAATGCAAATAAAACTACCATGAGGTAGCACCTCACACCCATTAAGATGACATCTTTTTTTTTTTTTTTTTTAAGGCAAGGGTATGGAGAAATTAGAACCCTTATGCACTGTTGGTGGGAAAATTAAATAGTGCAGTCACTATGGAAAACAGAATGAAAGTTTCTGAAAAAATTAAACATAGAATTACTATATGATCTAACAGTTCTGCTTCTGGGTATATATATACCCCAAACAATTGAAAGCAGAAGCTTAAACAGATACTTGTACAACAATGTTCCTTGCAGTGTCATTCACAATAGCCGAAAGGTAGACGCAGCCCATGTATACTTATATATACACACAATGGAATGTTTATTCAGCCTTAAAAAGGAATGACATTCTGATACATAATGTGACATAGATGAGCCTGGAGGACATTATGCTAAGTGAAAAAAAGCCAGTCACAAGACAAATACTGTGTGATTCCAGTTGTATGAGATACCTAGAAAGGGCAAATTCAGACTCAAAGTAGGTGGGTGGTTGCCAGGGGCTGGGGAAGGGGGAACGTGGAGTTATTATTTAATGAATATAGGGTTTTAGTTTTGCAAGATGAAAAGAGTTTTAGAGATTGGTTGCACAATTTAAATGTTTTTAAAACTACTGAACAGTATGATTAAAAAAATGGTTCATATGGCAAGATGGTAAATTTTATGTGAATTTTATGACAATTAAAATTTTTGGGCCAGGCACAGTGGCTCACACCTATAATCCCAGCACTATGAAAGGCTGAGGCAGTCTGGGCAACATGGGAAAATCCCATCTCTACATAAAATTTAAAAACTAGCTGGGTGTGATGGTGCACACCTGTGGTCGCAGCTACTCGGGAGGCTGAGGTGGGAGGATCACCTGAGACCAAGAGGTCAAGGCTGTAGTGAGGCATGTTTTTACCACCGCACTCCAGCCTGGGTGACAGAGTGAGACCCTGTCTCAGAAAAAAAAAAATTTTCTTGGCTGGGTGCAGTGGCTCATGCCTATAATCCCAGGCTTTGGGAGGCCAAGGCAGGAGGATTGCCTGAGGTCAGGAGTTTGAGGCTGCAGTGAGCTATGATCATGCCACTGCACTCCAGCCTGGGCAACAGAGCAAGACTCCATCTCTACAAAAAATTTTAAAAAATAGCCAGGCATGGTGGTGCACACTCATCTACTCAGGAGTATGAGACAGGAAGATTGCTGGAGCCCAGCAGTTCACTCAATTGAGAAAGAATAAAAATAAAGGTGTCTATCTCATACAACATGTCTGTCACAGGTGTCTGGGTACTCTGTTCACATGATGTAGTTCACATGTAGGATCCAAGCAGGGAAAGCAGCCACGACTTGGAATATTCTGGTAACTGGCAGAGAGGGAAAAAGTATGACCAAGCACACACATGCTCTTCAAGGTTCTTCCTGGAACCAACACACACCACTTCTGTTTACATTTTATTGGCAAGACAAGTCACATGGCCATGTCTAAGTTCAATGGGGAGGAGAAAGAAGTCTGATTCTCCCACATGGAGGGCTACTGGGTATTGTGAACGGTAACACAATCCACTCTCATTGTTGATAATGCAGCTTTGACAGTTGCCACAGTCACTATTTAAAACTTCAGAAATTAGAAGAGGTGCAATGTGAACATTTGCAACTGAAATTCAAGAACATAAGAAAAAGAAGCTGAACAAGACGAGTGAGCGGAGTATCCATAGAGATGGGGACGACGTGGCCTAGGAAAAGGCAAAAAAAATCCACATCTTGTTCTGGGTGACAGACACACAACATAGGTGTATAAATACATATAATTCACCGAGCTCTACACTTTTTATTTTTATTTTTTGAGATTGAATCTCACTCTCTCACCCAGGCTGGAGTGCAGTGGTGCAATCTCGACTCACTGCAACCTCCACCTCCCAGGTTCAAGTGATTCTCCTGCCTTGGCCTCCCAAGTACCTGGGATTACAGGTGTGTGCCACCACACCCAGCTAATTGCTATATTTTTAGTAGAGATGGGGTTTCACCATGTTGGCCAGGCTGGTCTGGAACTCTTGGCCTCAGTTGATCAGCCCGCCTCAGCCTCCCAAAGTGTTGGGATTACAGGCATGAGCCACTGCGCCTGGCCGAGCTCTACACTTATAATTTGTGTACGTTTAAGTTGTATCTCAAATTTTTAAAAACTAAAGAAAGGGTATGGAACCTGTGAAAGGAAAACAAATCTTGCAACCCCGTAAATCACTAAGCCAAGGGAAAAGTCAAGCTGGGAACTACATCAGGCAAACCTGCCTCCCATTTTTTCCCTAAATAAGATAGCTACAGCAGACACGGTGGCTCATGCCTGTAATCCCAGCACTTTGGGAGGCTAAGGAGGGTGGATCACCTGAAGTTAGGAGTTTAAGATCAGCCTGGCCAGCATGGTGAATCCTCGTACTAAAAACACAAAAATTAGCCAGGCGTAGTGGCAGGTGCCTGTAGTCCGGGCAACTCGGGAGGCTGAAGCAGGAGAATTACTTGAACCTGGGAGGCCGAGTTTGCAGTAAGCCAAGATCATATCACTGCACTCTTGCCTGGACAACAGAGCAAGACTCCATCTCTAAAAAAATAAATAAATAAATAAAAGATAACTACAAAAATTAAAAAAAAAAAAAGGTACATACCTCCTTCACAATTGACTCATAAGGAAATTCCTTGTGGACAAAGGACAGAGAGAACTCAAAGTCATCCCTGAGGCTCATGCATATCTGGTTTCTTCCTCTGCCCTATTGTTTCACTGAGCCAGACCAAGGCATAAGTGACTATTCCTCTACCCTTGTCTCACGTATAAATCACGTATTCAGTGAAAGGCTAATTAGAAACTCAAAAGATTGTCTCTTATCTACCTATGACCTGGAAGTCCCCTCCCCCACCTGTAGTTGTCCCACCTTTCTGGACGTAACCAACGTCCATCTCACACGTATTGATTGTTGTCTCATGTCTCCCTAAAATGTATCAAAGCAAGCTGTTCCTTGACCACCTTCGGCACACGTCATCACGCCTCCTGAGGTTGTGCCATGGGAGAGTCCTTAACCTTGGCAAAATAAACTTTCTAAATTGGTTGAGACCTGGCCAGGTGCGGAGGCTCATGCCTATAATCCCAGCAATTTGGGAGGCCGAGGAGGGAGGATCACCTGAGGCCAGGAGTTTGAGACCAGCCTGGCCAACATGACTGGAACCCTGTCTCTACTAAAAATACAAAAATTAGCCAGGTGTGGTGGCATGTGCCTATAATCCCAGCTACTCAGCAGCCTGAGGCAGGAGAATCACTTGAACCCAGGAGGTAGGGTTGCAGTGAGCCAAGATCACACCACTGCACTCCAGCTTGGATGACAGAATGAGACTCTGTCTTAAATAAATAAATAAATAAATAGGTTGAGATCTGTCTTAGTTATTTTGACTTCACAAACTAAAAAGTTGATTGAAAGCTCTAAATGTGTACATGGGGCATGACAGCTTTGAGCTAGGTGGGCTGTTCAAGGAAAAGGTTCTGCTGTTGATGTATTTTGGCAAGCTACGTTGTAGATATCAATGAATGGATTCCAGAGTTTATATGGAGAGGCAGAAGACCCAGAGAAGAACACAGTTGGAGGACTGGAGGACGGACACTATCTGACTTCAAGACTTACTATAATGTTACAGTAATCAAGACAGTGTGGTACTGGTGAAAGAACAGTGAATCGATGGCTGAGCACAGTAGCTCGCACCTGTAATCCCAACACTTTGGGAGGCCGAGGTGGGAGGATTGCTTGAGCTCAGAAGTTCAAGACCAGCCTGGGCAACATGGCGAAACCCCATCTCTGCCAAAAATACAAAAGGTCAGCCAGGCATCGTGGTGTGTGCTTATGGTTCCAGCTGAAGGAGGCTGAGGCAGGAGGTTTCCCTGAGCTGGGGAGGCAGAGGTTGCAGTGAGCCAAGATCATACCACTGCACTCCAGGCTGGGTGACAGTGAGATTCCATCTCAACAAAAAATAAAAAAAAGGAAAGGAAAGGAAGGGAAGGGAAGGGGAAAGGGAAGGGGAAAGAGAAAGGGAAAGGAAGGGAAGGGAAAAGGAAAAAGAAAAGGGAAAGGAAAAGGGAGGGAAGGGAAAGTAAAGGAAAGGAAAGGGGGGAGGCAGGGAATAGATCAATGGGACAGAATAGAGAGCCCAGAGACAGACCCACATGAATATAATCAACTGATCTTTCACAAAAGAACAAATGCAATACAATGGAGAAAAGAGTTTTTTCAGCAAGTGGACATCCAACATGCAAATAAAAAAAAATGAACCTAGATGCGGACTTTACACACTTCACAAAAATTAACTCAACATGGATGATAGGCTTGAATGTAAAACTCAGAATTGAAACCCTTAGAAGATAACATAGGAGAAAATCTCGATGCCCTGAGTTGGTCAATCACTTTTTTAGATACACCAAAGACATGATCCATCAAAGAAATAATTGATAAGCTAAATTTCATTAAAATTAAAAGCTTCTGCTCTATGAAAGACACTGTCAAGAGAATGAAAAGCCAACTCATAGAGTAGAAGAAAATGTTTGCAAAAGATATAACTGATGAAGCACTGTTAGCCAAAATACACAGAGAAGTTGTAAAATTCCACAATTAGAAAATTAACAACCTCAGTAAAAAATGGGCAAGGAGATACACAGATGGCAAATAAGAATGTGAAAAGATGGCCAACTTCATAAATCATCAGGGAAATGCAAATTGAAACAATGAGATACTACTACACACCTATTCACATGGCCCAAATCCCAAACATTGACAACACCAAATGCTGACAAGAATGTGGAACAACAGGAACTCTCATTCATTTCTTAGTATTTACCCAAATGAGTTGAAAACTTATGTCCACATGAACCTGCACACATAATTGTCAAAACTAGGAAGCCACCAAGACATCCTACAGTAGGAGAATGGATAAACAAACTCTGGTCCATCCAAACAATGAAATTTTATTCAGTGCTAAAAAGAAATGAGCTATGAAGCCATGAAAAGACATAGAGAAACCTTAAGTGCTTAATACTAAGTTAAAGAAGCCAATCTGAAGACTTCTTTTCAGAAGAAAGATATAGGGGATCAGTCAGTGTGGCCAGAAAAATTGTAAGATGAAGTTATAGGATATAGACACAAACCTTCTTGGAAAGCCAGAAGGTTAGCATAGCTTCAGTAAAAGATTTGGCTGAAGGCAGTCTAATCCTCTTTACCTTTAGTTGATAGCAAAAAAGCAAATAACAAGGAAATGTGGGGAAGTTTATCTAAATAGCTTGTTTACTCATGAGGTCCTAAGACCAACCTTTGATCAACCGCAGGTGCATAACTGCTCTCTACTCAGGGGTCGGCAACCAGGTCAATTACCCACAGATGTGTTGACTCAAAGCCTTTATCATTTAATCTGTACTAAATAAATGTGAACTGCGCTGGCTTATCAGCGGGATGCTCCAGACTCAGAGCAGAGCCCCTTAGCGGGACTGACAGGCAGAATATCTGTGTTAGTGTACATCTCTCATCCATTGCTGGGTTAGGTCTGCGGGTCAGATATCTGCAGAAAGGGGCTCAAGCTACGATAGAGGCAGCTTTCTTTGTCTAAATATTCTTTAAAATAGGGCAGGATAGGCCAAATGTGATGGCTTATGCCTGTAATCCTAGCACTTTGGGAGGCCAAGGTGGAAGGATTGCTTGAGGTCAGGCGTTTGAGGCTGCAGTGAGCCATGATCACGCCCCTGCACTCCAGCCTAGGCAACAGAGCAAGACTCCATCTCTACAAAAAAATTTTAAAAAATAGCCAGGCATGGTGGTGAACACCTGTGGTCCCAGCTACTCAGGAGGACTGCTTGAGCCCAGGAGTTCAAGAGCGTAGTGAGCTATAATCACACCACTGCACAGCCTGGGCAACAGAGCAAGAACCCATCTCTAAAAAAAAAAAAAGAAAGAAAAGAAAAAAGGACAGGATAGCAGATACGCTAAAGAATTGAAAGCAGGGGCTGGGCGCAGTAGCTCACACCTGTAATCCCAGCATTTCGGGAGGCCGAGGCAGGTGGATCACCTGAGGTCAGGAGTTCGAGATCAACCTGGCCAACATGGTGTAACACCGTCTCTACTAAAAATACAAAAATTAACCTGGCATGGTCATGAGTGCCTATCCCAGCTATTTGGGAGACTGAGACAGGAGAATCACTTGAACCGGGGAGGCAGAGGTTGCAGTGAGCTGAGACCGCGCCAATGCACTCCAGCCTGGGCAACAAGAATGAAACTCCGTCTCAAAAAAGAAAAGAAAAAGAATTGACAGAGGGACTCAAACAGATGTTTGTTTTTAAAAAATGATTGCAAGTGAAGCCAAAAGACAAATGACAAATGACAAACTGACAAAAATGTTACAAATGTTTTGCAATAGATAGGGGACTAATCTCCTTAATATACAAAGAGTTCTTGCAAATCTATGAGAAAAAAGTTAGGTGAAAATTATAAACTTATGAACACACAGTTCATAGAAAAAATAGAAATTGTTCTTGAATATATATAAAATGCTCAGTCTCCTAAGAAAACAAAAGCAATTTAAAACAAGGTAATAATTCGAGCTACACCTACTAGATTGGCAAATACAGGATGTTTATGACAAATGTGTTGGTGTAAAAAATGTTGGTGTAAAAAAGTGAAAACCAGTGGATGGGGGAAGAGATTACGTAAATATAGATTCATAAATACCTTCACGTACTGACTTGTATATGCAAAGAATATCTTCTGGAGGAGTCTGGGAAAATCTGGTGACACTAGTAACATTTATGTCCACACAAAAGCCTGCACACAGATATTTATAGAAGCTTTATTCATAATTGCCCAAACTGGGAAGCTCTAAGATTTCCTAGATAAATAAACTCTGGTCCATCCAAACAATGGAATTTTATTCAGTGCTAAAAAGAAATGAGCTACCAAGCCATGAAAAGACATGGAGGAAACTTAAATGCTTATTACTAAGTTAAAGAAGCCAATCTGAAAAGGCTTTTACGAATAAAGCGTCTGTAAACATCCATGTGCAGGTTTTCATGTGGATACACTAGCTGCCCCAAGGAACATGGTTGAGAGACGTTTTATTATACACAATTCTGTGCCTTTTGAATTTTGAGCTATGTGAATAAATTATTTAAATAACTAAAACTTAAGACTGTATTAGGTGATTTATCACTTGACTTGGAGAGATTTCCACAATATATTGAGGGAAGCAAAACACAGAAAATTATGTATTGTATGGTCCTGTTTTTATGAAGCAAACAATACTGAGTAAAACCCCACATACAACTAAACACACAGGAAATGGTGTATGTGGATTATACTATTACACCCAATGCTACATTATATTGACTATGAGTCTATGAGCATGGAGAAAGAGGGAAGGTCACATAATTGTTAACAATTGTTTGTTTACAGGGTATAAAAGGAGGAAGGAAAGTCAAAAGAAAGTATTCTCTAACAATGTGCCTGACATATTTACAAAATACCATATGTATGTATGCTAATACATATATACTTACATCTACCTATCATCTAACTAAAATATGAAACAGAATCATTGACAAGCCACAAGAAAAGACAGCAATCTTGACTCTCTGTCGGAACATCAAGCATATATACATACACCTGTATGTATGTGTAAAAATAAGAGTGTTACGCATACGTGTCTCTAGTCCCAGGCAACTATTAATCCGTTTTTTGTCTCTATAGATTTGCCTTTTCTAGCAAGTTTACATAAGAAAATCACATATATAAAGATGGTCATGGAAGGCTAAAGGTAGTTGTTTCAGAGATACAGGACTTCCTGGGACTTTGTTTTTCAATTTTTTTTCTGAGGCGGAGTCATACCGTTGCCCAAGTTGGAGTAAAGTGGCGCCATCTCACCTCACTACAACCTTCACCTCCTGGGTTTGAGCCATAAGTGTTACCTGCCTCAGCCTCCTGAGTAGTGATATTAGCAGTAATATCGAATATATTATGAATGATATCACAGGGTGTACATCCCGGGTGTACACTCACTCTGACATTAGCAGTAATATCAAAGATATTATGAATAACATCACAGGGTGAAACCCACTGTGATCTCACAAGTAATATCAAAGTTATTATGAATAATTTCACAGGGTGTACACCCACTGTGATATTAGCAGTCATCTTGAAGATATTATGAACAATATCATAGGATGTACACACACTGTGATACTAGAAGTAATCTTCAATTTTATTTTATTTCAATTTATGACAGTGGGTGTACAGGGTGTATTACAGGGTGCACACGCACTGTCATATAAACAGTAATACCAAAGATATTATGAATAATATTAAACGGTAATCACCAATGTGATAATAGCAGTAATATCGAAGATATGAATCACATCACAGGGTGTACAACCACTGTGATATTAGCGGTAATATAAAAAATATTATGAATAATATCACAAGGTGCACGCCCAGGGTATATACCCCTGTAATATTAGCAGTAATAGAGACGATATTATGAATAATATGACAGGGTGCACACCCAGTGTACAACCACTGTGAAATTAGCAGGAATATCCAAGATTTTACAAATATCACAGGGTGTACACTCACTGTGATATTAGCAGTAATATCAAAGATATTATGAATGATATCACAGGGTGTACATCCAGAATGCATACCCACTGTGATATTAGCAGTAACATCAAAGATATTATGAATGATATCACAGGGTGGACACCCAGGATGTACACCCAAGGTGATATTAGCAGTAATAGCAAAGATATCATGAATAATAAAACAGGGTTGGGGTGTACACCCACTATGATATTAGCAGTAATAGTGAAGATATTGTGAGTAACAAAACAGGGTGTACACCCACTGTAATATTAGAAGTAATATCAAAGATATGATGAATAATACAACAGGGTGTACACCCACTGTGATATTAGTAGCAATACCGAAGATCTTACGAATATCATCACAGGGTGTACACACACTATGGTATTAGCTGTAATATCAAAAATATTATAAATAATATCACAGGGTGTACACCCACTGTGATATTAGCAGTAATACCGAAGATATTATGAATAATACCACATGGTGTACACTCAGGGTGTACAACCACTGTGATAATAGCAGTAATATCAAAGATATAACACATCTTTGGTAAGATATTCTGATATTAGATACACACTGTGATATTATTTGCAATATCTAAGGGAAGATATTACTCCTAATATCACAGTGGGTGTACACCCTGTGATATTATTCGCAACATCTAAGGAAAAAAATGACTCTTAATATCATAGTGGGTGTACACCCTTGATATTATTCATAATACCTAAGGAAAGATGCTACTCCTAATATCACAGTGGGTGTATACCCTGTGATATTATTCATAATATTTAAGGGAAGATATTATTACTAATATCACAGTGGGTGTAAACCCAGTAATATTATTAGTAATATCTAAGGGAAGACATCACTCCTAATATCATAGTGGGTGTACACCCTGTGATACTATTTCTAATATCTACAAGAAGATGTTACTTCTATATCAGAGTGGGTTTACAGGCTGTGATATTAATTGTAGTATCTATGGGAAGATATTACTTCTAATATCACAGTGGGTGAACACTCTGTGATATTATTCATAAAATCTAAAGAAAGACATTACTCCTAATAACACAGTGGGTGTACACCCTGTGTGTATACCCTGTAATATTATTCATACTATGTACCAAAAGACACTGCTCCTAATATCACAGAGGGTGTACACACTGTGTGTACACCTTGTAATATAATTCCTAATATCTGAGGGAGATATTAAACCTGATATCAAAGTGGGTGTACACCCTGTGATATTATTCCTGATGATATCTAAGGGAGATATTACCCCTAATATCACAGTGGGTATACACCCTATTATATTATTCATAATATCTAAGGAGGATATTACCCCTAATACCACAGGAGCTGTACACACTGTGATATTATTCGAAATATTTACAGGAGATATTACTCCTAATATCACAGTGGGTGTACACCCTGTGATATTATTCATAATTTTTTTTTTTTTGAGATGGAGTCTCACTCTGTCGCCCAGGCTGGAGCGCAGTGGCGCGATCTTGGTTCACTGCAAGCTCCGCCCCCCGGGTTCATGCCATTCTCCTGCCTCAGTCTCCCGGTAGCTGGGAATACAGGTGCCCGCCACCATGCCAGGCTAATTTTTTTTTTTTTTTTTGTATTTTTAGTAGAGACAGGGTTTCACCGTGTTAGCCAGGATGGTCTTGATCTCCTGACCTCATGATCTGCCGGCCTTGGCCTCCCAAAGTTTTGGGATTACAGGCATGAGCCACCGCGCCCGGCCTATTCGTAATATTTAATTATATCACAAGGATTGTATACCCTGTGATATAATTCATAGTATCTAAGGGAGATATTACTCCTAATATCACAGTGGGTGTTCCCCTGTGATATTATTTGTAATATCAAAGAAATATGTTACTCCTAATATAACAGTGGGTGTACACCCTGTGATAGTATTTGTAATATCCTAAGGAGATATTACTCCTTATATCACAGTGGGTGTACACCCTTTGATATTATTCATAATAACCTATGGAGATAGGAAAGGCCAATTGTGTGGAAATCTACGAAGTCTGTCTGGCTGTTTTATTCATATTCATTCATTCATTCATTCATTTATTCAAACAGCTCTTCTATACTGGATGTGCCTATTAGGTGGCAGGCACTCTTTAAATGCTAGCAATGCCGCTGTGAGCTCTCTCCTGAAGCTCATCTGAAGGCTAAGAACATATGGCTGGAACAAATCAACATAAAACAGAATGTCGGGTTTGAAGAAAAGTGCAGCAGAGTGTCGGGAAGGGAAGGGGAGGTGGCGCAGGAGGGAGTAATGCTTCACTTCAGAGGAAGCAGCCGGGAAAAGGCACTCGGAGAGGCGCTGGAGTGAGCTGTGGACGAAGTGAGGCGAGGGCCAGGGCAGATTTGGGGAGAGGGTCCCAGGCATGGGGGAGCAGCACGGGCTGGAGCAAGAATGTGCTCAGGGCACTCAGGGGACAAGGGAGAGGCCCTCGCAGCTGGAGTGCTGGAAAGGGAGGTCATTCTGCTCTTACGGGTGTTGAGCAGTGAGCCCCACAAGGAGGCCAGGGCAGGGGCCAGGCAAGGGCCCTGTGGCCAGCCTAGGACGACAAGGAGAAGTTGGGGAGAGGTCATACCTGGGAGCTGCTTTTGTAGGGAGTTCGGTCAGGATGGTGGGAAAAGTTGTAAGCAAAAGTTACAGGGAAAGACACAAACCTTCTTGGAAGGCTGGGAAGTTTTGAAAAGCTTCGAAAAACATTTTGGCTGAAGGCAGCCAAATTCTCTTATCTGGAGCCTGAGAGCAAAGGGTAGATAACAAGGGAATGTAAAGGAACATATCTAGATAAATTTGGTTACTCTATCTCCAGAAACCAACCTATGATCATTTGCACACAGGACTGCTCTCTACTCGGGGGGTCAACAATGTTTATTACTCACCAATTGTGTCTGCTCCAAGCCCTTGTCATTAAATCGGTACTAAATAAATGCAAGTGGGGCCGGCTTATGGGAGCCGCATTCTCTTGGCGACTGCGGTACTCTCGTTGGTGGTGCTGAGCCACGCGGTACCCTAGCTGAGCTGTCAGGCAAAATATCTGTGTCAGTGTACTCCTTTCATTTGTGACTTGGCTGGAGTCTGTGGGACAGACTCAGCAGGTGGTGCCCCATGTGATGCACACTGCAACAGATCGTGACAGAACCCTCAAAAACAAAGGTGAAGAGACTGCACAGTCAGTAAGTCATTGGTGCCCATTCGGGATTTCCAAGTTCAAGGGAATTGTTCAGGCTGGAGTTTCATCGTGGGACAACAGTTATCACCTCAACAGAAACAATATATAAACGTATTGAAACAGCTATTTAAAGCTAGTGGTTTTGCAGGCTCAATTAAGGGACCTAATGCAAACTGTTGTTTCCCATAACCCATGGTTCCCGGAAGAAGGGACACTAGACGTAGAGCTCTGGGAACAAGTGGGGAGAAATCTTAAACAACATCATGCACAAGGGCAACGGCTCCCAGTAGCATCTCTAATTTATGGGCCTTAGTTAGGGCTGCTTTTGCCCCCCTCTACACAGAAGAGCCTAAAAAGGGAAGGGAGGAGGAACTGTCACCTACCTTACCGCCTCCTCCTTCTCCCTCAGCCCAGCCATTACCAGGCAAAAATACCAAAGGAAACAGAGGTTTTGCCTAAGCCCCCTCCCCCAATAAATTGGAAAAAAGACAAGGGATATGCTACAGCTATGGGACCCTGTCTTAGGCAAGCGGCATTAGAAGGGGAGCTCTTAGCCTGCCCGGTAATGCGAGATCGAGAAGGCCATCGGGTATATGACCCCATTATTTCCAACACTTATAAAGAGATAAGAAAAAGCATTAGAGAAAACGGAGCCACTAGCCCATTTACAAAAGGGTTAATTGAGGTCACTCTGCAGACCGCTTTCTAATCATGGCCACTGCTATTCCTCCCCTACCCCTGAGGTGGATTTCTCAAAATCCTATTTGGGTAGAATAGTAGCCTTTAAAGGGAGAGAAATTACAACGAGCCCATGAATTAGTTCAGGAGCAATTAAAAGCCGGCCATACAGAACCATCAAACAGCCCTTGGAAGTCACCCATTTTTGTCAATCCCAAAAAGTCTGGCAAGTGGAGACTTTTGTATGACTTATGGGCTATCAGTGCTTGTTTGCAACCTATGGAGTCCCTTCAACAGGGCCTCCCTTCCCCCGCAACGATTCCTCAAGATTGGCCTATAGTCATTATTGACTTAAAAGACGGCTTTTATACTATTCCCCTAGTAGAACAGGACAGAGAACAATTTGCATTTACAATACCAGCCATCAATAATGAAAGGCCAGCTTGCCTATTTCATTGGAAAGTACTTCCTCAAGGAATGCTGAACAGTCCTACCATGCGTCAGTATCATGTAAATCAGGCTTTGTTTCCCAGTAGAAAAGAATTTCCTAATTGCAAGATTATTCATTTTGTCGATGATATTTTACTAGCAGCCCCAACGGAGCCAGTGCTTTTAAGTTTATATGCGTCTGTCATAAAGAATACACAGTTAAGAGGTTTAATCATCATAGCACCTGAAAAAGTACAATTGTCTTCTCCTTGGAAATATCTTGGATACATATTAACTTCCCAGTCAATAAGACCTCAAAAGGTTGCATTAAATACAAGCAACTTACGTATGTTTAAAGACTATCAAAAATTACTGGGTGATATTAATTGGCTTTGCCCCACCTTGGGCATAACTACTAATAAGTTACAAAACCCGTTTTCTATCCTAAAGGGCAATACACTCCTAAACTCTCCCAGGTATTTAACTCCTGCAGCAAAAAGGGAAATTGAGGAAATAGAGCTAACTATTTCTCAGAGGCAACTAGATCACATAGATCCACGATATTCAGTTCAATTGTTTGTTTTTCCTACTAAACATTCCCCAACAGGATTACCAGGACAGATGGCCCCAGGGCTGCACTTTCTAGAATGGGTTTTTTGCTCACATACAGGAACTAAAACACTATCTCCCTATATCCAGCTGGTTAGTGAAGTCCTCTATACAGGCTGTAGACAATGCAATTAGTTGCTAGGTTATGACCCTGATGTCACAAGAATTTCTTTGAGTAAAACGCAACTTGAAGCAGTACTGCCCCTATCTCTAGATCTTCAGATAGCACTCTGATTATGCAGGCCATACAGAGCATGTCCTTCCTGCTGACAAACTAATTCAGTTCTTATCTCATACTCCTGAACATGTGCCTACAAAAGTAGTTCACTCCCCCATACCTAACGCTTTAATGCTTTTTACTGACGGCTCTGGGAAAAATGGAAAATGGTGGAGACTGCATAATTCCCTCACTCGTTCTGGACTTACTAGCACTCAGAGAGCTGAGGTTGGAGCCTTAATATTGGCCCTGGAGACCTTTTCCACTCAGCCCATCAATATTGTTAGTGACTCTGCTCACTCTGTTTATTTATCGCAGAACTTTGAGACAGCCCTCATTAAGTCCACTCTCAGGCCCACCCTGTGTGCACTTTTTCTTTGACTTCAGCAATTGCTAGATCAACATACACATCCTATTTTTATCACACATATTCGAGCCCACAGCTCACTGCCTGGCCCCCTGGCTTACGGCAATGATCAAGCAGACCTGCCGGTTATGACGTCACTAATTGACCAAATCACCCCGTCACATCAATTTTTCCACCAAAATTGGAGGAATTTGTCTAAACAATTTCATCTTACCCAAAGAGGAGCTAAACAAATTATCCTGCAATGCCCAGATTGCCAGCTCACAGGCACATCCCCTCTGTCAGGCCTCTGAGCCCAAGCCTGCAGGTATACATCCAGATGGCCTGAAGCAACTGAAGAATCACAAAGGTAAAAATGGCCCGTTCCTGATTTAACTGATGACATTACCTGGTGAAACTCCTTCTCCTGGCTCAGAAGCTCTCCCACTGAGCACCTTCTGACCCCCGCCCCTGCCTGCAAGAGAACAACTCCCTTTGACTGTAATTTTCCACTACCTACCCAAATCCTATAAAACTGCCCCACCCCTATCTTCCTTGCTGACTGTTTTCGGACTCAGCTCGCCTGCACCCAGGTGATTAAAAAGCTTTATTGCTCACACAAAGCCTGTTTGGTGGTCTCTTCATATGGACACGCATGACATTTGGTGCCGAAGACCCGGGACAAGAGGACTCCTTTGGAAGACTGGTCACCTGTCCTCGCCCTCACTCCATGAGGAGATCCACCTACGACCTCGGGTCCTCAGACCAACCAGCCCAAGGAATATCTCACCAACTTCAAATCGGGTAAGCAGTCTTTTCACTCTTTTCCAGCGTCTCTCACTACCCTTCACTCTTCCTCTCTCACTACCCTTCAATCTCCTTGTCCTTCCAATTCCAGTTCTTTTTCCTCTCTAGTAGAGACAAGGGAGACACTTTTTTTTTTTTTTTTTTTTTTTTGAGACAGAGTGTCCCTCTGTCGCCCAGGCTGGAGTGCAGTGGCGCGATCTTGACTCATTGCAAGCTCCGCCTCCTGGGTTCACACCATTCTCCTGCCTCAGCCTCCTGAGTAGCTGGAACTATAGGTGCCCGCCACCGCGCCCGGCTAATTTTTTGTATTTTTTAGTAGAGACGGGGTTTCACCACATTAGCCAGGATGGTCTCGATCTCCTGACCTCGTGATCCACCCACCTCAGCCTCCCAAAGGAGACACATTTTATCTGTGGATCAAAAACTCCAGTGCCAGTCATGGATTCAGGAAGACAGTCTTCCCTTGGTGTTTAATCAATGCGGGGATGCCTGCCTGATTATTCACCCACATTCCATTGGTGTCTGATCATCGTGGGGATGCCTGTCTTGGTCATTCACCCACATTCCCTTGGTGGCAACTCAATTGTGGGGACACCTGCTTTGGCTGCTCACCCACATTGCAGCCCAGGGCTGCTCACCATCCCCCTTCTCTGTGTCTCCACCCTTTCTTTTCTCTGGGCTTGCCTCCTTCACTATGGGCAACCTTCCACCCTCCATTCCCTGTTCTTCTCCCTTAGCCTGTGTTCTCATAAACTTAAAACCTCTTCAACTCTCACCTGATCTAAAACCTAAGCATCTTATTTTCTTCTGCAACACTGCTTGGCCCCAATACAAACTCGATAATGGTTCTAAATAGCCAGAAAAGAGCACTTTTGATTTCTCCACTTTGCAAGACCTGGATAGTTTTTGTCTAAAAAAATGGGCAAATGGGTCTGAAGTGCCTGACGTCTGGGCATTCTTTTACACATTGGTTCCTCCCTAGTCTGTGCTCCCAATGTGACTCATCCCAAATCTTTCTTCTTTCTCTCCTGTCTGTTCCTTCAGTCTCCACCCCAAGCTCTGAGTCCTTTGAATCCTCCTTTTCTATGGACCCATCTGACCTCTCCCCTCCTCCCCAGGCTGCTCCTCACCAGGCTGAGCCAGGTCCCAATTCTTCCTCAGCCTCTGCTCCCCACCCTATAATCCTTTTATCACCTCCCCTCCTCACCCCTGGTCCAGCTTACAGTTTTCTTCTACAACTAGCCCTCCCCCACCTGCTGGAGCTAAAGGCATAAGTCAAGGTTAATGTTCCTTTTTCTTTATCTGACCTCTCCCATATCAGTTAGCATTTAGACTCTTTTTCATCAAATATGAAAACCCAGGCCAGTTCATGGCCTGTTTGGCAACAACCTTTAGATGCTTTACAGCCCTAGACTCTGAAGGGTAAGAAGGTCGTCTCATTCTACATATGCATTTTATCACCCAGTCAGCTCCTAACATTAGAAAAAAGCATCAAAAATTGGAATCCAGCCCTCAAACCCCACAACAGGAATTAATCAACCTCGCCTTCAAGATGTTCAATAATAGAGAGGAGGCAGCCAAATGACAACGCATCTCTGAGTTACAGCTACTTGCCACCCCTGTAAGACAACCCACAACCACGTCTCCAGCATACAAGAACTTCAGAACATCCAAGCCACAGCTCCCGGGGCTCCTTCAAAACTTCCTCGTGGACCTTGCTTCAGATGCCAAAAGCCTGGCCACTGGGCCTCAGGATGCCACAGCCCAGGATTCCTCCTAAGCTGTGCCCTGTCTGTGTGGGCCCCTACTGGAGGTTGGACTGTCCAACTCACATCACCGCCACTCCTAAAACTTCTGGGGCTGAAACCCAACATTCCTTGGCCGACTCCTTCCCAGATCTCCTCAGCTTAGCAGCTGAAGACTGATGCTGGCCGATCGCCTCGGAAGCCCCGTGGACCATCATGGACGCCAAGCTTCGGGTAACTCTTACAGGGGAGGGTAAGTCCATCCCCTGTTTAATCGATACAGGGGCTACCCACTTTTCATTACCTTCCTTTCAAGGGCCTGTTTCCTTTGCCCCCACAACTGTTGTGGGTATTGACGGCCAAGCTCCAAAACCCCTTAAAACTCCCTCACTCTGGTGCCAACTTAGACAACATTCTTTTATGTACTCCTTTTTAGTTATCCCCATCTGCCCAGTTCCCTTGTTAGGCTGAAACATATTAACCAAATTATTTGCTTCCCTGACTATTCCTGGACTACAGCCACATCTCATTGCCACCATTCTCCCCAACCCAAAGCCTCCTTTGCGTCTTCCTCTTGTATCCCCCCACCTTAACCCACAAGTATGGGACACCTCTACTCCCTCCCTGGCAACCGATGATATGCCCATTACTATCCCATTAAAACCTAATCACCCTTACCCTGCTCAACACCAGTATCTCATCCCTCACCATGCTCTAAGGGGATTGAAGCCTGTTATCACTCGCCTGCTACAGCATGGGCTTCTAAAGCCTATAAACTCTCCTTACAATTCCCCCATTTTCCCCGTCCAAATACCGGACAAGTCTTACAGGTTAGTTCAGGATTTGTGCCTTACCAACCAAATTGTTTTACCTATCCACCCCACTGTGCCAAACCCATATACTCTCCTGTCCTCGATACCTTCCTCCACAACTCACTATTCCATTCTTGATCTTAAAGATGCTTTCTTCACTATTCCCCTGCACCCCTCATCCCAGCCTCTCTTTCCTTTTACCTGGACTGACCCTGACACCCATCAGCCTCAGCAACTTACCTGGGCTGTACTGCCACAAGCCTTCAGGGACAGCCCCCATTACTTCAGTCAAGCACTTCCTTGTGATTTACTTTCTTTCCGTCCATCTGCTTCTCACCTTATTGAATATTTTGACAACCTTCTACTTTAGAACCCCTCCTACAAATCTTCCCAACAGGACACCCTCCTGCTCCTCCAACATCTGTTCTCAAAAGGATATCACGTATCCCCCATCAAAGCCCAAATTTCTTCCACATCCATTACCTATCTCAGCATAATTCTTCATAAAAACACACGTACTCTCCATGCTGATCATGTCTGGCTAATTTCCCAAACCCAACCCCTTCTGCAAAGCAACAACTCCTTTCCTTCCTGGGCATGGTCAGATATACTTTCATCTTTGGATACCTGGCTTTGCCATGCTAACAAAACCATTATATAAACTCACAAAAGGAAACCTAGCTGACCCCATAGATCCTAAATCCTTTCCCCACTTGCCTTTCTGTTCCTTAAAAACAGCCCTAGAAGCTGTTCCCACACTAGCTCTCCCTAACTCATCCCAACCCTTTTTCATTAAACACAGCTGAAGTACAGGGCTGTGTGGTGGCATTTCTTACACAAGAACCAGGACTGCAGCCTGTAGCCTTTCTGTCCAAACAACTTAACTTTACTGTTTCAGTCTGGCCCCCCACATTATTCCTGATACCACACCTGACCCCCGTGACTATATGTCTCTGATCCACCTGACATTCACTCCATTTCCCCATATTTCCTTCTTCCCTGTTCCTCACCCTGATCACACTTGGTTTATTGATGGCAGTTCCACCAGGCCTAATTGCCACTCACCAGCAAAGGCAGGCTATGCTATAGTATCTTCCACATCTACCGCTCTGCCCCACCCCACTACCTCTCAGCAAGCCAAACTCATTGCCTCAACTCAGGCCCTCACTCTTGCAAAAGGACTACGTGTCAATATTCATACTGATTCTAAATATGCCTTCCATATCCTGCACCACCGTGCTATTATATGGGCTGAGAGGTTTCCTCACTACGTAAGGGTCCTCCCTCATTAATGTCTCTTTAATAAAAACTCTTCTCAAGGCCGCTTTACTTCCAAAAGGAAGCTGGAGTCATTCACTGCAAGGGCCATCAAAAGGCATCAGATCCCATCGCTCAGGGCAACGCTTATGCTGATAAGGTAGCTAAAGAAGCAGCTAGCATTTCAATTTCTTTCCCTCATGGCAAGTTTTTCTCCTTCTCATCAGTCACTTCCACCCACTCCCCCACTGAAACTTCCCCCTATCAATCTCTTTCCACACAAGGCAAATGGTTCTTGGACCAAGGAAAATATCTCCTTCCAGCCTCACAGGCCCATTCTATTCTGTTGTCATTTCATAACCTCTTCCATGTAGGTTACAAGCCTCTGGCCCACCTCTTAAAACCTCTCATTTCCATCATGGAAATCTATCCTCAAAAAATCACTTCTCAGTGTTCCATATGTTGTTCTACTACTCCTCAGGGATTGTTCAGGCCCCTTCCCTTCCCTACACATCAAGCTCAGAGATTTGCCCCTGCCCAGGACTGGCAAATTAACTTTACTCACATGCCCTGAGTCAGGAAACTAAAATACCTCTTGGTCTGGGTAGGCACTTTCACTGGATGGGTACAGGTCTTTCCCACAGAGTCTGAGAAGGCCACTGTGGTCATTTCTTCTCTTCTGTCAGACATAATTCCTCAGTTTGGACTTCCCACCTCTATACAGTCCGATAACAGACTGGCCTTTATTAATCAAGTCACCCAAGCAGTTTCTCAGGCTCTTGGTATTTAGTGGCTCCTGGTTTTACCTCAAACCACCACCCTTAGGTCTCTCTTGAAGTGGATAGAAGATCTTCACTGGCGGCCGGGCGCGGTGGCTCACGCCTGTAATCCCAGCACTTTGGGAGGCCGAGGCGGGTGGATCATGAGGTCAGGAGATCGAGACCATCCTGGCTAACAAGGTGAAACCCCGTCTCTACTAAAAATACAAAAAATTAGCCGGGCGTGGTGGCGGGCGCCTGTAGTCCCAGCTACTCGGGAGGCTGAGGCAGGAGAATGGCGTGAACCCGGGAAGCGGAGCTTGCAGTGAGCCGAGATTGCGCCACTGCAGTCCGCAGTCCGGCCTGGGCGACAGAGCGAGACTCCGTCTCAAAAAAAAAAAAAAAAAAAAAAAAAAAAAAAAAGAAGATCTTCACTGGCAATCTTCACCAATACTCCAAAAAGTGTACTCCAATACTTTCACCCTGATGAATTCCTATTCTTTACTTTTATACTCACTCTTACTCTCGTTCCCGTTCTTATACCACTCTCTACCTCTCCCCAGCTATCTCCACCACACTGTCAATCTCACTCACTCTCTCCTAGCCATTTCTAATCCTTCTTTAACAAACAATTCTTGTCTTTGCATTTCTCTTTCCTCCAAAATCGCCGAGGCCTCAACTTACTCACTGCTAAAAAAAAAAAAAAAAAAAGGAGACTCGCTATATTTTTAAATGAAGAGTGTTGTTTTTATCAATCTGGACTGACATATGACAACATAAAAAAACTCAAGGATAGAGCCCAAAAACTTGCCAACCAAGCAAATAATCACACTAAACCCCTTTAGGCACTCTGATTGGATATCCTTGGTCCTCTCAATTCTTAGTCCTTCAATACCTGTTTTTCTCCTCTTACTGGGACCTTGTGTCTTCTGTTTAGTTTGTCAATTCATACAAAGCCATATCCAGGCCATCACCTGTCATTGTATATGACAAATATTCCTTCTAACAACCTCACAATATCACCTCTTACCACAAAATCTTCCTTCAGCTTAATCTCTCCCACTCTAGGTTCCCATGCTGCCCCTAATCCCACTTGAAACAGCCCTGAGAAACATCACCCATTATCTCTCCATACCACCCCCAAAAAATTTTTGCTGCCCCAACACTTCAACATTATTTTTTTTTATTAATATAAGAAGACAGGAATGTCAGGCCTCTGAACCCAAGCCTGTATGTATACATCCAGATAGCCTAAAGCAACTGAAGAATCACAAAAGAAGTAAAAATGGCCAGTTCCTGACTTAACTGATGACATTACCTGGTGAAACTCCTTCTCCCAGCTCAGAATCTCTCCCACTGAGCACCTTGTGACCCCTGCCCCTGCCTGCAAAAGAACAACTCCCTTTGACTGTAATTTTCCACTACCTACCCAAATCCTATAAAACTGCCCCACCCCTAACTCTCTTTGCTGACTCTCTTTTCGGACTCAGCCCACCTGCACCCAGGTGATTAAAAAGCTTTACTGCTCACACAAAGCCTGTTTGGTGGTCTCTTCACATGGATGTGTGTGACACCCTCCTTCAACAGGCATTAACCCTAGAAGACTAGAACCTAATCAGTTATGGCAAACAGATGTTACACACGTCCCTGAATTTGAAAAACTTAAATATGTACATGTATCCATTGATACCAATTCTCACCTAATTAGCACACATGCTCTTCCTGGAGAGTCCACCCAATATGTTATTAAACATCTTCCCTTAACTTCTGCATTTATGAGGCAGCCTACAAAAATTAAAACTGATAATGGTCTGGCATATGCCAGCTCACTATTTCAACAATTTTGTCACATGTGGAACATCCAACATTTCACAGGCATCCCATATAACCCCCAAAGACAGGCCATAGTAGAACATGTCCATTCCACTCTTAAAAATAGGCTCGAAAACAAAAAAGGGGAATATGAGTAAGAACCCTGCAACACTACTAGCATAAGCCTTATTTACCCTTAATTTCTTAAATTTAAATGATAAATTTCAATCAGCTATAGAAAAGCACTTTGCTAAAACCTCTCAAGACATAAGACCCGCAGTTTTATGGAAAGATGTAAACAGTAATGTATGCTGTGGTCCAAATGATTTGTTAATGTGGGGAAGAGGATATGCTTGTGCTCACACCCCCTCAGGTCCTCTTTGGATTCCAGCATGAGGCATCAAACCTTACCATGGCGTGGCTAGGACCCAACCTGGCACAAGAAATGAAGGGAATGACCCTGCAGGACCCGCAACACTGGACGATGCGGCTTCCTGGGATGACACAAGCCCCAGACATTACCTGGGGGATGCTAAAGAAGACAACTCAGGAGGCTGAGTGAATCCTGCTCCGGACACAGACACCAGTCACTCCAGATAATTTATTCCTTGCTATGCTCTCTGTTGTACATTGCAACTCACATAGGGTATTGATCCTTTTTATGCCATTGTTCTGCCTGCAATCTGCACCTGTTACTCTCTATTGGACACATCTCTTAGATCCTTAGCACCCGCAAATCATAGCACCTGAAAAAGTTCTTCCCTGTTACTTGGGCAGACACCCCTTCCCAGCCTCTAATAATGTAACTGCTTGGCAAGGAGGGACTGACTTACCCCCAGTGGGATCCCTCATTAATGGCACACATTGCACTAAGGTGCCAAGTAACACTATATATCACTCCACTATCCTCCCACCGTGTGTAAGTTATAAAATTTCTAACCCTTACTGTGTACCTACACAATCACAATTGTGGCTACATCATGGCAAAGGAAATGCCTTAAGGTTCTTGGTTACAGGTAGCCTCAAACCAGGCAATGCAAACAATGCCACTTTCCCCAACCTTCCTTCCTGTGCTAAAGAACATAGCTGGCAAAGTAATGGATTCCACTTTGGCTGGGAGGTCTGTCATGGGGGACAAGCCTGTGGCCTCCATTTAGGCAATTATAACATCTTAGACTGGAGCCCCCACTGCCATTTGTGGGGCGACCATACTCATGTCCACATCTATCACAGCATCAATCACAGTTTCATAGCCACGTCCCATTCCTCTATGATTTGCACTGATTGGGGGATGGGATATCCCAGGCCCCAAGTAAAGCCCATGCCACCCCAAGACACTTTATGGCTCCTGGGACATCTTAGTACCTCCCATAGTATAGTTGCTCCTATACCATGACTGTTATTCATGATCACACAGATCAGTGCCTGATTTGCACTACCCATCCATATGGTTTCCTTATGGGAACTAATATTTCCATTACACCCCTAAACTCCACGTTTCTGACTAGAGTGCAGGGACAGGCTTGGTTCGTCTCATGTAATACTAATTACAATATATCTAATTTAAATATTACTAGTGTCATGGTATTAAGGAGTAAATCTGAGGCATTCTTACCTGTGAATTTGACACGCAATTGGCAAGGCTTCTCTGCCTTTGCCGCCTTAGAAGGTGCCCTGTCCCAGGTCAGACCCAAAAGACTCATAGGCACACTTATAGCCTTTATAGTCTCAGCCATAGTCATCTTGGCAACTGCTAGTGTTGCTGTGGCCTCTATTACTGAATCAGTACAAACAGCTACCTTTGTAGATAACTTGGCCAAAAATGTGTCTAATCAACTTCTCTTACAGCAGGGTATAGATGAAAAGACTCTCGCATGCCTTCGAACCCTTGATGCTGCCTCGGAATACGTAGGGGAGTGGCAAGATGCACTGGCATTCCGACAGCAATGAAACTGGGACTGGGAGCATAAGCACATCTGTGTCACCTTGGAATCAATCGATGTGTAGTTGGGATGAGGTGAAACAACCCCTCGGGGAATCTTACATGATAATTTCAGAGCAGACATAAGTCAACTTAAAACTAAAATTCTACAATCCCTAAATGCCATAGATCTACAAGCCCAACAAACAGCCATATGGCAGGATGTGCAAGAACATCTCTCCTGGATAGACTCCCACTCCTGGGGGTCACTCCTTGATTGGAAAAGAATGTTACAGATTATACTAATGTTTGTCTTATGTTATTTACTAATTCTAGGATGCAAAGCCAGAATATGAGCAGTAACTGCCACGCCAGACAAACTGGTTTGCTGCACTCATCTGTACTCTCCAATCAACAAAACCTGATGCAAAAAACAGAAAAGGGGGGGATGTAGGAGTTAGTCAGGGTGGTGGGGAAAGTTGTAAGAAAAAGTTGCAGGGAAAGACACAAACCTTCTTGGAAGGCTGGGAGGTTTTGCAAAAGCTTTGAAAGAAAATTTGGCTGAAGGCAGCCAAATTCTCTTATCTGGAGCCTGAGAGCAAAGGGTAGATAACAAGGGAATGTAAAGGAACATATCTAGATAAATTTGTTTACTCCTGTCTCCAGAAACCAACCTTTGATCATTCGTGTGCAGGACTGCTCTCTACTTGGGGAGTCAACAATATTTATTATCCACAAATTGTGTTTGCTCCAAGCCTTTGTCATTAAATCTGTACTAAATAAATGCGAGCAAGGCCAGCTTATGGGAGCTGCATTCTCTCCGTAGCTACAGGACTCTCGTCAGCAGTGCTGAGCTGTGCAGTCCCCTCGCCACGCTGTCAGACAAAATACCTGTGTCAGCATGCTCCTTTCATCCACTGCTTGGCCAGAGTCTGCAGGACAGACTCGGCATGCTTTGAAGGTAGAGCTGATGGAACTTCATGCTGAGGCAACTGCTGGATGAAAAGACAAAATTCACCAGCTCAACTGTGTTCAAGTGTGCAACGCAGAGGCGGTAAGTGCATCCATGCTGCTGTGCAGCCAGTGTCACATCCCTCTCCAGAACTTTCCCATCTTCGCCAACTGAAGCTCTGTCTTCCTCATCCCCATCCCAGTCCCTGGGAGCCACCACTCCTGTCTCCAGGAATTTGACTTCTCTTGGGACCTCACATAAGTGGAGTCATTTGTCCATTTGTCCTTTTGTGACTGGCTTGTTCCACGTAACATAATGTCCTCAGGGTTTCTCCAGGTTGTAGCCTCGGGGTTTTGGGCTTGAACAACTTGGAGGTGGCATTTGCTGAGGACAAGGACAGGACAAGTCTTTTGGCTCAGCTGGCAGTGAGCCTTCCCTTGAGGGCGGAGGCAGACATCGCATCCCTGTATTTCCAAGAGATCTGTTTTCCCAGTAGGTGCTTCCTAAAATGATTGTTGAATAAAATGTACGAGTTTCTTATATTTTAGCTTTTATAACCAAGTAGGCAAAGGTGATCCTGAATGCATGGTTCTAGAAACTGGGAAGAAAGGAAGGGCTGGGCATGGTGGCTCACACCTATAATCCTAGCACTTTGGGAGGCTGAGACAGGAGGATGCTTGAGGTCAGGAGTTCGAGACCAGCCTGGGCAATATAGCGAGACCTTGTCTATATTTTATTTTATTTTTGAGAAAGAGTCTTGCCCTATTGCCCAGGCTCGAGTGCAGCAGCAATCTTGCCTCACTGTGACTTCCACCTCCCAGGCTCAAGCGACTCTCCTGCCTCCTGAGTAGCTGGGATTACAGGCATGTGCCACCAACATGCCTGGCTAATTTTTGTATTTTAGTGGAAACGGGGTTTCACCATGTTGGCCAGGCTGGTTTCAAACTCCTGGTCTCAAGCAATCCACCCACCTCAGCCTCCCAAAGTGGTAGTATTACAGGCGTGAGCCATTGTGCCCTGCCCCATCTCTATTTTAAAAAACCAAAAGGAAAATAATAATTAAAAAAAAAAAACTGGCTGTGTGCAGTGGCTCAAGCCTGTAATTTCAGCACTTTGGGAGGCCAAGGAGGTAGAATCATATGAGTCCAGGAGTTTGAGACCAGCCTGGGCAACACGGTGAGTCTCCCTCTCTACAAAAAATAAAAAAAATTAACTGGGCATGGTGGCATGTGTCTGTGGTCCCAGCTACTTGGGAGGCTGAGTGGAAGCACTGCTTGAGGCCAGAAGTTTGAGGGTACAGTGAGCCAAGATTTCACCACTGCACTCTGGCCTGGACAACAGAGTGAGACCCTGTCTCAAGGGAAAAATAAAAATAAAAACTAAGGCTGGGCTGGGATTACAGGAGCTGTGGCTCACACCTGTAATCCCAGCATTTTGGGAGGCCAAGGCAGGGAGATCACCTGAGGTCAGAAATTTGAGACCAGCCTGGTCCAACATGGTGAAAATCCCTCCTCTTCTAAAAATACAAAAATTAGCCAGGTGTGGTGGCACATGCCTATAATCCCAGCTACTTGGGAGGCTGAGGCAGGAGAATCGCTTGAACCCGGGAGACAAAGGTTGCAGTGAGCTAAGATCGTACCACTGCACTCCAGCCTGGGCAACAGAGCAAGACTCCATCTCAAAAAAAAAAAAAAAAAAAAACACTAGGAAGAAAAACAGAATGATATACTTTTGACAAGGATTGAGCAGAATTTCTTCTCCTGAAATTCAAGGTTGTGGGGAATCTTGAAAAACAAATACAGTATATTTAATACCTTCACCTGCAGCGGCCGTCCCAATATAGAGAACTTGGAGACGTACTTTAGGCAAATGCCTGGCAACTGTAACCGCACATTTTCTGGACGATTTTCTTTTATAACTATTTCCATTCCCACTGCAAGAGGACTTTTACGTTCACAAAGGTACTGTGAAAAGCTAGGAAGACATGAACAACCCCACGAAGGCCATGTTGAATCTGTGCTTCTCCCCGCATGGCTGTCCAAAGAGGCGGAAAGTCAGAGCACGCTCGACAATGTTCTTCTGGAAACACTAGCAATACAGATGCCCTTCCCCTCCTCTCCCCTCCCCTCTCCTCTCCTCTCCCTTCTCCTCTCCTCTCCCCTCTCCTCTCCCCTCCCCTCTCCTCTCCCCTCCTCTCTCCTCTCCTCTCCCCTCTCCTCTCCTTCCTCTTTTCCTTTTCTCTTTCTTCTTTCAAGACAGGGGCTGGCTGTGTCACCCAGGCTGGAGTGCAGTGGCATGATCTTGGCTCACTGCAACCTCTGCCTCCTGGGCTCAAACAATTCTCCCACTTCAGCCTCCTGAGTAGCTAGGACCACAGGTGTGAGCCACCATGCCTGGTTGATTCTTACATTTTTTGTAGAGATGGGGTTTCGCCATGTTGCCCAGGCTGGTCTCCAATTCCTGGGCTCAAGTAATCCTCCTGCCTTGGCCTCCCAAAGTGTTGGGATTACAGGTGTGAGGCACCCTGTCAGATAGTATTTCAATGGTATTTCTTCTCTCCTTTAGTCACAAGAAGAGTGGGAATGCTGCCAAGAGGCCATTTAAACACAGTTCATGAGTAGTTTTTCTTTTCTCATCCCGTGTGATGGGTGAGATGCTTGAGCCTGCTGACATTGTGTTCATATCTAACGTGCTTGTGAGAAATTTGAAGCTACTGGTGACCTTTGTCTTCGCCATCCTCTGCCCCAGCTGTAGGTGCTGACACTTTTAATTGCTCAAGGGATGTTTTGATAAAAAAGTTGTGTTAAAATAAAAGTTTAGTGGAATCCTATGAACAGCATTTGAATTCATGGAACTCTGCCCTTTTCCTGCCTTAATTGTTCATGTTCTTCTCTTGCTACTTTTTTTTTCTCTCTTGAGTTAAAAACAAAGCAAAAAACCCCACAAATTAACAAAAAGCTCTAAGGTGGTACAGAATAGTGTGTATAATATTTTTATGCAAATACAAAAAATAGTACATGTAAATAAACTGGCATACATAAATGGTGTTTTCTAGAAAGATATACCAGGGAGAGTTTGACAAAGAAAAAAACTCCTCTTATTTTAAACTTAAAAAGATATTTTTGATGAGAATTGCTGGCAAGATGGTCAAATAGGAATAGCTCTGGTCTGCAGCTCCCAGCAAGATTGACGCAGAAGGTGGGCATTTCCAACTGAGGTACCTGGTTCATCTTACTGGAACCAGTTGGACAGTGGGTGCAGTGCATGGAGGGCGAGTTGAAGCAGGGTGGGGCGTCGACTCACCTGGGAAGCGCAAGGGGTCGGGGAATTTTCTCCCCTACCCAAGAGAAGCCGTGAGGGACTGAGCCTGAGGACCTCCAGCACAGATACTGAGCTTGTCCCATGGTCTTTGCAACCTGCAAACCAGGAGATTCCCTCCACTGCCTACCCCACCAAGGCCCTGGGTTTCAAGCACAAAACTGGGTGGCCATTTGGGCAGACACTAGCTGCAGTTCTTTTTTCCCATACCCCAGTGGCCCCTGGAACGTCAGGGAGACAGAACCCTTCACTTCCCTAGAAAGGGGTACTGAAGCCAGGGAGCCAAGTGGTCTGGGTTGGCGGGTCCCACCCCCTGAGGAACCCAGCAAACTAAGATCTACTGGCTTGAAATTCTTGCTGCCAGCACAGCAGCAGTCTGAGATTGACCCAGGACATCTGAGCTTGGCAGGGGGCAGGGCATCTGCCATCGCTGAGGCTTCAGTAGGTGGTTTTACGCTCACAGTGCGAACAAAGCTGCTGGGAAGTTAGAACTGGGTGGAACCCACTGCAGCTTACCAAGACTGCTGTGGCCAGACCCAGATTTCTCTTCTCTCTGGTCAGGGCATCTCTGAAAAAAAGGCAGCAGCCCCAGGCGGGACTTACAGATAAACCCCCATTTCCCTGGGACAAAGCACCTGGGGAAAGGGGAGGCAGTGAGCACAGCTTCATCAGACTTAAAGGTCCCTGCCTGACAGCTCTGAAGAGAGCAGCAGACCTCCCAGCACAGCGTTTGAGTGCTGCTAAGGGTCAGACTGCCTCCTCAAGTGGGTCCCTGACCCCTGTGTATCCTGACTGGGAGACACCTCCAAGTAGGGGCTGACAGACACCTCATACAGAAGAGCTCTGGCTGGCATCTGGCAGGTGATCCTCTGGGACGAATCTTCCAGAGGAAAGATCAGGCAGCAATCTTTACTGTTCTGCAGCCTCCACTGGTGATAGCCAGGCAAATAGGGTCGGGAGTGGACATCCAGCAAACTACAGCAGACTGGCTGCAGAGGGGTCTGACTGTTAGAAGGAAAACTAACAAACAAAAAGGAACAGCAGGTCCACTCAAAGACCCCATCCGAAGGTCACCAACATCAAAGACCAAAGGTAGATAAATCCACAAAGATAGGGAGAAACCAGTGCAAAAAGCTGATAAATTCAACAACCAGAATGCCTTTTCTCCTCCAAAGGATCACAGCTCCTCAGCAGCAAGGGAACAAAACTGGATGGAGAATGAATTAGATGAATTGACAGAAGCAGGCTTCAGAAGGTGGGTAATAACAAACTCCTCCGAGCTAAAGGACCATGTGCTAACCCAATGCAAGGAAGCTAAGAACCTTGAAAAACGGTAAGATGAATTGCTAGCTAGAATAACCAGTGTAGAGAAGAACATAGATGACCTGATGGAGCTGAAAAACACAACACGAGAACTTCATGAAGCATACACAAGTTTCAATAGCCAAATCGATCAAGCAGAAAAAAGGATATCAGTGATTGAAGATCAACTTAATGAAATAAAGAGAGAAGACAAGACTAGAGAAAAAGGAATAAAAATGAACAAAGCCTCCAAGAAACATAGGACTATGTGAAAAAACCAAATCTATGTTTGATTAGTGTACCTAAAAGTTATGAGGAGAATGGAACCAAGTTGGAAAACACTCCTCAGGATATTATCCAGGAGAACTTCCCCAACCTAGCAAGACAGGCCAACATTCAAATTCAGGAAATACAGAGAACACCACAAAGATACTCCTCAAGAAGAGCAACCCCAAGACACATAATCATCAGATTTACCAAGGTTGAAATGAAGGAAAAAATATTAAGGGCAGCCAGAGAGAAAGGTTGGGTTACCCACAAAGGGAAGCCCATCAGACTAAGAGTGGATCTCTCTGCAGAAACCCTACAAGCCAGAAGAGAGTGGGGGCCAATACTCAACATTCTTAAAGAAAAGAATTTTTAACCCAGAATTTCATATCCAGCCAAACTAAGCTTCATAAGTGAAGGAGAAATAAAATCCTTTACAGACAAGCAAATGCTGAGAGATTTTGTCACCACAAGGCCTGCCTTACAAGAGCTCCTGAAAGAAGCAGTAAACGTGGAAAGAAAAACCGGTACCAGCCACTGCAAAAACATACCAAATTGTAAAGACCATCGACACTATGAAGAAACTCCATCAACAAAAAGGCTCTGGGGACTGTTGTGGGTGGGGTGAGCGGGGAGGGATAGCATTGGGAGATATACCTAATGCTAGATGACGAGTCAGTGGGTGCAGTGCACCAGCATGGCACATGTATACATAGGTAACTAACTTGCACATTGTGCACATGTACCCTAAAACTTAAAGTATAATAATAATTTAAAAAAAAACAATAAAAAAAAAACAAACAGGCAAAACAACCAGCTAGGATCATTCTGACAGGATGAAATTAACACATAACAATATTAACCTTAAATGTAAATGGGCTAAATGCCTCAATTAAAAGACACAGACTGGCAAATTGGATCAAGAGTATAGACCCATCAGTGTGCTGTATTCAGGAGACCCATCTCATGTGCAAAGACACACAAAGGCTCAAAATAAAGGGATGGAGGAATATTTACCAAGCAAATGGAAAGCAAACAAAAGCAGGAGTTGCAATCCTAATCTCTGATCAAACAGACTTTAAACCAACAAAGATCAAAAGAGACAAAGAAGGCCATTACATAATGGTAAATGGATCAATGCAGCAAGAATTGCTAACTATCCTAAATATATATGTACCCCATACAGGAGCACCCAGATTCATAAAGTAAGTTCTTAGAGACCGACAAAGAGACTTAGACTCCCACACAATAATAGTGGGAGACTTTAACACCCCACTGTTAATATTAGGCAGATCAATGAGACAGAAAATTAACAAGGATATTCAGGACTTTAACTCACCTCTGGACCAAGCAGACCTAACAGACACCTACAGAACTCTCCACCCCAAATCAACAGAATATACATTCTTCTCAGCACCACATTGCACTTATTCTAAAATTCACCACATAATTGGAAGTAAACACTCCTAAGCAAATGCAAAATAATGGAAATCATAACAAATAGTCTCTCAGACCACAGGGTAATCAAATTAGAACTCAGGATTAAGAAACTCACTCAAAATCGCACAACTACATGGAAACTGAATAACCTACTCCTGAATGACTACTGGGTAAATAACAAAATTAATGCGAAAATAAAAATGTTCTTTGAAACCAATGAGAATGAAGACACAACATACCAGAATCTCTGGGACACATTTAAAGCAGTGTGTAGAGAGAAATTTATAGCACTAAATGCCCACAAGAGAAAGCAGGAAAGATCTAAAATTGACACCCTAACATCAAAATTACAAGAACTAGAGAAGCAACAGCAAATAAATTCAAAATCTAGCAGAAGACAAGAAATAACTAAGAAGAGAGCAGAACTGAAGGAAATAGAGACTAGAAAAACCCTTCAAAAAATTAATGAATCCAGGAGCTGGTTTTTAGAAAAGATCAACAAAATAGATAGACCGCTAGCCAGAATAATAAAGAAGACAAGAGAGAAGAATCAAATAGATGTAATAAAAAATGATAAAGGAGATATCACCACTGATCCCACAGAAATAAAAACTACCATCAGAGAATACTATAAACACTAATAAACTAGAAAATCTAGAAGAAATTGATAAATTCATGGACACACATACCCTCCCAAGTCTAAATTAGGAATAAGTTGAATCCCTGAATAAACCAATAACAAATTCTGAAATTGAGGCAGTAATTAATAAACTATCAACAAAAAAAAAGTCCAGGACCAGATGGATTCACAGCCAAATTCTACCAGAGGTATAAAGAGGAGCTGGTACCATTCCTTCTGAAACTATGCCAAATAACAGAAAAAGAGGGAATCCTCCCTAACTCATTTCATGAGGCCAGCACCATCCTGACACCAAAACCTGGCAGAGACACAACAAAAAATGAAAATTTCAGGCCAATATCCCTGATGAACATTGATGCGAAAATCCTCAATAAAATACTGGGAAACTGAATCCAGCTGCACATCAAAAAGCTTATCCACCACGATCAAGTTGGCTTCATACCTTGGATGCAAGGCTGGTTCAACATATGCAAATTAATAAAAGTAATCTACCACATAAACAGAAGCAATGACAAAAACCACATGATTATCTCAATAGATGCAGAAAAGTCCTTCAACAAAATTCAACGCCTCTTCATGCTAAAAACTCTCAATAAACTAGATATCAATGAAACGTATCTCAAAATAATAAGAGCTATGTATGACAAACACACAGCCAATACCATACTGAATGGGCAAAAACTAGAAGCATTCCCTTTGAAAACCAGCACAAGACATGCCCTCTCTCACCACTCCTATTCAACATAGTATTGGAAGTTCTCGCCAGGGCAATCGGGCAAGAGAAAGAAATAAAGGGTACTCAAATAGGAAAAGATGAAGTCAAATTGTCTCTGTTTGCAGATGACATGACTGTATATTTAGAAAACCCCATTGTCTCAGCCCTAAATCTCCTTAAGCTGATAAGCAACTTCAGCAAAGTCTCAGGATACAAAATCAATGTGCAAAAATCACAAGCATTCCTATACATCAACAACAGACAAACAGAAAGCCAAATCAGGAGTGAAATCCCATTCACAATTGCTACAAAGAGAATAAAATACCTAGGAATACAACTTACAAGGGATGTAAAGCACCTCTTCAAGGAGAACTGCAAACCACTGCTCAAGGAAATAAGAGAGGACACAAATGAATCAAAAAACATTCCATGCTCATGGAGAGGAAGAATCAATATTGTGAAAATGGCCATATTTCCCTAAGTAATTTATAGATTCAATGCTATCCCCATCAAGCTACCACTGCCTTTCTTCATAGAATTGGGAAAAGACTACTTTAAACTTCACATGGAACCAAAAAAGAGCCTGCATAGCCAAGACAATCCTGGGCAAGAACAAAGCTGGAGGCATCACGCTATCTGACTTCAAACTATACTACAAGGCTACAGTAACCAAAACAGCATGGTACTGGTACCAACACAGATATATAGACCAATGGAACAGAACAGAGGCCTCAGAAACAATACCACACAACTACAACCATCTGATCTTTGACAAACCAGACACAAACAATCAATGGGGAAAATATTCCCTATTTAATAAACAGTGCTGGGAAAACTGGGTAGCCATATGCAGAAAACTGAAACTGGACCCCTTCCTTACACCTTATACAAAAATCAACTCAAGATTGATCTTGACTTAAATGTACGACCTAGGACCATAAAAATCCTAAAAGAAAACCCAGGCAATACCATTCAGGACGTAGTCATGGGCAAAGACTTCATGTCTAAAACACCAAAAGCATTGTCAACAAAAGCCAAATTTGACAAATGGGATCTAATTAAACTAAAGAGCTTCTGCAAGCAAAAGGAACTATCACCAGAGTGAACAGGCAACCTGCAGAGTGGGAGAAAATTTTTGCAATCTATCCATCTGACAAAGGGCTAATACCCAGAATCTACAAAAAACTTAAATTTACAAGAATAAAACAACCCCATCAAAAAGTGGGCAAAGTTTATGAACAGATGCTTCTAAAAAGAAGATATTTATGTAGCCAACAGACAAATGAAAAAATGTTCATCATCACTGGTCATTAGAGAAATGCAAATCAAACCCACAATGAGATACCATCTCATGTCAGTAAGAATGGCAATCATTAAAAAGTCAGGAAACAACAGATGCTGGAGAGGATGTGGACAAATAAGAATGCTTTTACGCTGTTGGTGGGAGTGTAAATTAGTTAAACCATTGTGAGAGACAGTGTGGTGATTCCTCAAGGATCTAGAAGGATAAATACCATTTGACCCAGCAATCCTACTGCTGGGTATATACTGAAAGGATTATAAATCATTCTACTATAAAGATACATGAACACTATGTTTATTGAGGCACTATTCACAATAGCAAAGACTTGGAACCAATCCAAATGCCCATCAATGATAGACAGGATAAAGAAAATGTGGCACATATACACCATGGAATACTATGCAGCCATAAAAAGGATGAGTTCATGTCTTTAGCAGGGACATGGATGAAGCTGGAAACCATCATTCTCAGCAAAGTATCACAACGACAGAAAACCAAACACCGCATGTCCTCACTCATAAGTGGGAGTTGAACAATGAGAACACATGGACACAGAAAGAGGAACATCACACACCGGGGCTTGTCTGGGGGTAGGGGGCTAGGGGAGTGATAACATTAGGAAAAATACCCAATGTAGGTGTTGGGTTGAAGGGTGCAGGAAACCACCATGGCACATGTATACCTATGAAACAAAACTGCATGTTCTGCACATGTACCCCAGAACTTAAAGTATAATTTTAAAAAAATTTATAAAAGAAAAAAATACATATTTTTACAGAGGTCATACTAATCTCTGTGTCATTCCAATTTTAGTATACATGCTGCTGAACCAAGTGCTATTTTATACTCTTTTGTAAGCTTTTTTTACTATATATGTATATTTTATTGATTTATTCTTTTAACTATTTCATACCTTGCTAAATATGCATATATTTTAATTTTTGTCAGCATATTTCGGGGTGGGCTTCTGAATCTTTTGAAATCCTTTTGTATTCCAAAGTTAACTTTTTTTTTTTTTTTTTGCTATCAGAATCTGGCATTTACTACCAACGTTAATTTTAACTCACACACATTTCTGCGGTGTCAGGCTTACCCCAGTTCCAGGAAGTCCATCTGCCCTAACTTACTTGGTACTCATTTTGTTCCTCCTCTTGCCTGATGGGCTCATAAAGGTCTTTGAATCCACACATTTCAGGCCCAGAGATGCTCAACACACACTTTCAGGAACCCAATTTCATTCACCACAAAATGTATTTGAAAGCAAGAGTTTTGTCATCCCTCATTTTTTTTTTTCTTTTTAGAGATGGGATCTCACCATCTTGCCCAGGTTTCCCCTGGGCTCATGTGATTCTCCTGCTCCAGCCTCTCCAGTAGCTGGGACTACAGGCACATGCCACCATGTCCAGTTAATTTTTTAATTTTTCTTTTGTATAGTTGCCATCTCACTATGTTGACCAGGCCGATTTCAAAATTCTGGCCTCAAGCAATCCTCCTGCCTCGGCCTCCCAAAGTGCTAGGATTACAGGCATAAGCCCCTCTGTGCCTGTCTCTGTCCCTCATTTTTACTACAGATTCCAGTTATTCTCCTATAGCCATTTGATTGTGTTTATTGGTGGGAATGACACTCATCCTATTTAATTTTTTTTAAAATAATATAGCCCAAAAACTGATTTCATAAAAATAAAAAAACCTCTTTTTTTTTTTTTTTGAGATGGAGTTTCGCTCTTGTTGCCCAGGCTGGAGTGCAATGGCACAATCTCAACTCACTGCAACCTCTGCCTCCCGGGTTCAAGTGATTCTTCTACCTCAGCCTCCCAAGTAGCTGGGATTACAAGTGCCCACCACCATGCCTAGCTAATTTTTTGTATTTAGTAGAGACTGGGTTTCACCATGTTGGTCAGGCTGATCTCATACTCCTGACCTCAGGTGATCCACCTGTCTTCGCCGCCCAAAGTGCTGTGATTACAGGCATGAGCAACTGTGCGTGACCAGATACTTTTCTTTTCTTAAAGAAGGTCTGCTAATGGGCAGGTAGGTCATGTACGGACAGGCATAACTTCTCCTCACCTAGGCCGCAGCAGCACCTGTCTTACACAAGCTCCAGGCCTACCTGCGCCTCTGCTCCTGAGATGTATTTCCTTTTTAACTTCTCACCTCCACCCAGCAACCCCTGCCCTGGAGTTTCTTTAGTTGTACTGGCTACAGTTTTGAGGGATTGTTCTCCATACAAATTGGAGCTCTCCTCTGCCACCAAGTCAAAGTGTGCTAGAAAAGAGTTCACTGAATGACCCTCTTGTTGCCATTGAATTTCATACAGGGTCTCACCAATCCACGCGCAAACAGGCCAGAAAGAGCCATGAGAATGACCAGCTGTGGAGGGATTCATAGATAAAGCCACGTTCCTGCAAGAAAGACAGGCAAGTTTCCTCAAAAAAAATTTTGTTGTTAGACAGAGTCTCGCTCTGTTGCTCAGGCTGTAGACAGTCGTGCCACCTCGGCTCACTGCAACCTCCGCCTACCGGGTTCAAGCAATCCTCCCGAGTCAGTCTCCCGAGTTGCTGAAACTACAGATGCCCGCCACCATGCCTGGCTAATTTTTGTATTTTTAGTAGAGATGGGATTTCAGCATGTTAGCCAGGCTGGTCTCAAACTCCTGGCCTTAAGTGATCTGGCTGCCTCAGTCTCCCAAAGTCCTGGGATTACAGGCGTGAGCCACTGCACCTGGCTGGTTTCTCAAAAATTAAACAAAAGCCGGGCTTGGTGGCTCATGCCTGTAATCCCAGCAACTTTGGGACGCCAAGATGGGAGGATCTCCTAACTCCAGGAGTTCAAAACTGGCCTGGGCAACATGGTGAGACCCCGTCTCTTCAAAAATTAAAAAAAAATATATTAGCCAGGCATGGTGGTGTGCACCTGTGATCCCAGTTACTTGGAAGGCTGAAGCTGGAGGATCGCTTGAGCCAGGAGGTGGAAGCTGCAGTGAATCCTGTCTGCCCCACTGCATTCCAGCCTGGGTGACAGAGTGATATCCTGTCTCAAGAAAAAAAAAAGAAAAGAAAAAGTATAGAAATCTAGCAATTCCACTTCTGGGTATAGAATCAAAGGAATTGACCACAGAATCTTGAAGAGAGATTTGCACACCCATGTTCACAGCAGCGTGATTTACGATAGCCAAAAGGTGGAATCAACCCAAGTGTCCATCAACAGATGGATGAATGGGCAAAATGTGGTCCAGCCACATAGTGGAATAGTATTCAGCCTGAAAAAGGAAGGAAATTCTGGCCCATGCTACAACATGGATGCATCTTGACGACATTAGGTTCAGTGAAATAAGACAAACACAAAAGGACAAATTGTGTATGATTCTGCTTATCTGAGGTCCCTAGAGAATCAAATTCATAGAGACAGAAAGTAGAATGGGAGTTGCAGGGGCTGCAGGGAGGAAGATGGGGGAGTTAGTGTTTAATAAGTGCAGAGATTCAGTCAGAGAAAATGAAATAGTTCTGGAGATAGATGGTGATGACGGTTGCACCACGATGTGAACATCCTTAAATGCCACTGAACTGTACACTTTAAAGTGGCTAAAATGTTGGGCGTGGTGGCTCACGCCTATAATCCCAGCACTCTGGGAGGCTGAGTTGGTGGATCACCTGAGGTCAGGAGTTCAAGACCAGCCTGGGCAACATGGGAAAACCCTGTCACTACAAAACAAAAAAAAATACGAAAATTAGCCAGGTGTCATGGTGTGCACCTGTAGTCCCAGGTACTCAGGAGGCTGAGGTGGGAGGCTCACCTGAGTCTGGGAGGGGGATTTTGCAGTGAGCCGAGATTGTACCACTGCACTCCAGCCTGGGTGATAGAGTGAGACCCTGCCTAAAAAGAGAAAAAGTCCGCTGATGCAGGTGGATCACCTGAGGTTGAGAGTTTGAGACCGGCCTGCCCAACATGGTGAAACCACGTCTCTACCAAAATTACAAAAATTACCTGGGTGTGATGGCGAGCACCTGTAATCCCAGCTACTGGGGAGGCTGAGGCAGGAGAATTGCTTGAACCCGGGAGGTGGAGGCTGCAGTGAGCCAAGACTGTGCCACTGCACTCCAGCCTGGACAACAGAGTGAGACTCCATCTCAAAAAAAAAAAAAAGTGGCTAAAATGGTCAATTTTATAATTATATTTTACCACAATTTTAGAAAGAGAAAGAGAGAGAGAGAAGGAGAGAGGCAAGTTATGAACAAGGAGAACAGGGGATGAGCATGTGGTAGGCACTGATCCAGGCCCTTTGAGAGCTAGGCGGGAGAGAACACTTAACCCCCCCAGTTAAGGGGGCATGATGTGGTTAATTCTTTCCTCAAATCTACTTACTCATATCCCAGCAGTTTTATAGGGCTGTGTACTTCCGAAAATTCCCAATATAGATGCTCCCAGCTTACAATGGGGTTACACTGCCTGCTAACCCATCGTAAAGTCAAAAAATTGTTAAGTGGGCCAGGCATAGTGGCTTATGCCTGCTGTCCCAGCACTTTGGGAGGCTGAGGCAGGCAGATCACTTGAGGCCAGGAGTTCAAGACCAGCCTGGCCAACATGGTGAAACCCCTTCTTTATTGAAAATACAATAATTAGCTGGGTGTGGTGGCGGGCGCCTGAAATCCTAGCTACTCCCGAGACGGAGGCAGGAGAATCACTTGAACCCGGGAAACGGAGGTTGCAGTGAGACAAGATTGTGCCACTGCACTCCAGCTCAGGTGACACAATAAGACCCTGTCTCAAAATAATAACAATAATAATAATAAATTGTTAAGCGGCGCCATCACAAGTATGGTACTGTCTAAATTTGTTTCCCTCCCACATTCCTGCCTGTACTTCCTTAGACTTTGCCAGTGGTTCTCAGTGTGGGCTGAAATTGGAAACCCCTGGGGTACTGTAAAAAGCACCAATGCCAGAGTCCCATGTCCAGAAATTCACATGTAATTGGATGGGGTGGCCGGGGTATGAGGCAGTTTCAGATCCCTCTGGGTGACTGTCAGGTACAGCCTGAGCGGAGAACCACTGGTTCAGGCCACGGTTCCTTCACTGGGTGATGAGCGAGGCCTCCTGCCTCCAGGCGTCACGGCCTTCCTGCCGTCCCCAGGACTGGATGCCACTGATCTGTGGAGGGGTCGGCCAACCCTGCAATAGGGATCAGCTCCGACCCACGGACGGAGTTCCGCCCTCCGCATGCTTTTGTAAATAAAGTGTCATTCGCCCCTAGCCGACGCTGATTCATTTGGGACTGCGGGGTCTGCAAAGCCTAAAATACTGATGAGCTCGTCCTTTTCAGAACATGTTTGCCAGCCCCTGCATGCTGCAGCCCAAGACCAAAAGTCCTGCAAGTCTCTGGAGTTCGCTTCCTGCTGCAGGTCCTGCCTCACGGGTATTGGATCAGTTACCTGCTCTAGGGACACTCCCTGTTGTTTGGGGCAGAATGGGGTGCACCTCCTCTTGCCCTCACAGTGCCTGGGTCCCCTTAACTCACTGTTCTCCTTGTTTGTGACTGGCCTGCCTCTCTTGCAGAATGGGGAGAGCCCGCAGGGTGGAGGGAGCAGGGCTTCATCTGTGAATCTCATAGCTAGCCAGGGTCTGGCATACAGTAGGCGCTCAAGGTATGTGCTGTCTCAGTGGTTTAGTTGAATGATCTTCACTAAAGCCTTATCAAAGCATATGCTGGCCCGGGAGCTGTGGCTCATGCCTGTAATCCCAGCACTTGGGGAGGCTGAGGCAGGTAGATCACCTGAGCCCAGGAGTTCAAGACCAGCCTGGGCAACCTAGTGAGAACCCATCTCTACAAAAAAGAAAAAGAAAAAGAAAAAAAAAAAGCACTACATGCGGTGGTGCTTGCCTATAGTCTCAGCTACTGGGGTGGCTGAGGTAGGAGGACGGCTTGAGACCTGGGGTTGAGGTGGTGGGTTGAGGCTGCAGTGACCCGTGATTGTTCCACTCTACTCTATCCTGGGCAACAGAGCAAGACCTTGTCTCAACAAAAGAAAGAAAGAAAAAAAAAAAAGCCTAGGCTGACTGTTCATAGGATGAGTAGAGGAGTCTTGGTTTGTGCAGAGAAAACTAGAGAGATTAAAAAAATATTTGGCTGATTTAAAGCTTTCTCTGACTTCACTTTTGCTAAGAATTTGATGACTGTCATTCATCGAATCGCAATAACAGCAAACAATACAGGTTTTTTTTTTTGCAAACAATAACAAAAATAGTTTTCATAATGTGCCAAGTATGATATAAAGTGCTTTACATGTATATCATTCACATAATTCTCACAACAACCCTATGATGGGAGCTATTATTCCTGATGTACAGATGAGGAAACTGAGGCACAGAGTGGGTAAGCGAGTTGCCCAGGTTATATACAGCTAGTAAGTGACAGAGCTGAGACTCAAATCAGGCAGCCTGGGGCCAGAGTCCAAGCTTTTTTTTTTTTTTTCTCTCTTTTTGTGGCAGGATCTCGCTGTCTTGCCCAGGCTGGACGGCAGTGGTGCAATCACAGCTCACTGTAGCCTCCACCTCCCAGGCTCAACTGGCCCTCCTGCTTTAGCCTCCTGAATGGCTGGGACTACAGGCATGCAGCACCATGGCCCGGCTACGTTTTTTTTGTTTTTTTTTTTTTTGAGACTGTCTTGCTCTGTCATCCAGGCTAGAGTGCAGTGGCACCATCTCGGCTCACTGCAACCTCCACCTCCCAGGTTCAAGCAATTTTCCCTGCCTCAGCCTCCTGAGTAGCTGGGATTACAGGCACCCGCCACCATGCCTGGCTAATTTTTGTTTTGTTTTTTTTTTAATAGAGATGGGGTTTTGCCATATTGGCCAGGTTGGCCTTGAAGTCATGACCTCAGGTGATCCACCCACCTGGGCCTCCCAAAGCGCAGGGATTACAGGCGTGAGCCACCGTGCCTGGCCAGGTTTTCTAGTTTTCGTACAGATGAGGTCTCACTACCTTGTCCTGGTGGATTTTTACCTCCTAGCCTCAAGTGATCCTCCTGCCTCCGCCTCCCAAAGTGTTGTGATTACAGAAGTGAGTCACCACACCTGGCCCAGAGTCAGAGCTTTTAACCACTATGTTACACTGCTTGAGAGTCACAGTAAGTAATAATAACCCCACCCACAACCATGCAATTGTGAAGCCACCTCACAGGGTCTCAGCAAGAGCCACCCTTCCAGTACAGCAGTCATCGGCCCCACCCGCTCTGCTGAAGCCTGCAGGGGAGGCTGCACGAGCAAGGCAGATGACGCATCCTCTCAGAGAAGAGGAGTTCAAATCCCAGAGCCGCCTCTTCCTAGCTATGTACCCTCAGACAAGATCATTAATTTGTTTTCCTCATCCTTAACAATGGGGCTCACAGCCTCTTCCCCGGGCTGTTGTGAGGGTGACATAAAGCATGTCCCAGAGCAGATACAAAAGAGGCCAGGTGTGCACAGGGTGGTGGGTCGGGCCATTCAGCCCAATTGGGGCCATTCATTTAATGGGATCCGGATACACCTTCGTCTACGGATCTAGCCAATTGCTGCTGCCTATTTAGGTTTTGCCTGAATCTTGATCAAGAATATCTGATAACCTTTCCTGCTTTGTTTTATTTGAAAACATTGTAAACTCAAAAGGGCTTTTTAAGTCACCTCTGGCCTCCGCCCTCCGAGCGGCACTCTCTCCAAGCCACTTTATATACACATTCAGCCCTCCTCTCCCTTCTACCAGGAGTAAGACCATGGCCATGTCTCACTGATGATCCAATAGGATAGAGACGGACAGAGAAAGAATCCAGCCCCGACAAAGCACACTTAACTTTCCAGCCGGGCACGCCTGTCAAAAATAGGAAATGAGTTTCTGTGAAGCTCTCTCTCTTCCTCCTCTGAGAAAATCAAATTGAGTCTCAAATTAACCCAAAGGTGAAGAGACTGGCTGTGGTTTTATCTTTCTGTCAACCCCCTCTTCGCCCTTCTTAGATTTATTAATGTAAACCAATCTGTGGACCTTTTGGCCTCATGAATTGGAACTAAAGCTGGTACTGAGGGAGGGGAAAGGCTTTACGCTAAGGCAACAGCGCCACCTTGTGACCAATATTTTTACTACTGTCAATGCGCTCCAGCCGCGGACCTCAGAGGGTGGTGATGCGGGTAAAATATGAACAAGATTGCTTCCCGAAACTTCTCGGTTTTGTCAGCTGTTTTATATATATATATATATATATGTTTTAATATATGTGTTTATATATGTGTTAATAAATATATTTTTATATATTTTATGTTTTAATGTTTTTATATGTTTTTATATATATTTGTTTTTATATATGTTTATACATATTTGTTTTAAAATATATATATGCTTGTTCATTTATTTTTCTGCATCCAATCATCCATTATATTTATTTCTAAGAGACGGGTCTTGCTTTGTCACCCAGGCTGGAATGCAGTGGCTACGGTCATGGCTCACTGCGGCCTTGACTTCCTGGGCTCAAGCGGTCCTCCCAACACAGCCTCCCAAAGTGTTGGGATTACAGGCGTGAGCCACTGCGTCCAGCCTTGTCAGCTGTTCAAGTCTTAACCTGAGCATTAAATACGGACCATACACATGTAAATCACGGATATACAGTGCATTGCCTGTTTCTGCATGTACCTCAAGAGTTGTAGACTCCAGAAAATGGGTGCTCTTTATTCATTAGGTGGCTTATGAACACGTTTTGCGTTTTAATGCATTGTCATTAACCCATTCATACTGTGTCCCAAACCCTGTAGTGACATCAGAGAGAAAAATGATACATACCACAGAGTCCCTGACTTCGGACAGATGACAACCCGGTCAAGATGATTAAGTTCCCTCAAATTGCCTTGAATTGGCCTGATACCGTCTCCCCACACCCTGTAGCACGCACATGCAGGTAGACAATGAAATTAAGTGGATTTCAAACACGACCACACTAACTCTAAAGCATTCGTCACTGGCCAAGCAAATGCGATTAGGAGCTTACTCGAGCTAGCAGATTCCTTCAATGCATTCAGTCCTCCCCTCACCCACGGACAGATTAGGAAGCTCCAGCCAATGGCGCATGTCTGTCTGTCACTGAGAAGGAAAATGGAAGTATCTTTTCTTGAGGAGAGAGTTCCCTTCGTCTTTTCTTTTTTTCCTTTATCTCTTTTTTCATTTGTTCCCTCCCTCCCTCCCTTCTTCCCATCTTTCTTTTTAACTTTCAGCATTTCAAATCTCCAGTGGATACATTTCTGGTGAAAAGTCTAACTAGAAAAAAAATTGGGGTAGTGGTGGTGGTGGTCATGCTGGAATTTTACAACACGGATTATCTCAGGGTACTCAGAAAACTCTAACGGCTACTATTATGAGTGTCTTTTATAAAGAAAAATTGGAAACCTAAGTTGACTGTTTCTTAATAAATTCAGTTTGTTTGGCAGACAACATATCTCCAGGCGGAGGATCTTTATTTTTTATTTTATCTTTCATCTTTAGATGAAACAGGTGGAACCCCTGCTTTAGATAGAAGTAGGTGCTGACCTCTAGTGGACATGTGTAGCAATACAGCTCTACACAGAAGTAGGTGCTGACCTCTAGTGGACATATATAGCACTACAGCACTGCAGAGAAGTTGCTTAGGGAGAATACTATTGAAAAATGCACTCTAGAAAGATTGCTCTGTTTTCTGCTTTTGCGGATCCCTCAGGATCCTGAAAATCTCTCCTGTACCTTCCACATTTTGGGAGTGCTACAGTTTGGGTATCTGACCCTCCAGATCTCATGTTGAAATTTGGCCCCCACCATTGGAGGTGGGCCTAGTGGCAGATGTTTGGTCATGGGGGCAGATACCTTATGAATAGATTAATGCCCTGGGCAGGGGGTTAAAACGAGCTCTTACTCTGTTAGTTCTGGAGGGCTGATTGTCAGAACGAGCCTGGCACCTCCACCCCCACCTTGCTTCCTTTCTTTCCATGTGGTCTCTGTACACACCAGCTCCCTTTCACCTCTGCCCTGAGCGGAGGCAGCCAGAGGCCCTCACCAAAAGCAGATGCTAGCACCACGCTCCTTGCACAGCCTGCAGAACCATGAACCAAATTAAATATCTCTTCTTTATAAATTACCCAGTCTTAGGTATTCCTTTATAGCAACATAAAATGGACTAAGACAAGGAGCCACAAATCTGCAATTCTTTGGCTGATAAATTATCAAATATAGCTAACCTAACTAGCTTCCTCCGTTTTGCATATGTCTGGCCTGTCTCCTGGCACCTCTGCTTTCTCTTCATGAAGCACCCAGGTAACCCATTATCCAGAGCTCTTACTAATTCTGTTCAGTGTTTGTTTCTTGCTGCTGGGGCAGGAGGTGGAGAACAAAGGGAATGAGGGAACATTGAGAAATTTCTCTTCATTGTGACCAGCTAGGGCAAATTGTCCTTGGTCTTCTAACCCAGCAGCAAGTATTCATTGCGAAAACACACACACACACACACACACACACACACACACACACACGCATGCCATTTATGCAAAACACATTAGTGAGAGTATTTTTCCTCTTTAAGCACCAAGGAAAGCCAGGAAGAAACAGCGTAAAGAATTTTGGATGGGAAAACAAACAAGGTTCTAGTCCTGGCCCTGCTCAAATGACCATACGGCACTAGGAAAGTCTATCAGTTCCTCAGTTTTCTTTTTTCTTGTTCCTTTTTTTTTTTTTTTAAGACAGGTTCTCACTCTGTTGACCAGGCTGGAATGCAGTGGCATGGTCACTGCTCACTGCAGCCTTGAATTCCTGGGCTCAAGCGATTGTCCTGCCTCAGCCTCCCCAGTAGTTGGGATTACAGGCACACACCACCATGCCTGGCTAACTTTTTTTTTCTTTTTAGTAGAGATGAGGTCTTGTTGTGTTGCCCAGGCTCGTCTCAACCTCCTGGGATCAAGCAAGCCTCCTGCCTCAGCCTCCCACCTGCTGAGGCTACAGGTATGAGCCACCCCTACTGGCCCTCATTTTTCTCAAATGTAAAGTGAGAGAGTCTAATTAAGTGACCTTTAAAGACAAATTTAGCTTTACTTTTGTATGATTTATGTTGTCTGGACTCTTACTGAAATTTCTATTCAAAGGCCCCACCCCTGAAAATTTGGTTGTTAGTGCATAGCAATGCCTGGGAAGACAGTGTGGTTTCAGGCCTGTAAGATATCAGATTGGCCCATATTAGGCATGTATTAGTTATCAATTGTTGTGTAACACATTGCCATAATGCTTAGCGGCTTAAAACAACAACATTTATTATCCCACCCCATCTGTGGGTCAGGAATCTGGCTGTGGCTTACCTGGGTCTCCTGTCTCAGAGCCTCTTACGTGGGTGCAATCGAGGTGTCAGTTGGGGCTGTGGTCTCACCTGAAGGCCTGACTGGGAGCAGGATTCATTTTAATGCTTACTCTTGTGGCTACTAGCAGGCTTCATTTCCTTATGGACTGTTCAGTTGAGGGTTTCAGTTTCTCTTCTCTTCTCTTTTCTTTCTTTCCTTCTTTTTTTTTTTTTTTTTCAGGGTCTCACTCTGTCACCCAGGCTGGAGTACAATGGTACAATCTCAGCTCACTGCAACCGCTGCCTCCCAGGGTCAAGCAATCTTCCCACCTCAGCCTTCTGAGTAGTTGGGACTACAGGTGCAAACCACCACACCCAGCTGATTTTTGTAGTTTTTGTAGAGATGGGGTTTCACCATGTCACCCAGGCTGGTCTTGAACTCTTGGACTCAAGCAGTCTGCTCACCTCAGCCTCCAAAACTGCTGGGAGTACAGGAAGCAGCCATCGTGCCAGGCTGGTTTCAGTTTCTTGTACATGGGCTTCTCCATAGGGCAGTTCATAACAAGGCAGTGTGCTTCATCAGAATAAGCAAGTAAGAAGAGCTGGGGAGAAAGAGAGAAGAGGAGATGGAAGTTACACACTCTTGGGAGCTAATAAGTGACGGCCCATCACTTGTGCCATGTTGTATTGATTAGAAGTGAGTTACTAATTTCAGCCACTAAAGGAGAGGTGATAATACAAGGAAGTGTGTGGTAGGAATACTAGGAGGCAAGGGGTCTTTGGGAGCTATTAAGAAGCTGCCTATCATGCTGTGTGACTTCAGGAAAGTGAATGTCCATGTACTTGTTTCTTTCATTGTAAAATGGGGATAATAATGCCTACCTCATAGACTTGAGGTAGGAAATACATGTAGATTACTGGGTACATTTTACCTCACAGCCATGTGATCATTACTTCCCGTATCCTCTGTGTAGGAGGCCTTCCATATACAAGAGTGGATAATTGAATTATCCATGCTGTTTTATGTTTTCTCCCCAAATAGGCTTTGAGCTCCCTGAGGAATAGTAGCAAATGGAAAATAATGAAAATGTGATGATTTATTTATTTTACCCTTACAGTTCCAAATCAAAATAATAAGATAATCTTTAAGCCACCAATTATATGCAGGAAAGAAGTTCAGTAGTCATTGGAAGGCTGGTTTCTGTAATTCTCACCATGGTATTCCTAGCACCATAGCACCTGGTCTGTGGCAGACACTTAATAAATATCTCCTGAATTGTACACTGTTTTTGTTTTATAAACTATTTCTCAAGGAAACTGGAATAGCATATTGTTTTGGCTTAAAGAGGCTGCAATCTTCTTAATCTCATAGGGAATATTATTGAAAAGAAAGAACCCAGACATCATTGTCTTATCCTTTGTTAAAGTCATGAATTTTTCCACGTGGAATATTGTATGATTTATGGTACTTTAAGAAAAGAAGCTCCCAAGAAAGCATAGTTTCAATGATGAATATTATCAGAAATCCAAAGGCCTGTATCTTCAGCATAAGGGTGAACTAGCCCTCAGGTTTTCATATCTGGTTTGTTCAGGAAACCTCAAGCAGTTCCTAGATGGGTAGTGCTTCTACTGCAGGCAGGAGCATGTGCAAATCCTCTCTGGGGAAAAGAAGCTTCACCCAATGTCTAAGTGCTTCCTATAAATAATTTTTTTTTTTTGAGATAGAGTCTCACTTTGTTTCCCAGGCTGGAGTGCAGTGGCACAATCTCGGCTCACTGCAACATTTGTCTCCTGGGTTCAAGTGATTCTCCTGCCTCATCCTCCCAAGTAGCTGGGATTACAGGGGCCTGCTACCATGCTTGGCTAATTTTTTGTATTTTTAGTAGAGATGGAGTTTCACCAAGTTGGTCAGGCTGGTCTTGAACTCCTGAGCACAAGTGATTCACTCACTTCAGCCTCCCAAAGTGCTGGGATTACAGGTGTAAGTATCATGCCTGACAATAATTATTGTTAGTATAATAGCAGTACACAAAAATAATAAATGCAAAAGGAGAACAAAACATAACTAAGAACCAGAAAAACAACAGAACAAAGTCCACAAAGATGTCATTGGAATATTAAAATTCCAATAAGAATTGAAACAGTTGAACACAATTAAACAACTGTCATTCTTACTATATTTAAATGAACAAAACATAAGCTTGGATGCATCTACGGGGAAATAGAAGTAAACAACAACAAAAAGCAAATATAATAGAAAAAACAAATATAGCTTCTAGAAATAGAACACACAATCCTGAAATTAAAAGTTCACCAGATTGGTTCACAATCATGTTAGACATAGCTGAGGAGATAATTAATCACCTTGAAAATAGGCACAAAAAATTTTCCAGAAAGTAGCGCAGAGAAACAAAAGATCAAATACGTAGAAAAATGATTAATAGGCAGAGAGAAAAAGTCTAACATATATTTTATTGATGTTCTATAAGTAGGGGGGAATGGGGCAGCAGCAATGTATGAACAGAGAAAGGTGAATAATTTTTTAGAAGTGCTGAGAGAGCAAACCACAGATTTGCTGTGAATCGCAAACTGGTTCAATACAAAAAAATTTACACTGAGATTACAGTAAAGCTTAAAAGATCAAAACAATGGAGATCTTAGAAACAACCATGCCCAGAAAAGGCTGGGCATGGTGGCTCATGTTTGTAATCCCAGCACTTTGAGAAGCTGAGGCAAGAGGATTGCCTGACGCCAGGAGTTTGAGAGGAGCCTGGGCAACGTACTGATACTCCATCTCTGAAAAAAAAAAAAAAGGATAATAATTAGCTGGGCATCATGGTGCACACCTGCAGCCCTAGCTACGTGGGAGGATTGTTGGGTCCAGGAGTTTGAGGCTACAGTGAGCTGTGATTGTACCACTGCACTCTGGCCTCGGTGACAGAGCGAGACCCTGTGTCAAAAACAAAACAACAAAACAAAACAACCAGAGGAAAAAGACATCTTCAAAGGAGCAGCAGTGAGACCAACTGCTGACTTCTCAATGGCAACAATGGGAAACCAAAGACAATGGAATGGCATTGTCAATGCATTAAAAGAAAATAACTACTACTTTATATACCAGAAAGAGCTATTTCAGGAATGATTTTGAAATAGACATATTTTTCATACAGACAAAATGAAGGGTTTTTCATTATCAAATTCTCAATGAGGCAAATTCTAAAGGATATATTTCAAACAGAAATCATATGATACTAAATGGAAGAAATGAATATAGAACAAAAAGTGGTAAACATTGGCTGGGCATGGTGGCTCAAGCCTGTAATCCCAGCACTTTGGGAGACAGTTGTAGGTGGATCACCTGAGGTCAGGAGTTCGAGACCAGCCTGGCCAACGTGATGAAACCTCATCTCTACTAAAAATACAAAAATTAGCTGCATGTGGTGGTGGGCACCTGTAATCACAGCTACTCGGGAGGCTCAGGCAGGAGAATTGCTTGAGCCCAGGAGACAAATGTTGCAGTAAGCCGAGATTGCACCGCTGCACTCCAGCCTGGGTGACAAGAGCAAAACTCCATCTTAAAAAAAAAAAGTGGTAAATATCTAGATAAAATCTATATTAACATTGGTTAGATAAAACAATAATAATACCTTGCGAGGTTTAAAATAAAATTAAAATACATGACAATGCCAGCAAATATGTTGGAGAGGGAGAAATGAAATGTAAGTGTTCTAAAGATTTTTAATTGTCCAAGAAAAGAGTAAAATATTGACTAACTTTAGAATCTGATATGTTAATTATGCATGTTTTAATTTCTAGGTATCCAGTAAAATAGTGGAAATAGAATATGTAACTTATAAATCAGGAGTAGGAAAAACAGAATAATAAAACATAATTAAGTAGCAAGAAGGGGGAAAACAGAACACACAGGACAATTAGAAAGCACAAAATAAGGCTGAGCATGATGGTTCATGCCCGTAATCCCAGCACTTTGGGAGACTGAGGCAGGCGGATAACTTGAGGCCAGTAGCTTGAGACCAGCCTGGCCAACATGATGAAACCCTATCTCTACTAATAACAAAACCCAAAACAAAACAAAAAAGAAAGCACAAAACAAGATGCTAGATTTAAACTAAATCTATTAGCAACTGCATTAGATATAAGTGAATCACATGCTCCAGTTAACAAAGATCCTCAGATTATTAAAAAAGAAGGAAAACGAAATCATGTGCTATTTAATAAGAGATGTTTTGAGCATAAAATAATCAAAGTATGAGTAAGAGGATAGTGTATTAGCTTTCTATTTCTGCTGTAACAATTTATCACAAACTTAGTGGCTTATGTGATACAAACAAGGTTTTATTGAGCTAAAATCAAAATGTTTTCAGGGCTGTATTCTTCTTGCAGGTTTTAGATACAAAAACATTTTTGGCCAGGTGTGGTGGCTCATGCCTGTAATGCCAACATTTTGAGAGGCCAAGGCAGGAGGATTACTGTAGCCCAAGAGTTCAAGACCAGCCTGGGCAACATAGGGAAGCCCTATCTCTACATAAAATAAACAAAATTAGATGGGTTCAGTGGCATGTACCTGTAGTCCCAGCTACTCAGGAAGCTGAGGTGGGAGGACTGCTTGAGCCTGAGAGGTAGAGGCTGCAGTGAGCTGAGATTGTGACACTGTACTCTAGCCTGGGCAACAGAGTGAGACCCTGTCTTAAAAAAATAAAAAGAAATCTATTTTGGGGTCTTTTCCTGCTTCTGGAATCTTCTAGAAGTTGCCTACATTCCCTGGCTCATGGCCTTCCTCCTCCATCTTCAAAACCAGCAATATTGAGCCAAGTCTTTCTCACATTGCATCATTCTGACCCAGTCACTACTTCTGCCTCTTTCTTTCACTTTTAAGGACAATGATGATTATATTGGGCCCAATTGGCTAATTCAGGACACTTTCCCTATTTTAAGGTTAGGTGATCAGCACATATCTGCAACCTTAATTCCCCTTGGCTACATAACATATTTGACAGGTTCTGAGGAATTAGAATGTGGACATCAATGAGGGCCATAGATAGGGAAAGATATACCATGAAAGTATTAATAAAAAAGAAAGCCAGGGTAGCTATAGTTTATGTTTTAGAGATAGATGTCTTGCTATATTGCCGAGGCTCACCTCAAACTCCTGGGCTCAAGGAATCCTCTTGCCTTAGCCTCCCCAGTAGCTGGGACTGTGGGCATGTGCCACCACACTCAGCTTCAGTGTAGCTATATTTATATTAGACACAACAAAATTTAAAAAGTCAAAAAAGACCTAAATACATATGCCCTATTCATCAACTGGAAGTCTTAATTTCATTAAAACACCAAATTTCACCAATTTAATCTGTGAATTTGATACAATCCCAACCAAAATCTCAGCAGGAGTTTTTGTAGACAGAAAAGTTAAACATAAAATTTATATTAAAAAGCAGAGGGGATTGCTGGCAAGATGGCCAAATAGGTACAGCTCTGGTCTGCAGCTCCCAGCAAAATCGACGCAGAAGGTTGGTGATTTCTGCATTTCCAACTGAAGTACCCGGTTCACCTCACTGGGACTGGTTGGACAGTGGATGCACCCCACAGAGGGCGAGCCGAAGCAGAGTGGGGCGTTGCTTCACCCAGAAAATGCAAGGGGTTGGGGAATTTTCTCCCCTACCCAAGGGAAGCCGGGAGGGACTGAGCCTGAGGAACCGTGCCCTCCAGCCCAGATACTGCGCTCTTCTCATGGTCTTTGCAACATGCAAACCAGGAGATTCCCTCCAGTGCCTAAGCCACCAGGGCCCTGGGTTTCAAGCACAAAACTGGGCGGCCGTTTGGGCAGACACTGAGTTAGCTGCTGGAGTTCTTTTTCCATACCCGACTGGCACCTGGAATGCCAGCGAGACAGAACCGTTTACTCCCCTGAAAAGAGGGCTGAAGCCAGGGAGCCAAGTGGTCTGGCTCGGCGGGTCCCACCCCGACAGAACCCAGCAAACAAAGATCCACTGGCTTGAAATTCTCACTGCCAGCACAGCAGCAGTCTGAGATCGACCTGGGATGCTGGAGCTTGGTGGGGGGGAGGGGCATCTGCCATTGCTGAGGCTTGAGTAGGTGGTTTTACCCTCACAGTGTAAACAAAGCCACCAGAATGTTCAAATGGGATGGAGCCCACCGTAGCTCAGCAAGGCCACTGTGGCCAGACTGCCTTTCTAGATTTCTCCTCGCTGGGCAGGGCATCTCTGGAAAAAAAAAGGCAGCAGCCCTAGTCAGAGACTCACAGATAAAACCCCCATCTCCCTGGACAGAGCACCTGGGGGAAGGGGCGGCTGTGGGCGCAGCTTCAGCAGATTTAAACGTCCCTGCCTAGCAGCTCTGAAGAGAGCAGCAAATCACCAAGCACAGCATTCGAGCTCTGCTAAGGGTCAGACTGCCTCCTCAAGTAGGTCCCTGACAGCCGTATACACTGACTGGGAGACACCTCTCAGTAGAGGCCAAAAGACACCTCATACAGCAGAACTCTGGCTGGCATCTGGCAGGTGCCCCTCTGGGATGAAGATTCCAGAGGAAATAATAGGCAGTAATATTTGCTGTTCTGCAGCCTCCGTGGTAATAGCCAGGCAAAAGGTCTGGAGTGGACCTCCAGCAGATGTGCAGCAGAGGGACCTGACTGTTAGAAGGAAAACTAAAAAACAGAAATGAATAGCACGTCCACTCAGAGACCACATCCAAAGGTCACCAACATCAAAGACCAAAGGTAGATAAATCCACAAAGATGTGGAGAAACCAGCACAAAAAGCCTGAAAATTCCAAAAACCACAACGCCACTTCTCCCACAAAGGATCACAACTCCTCGCCAGCAAGGGAACAAAACTGGACGGAGAATGAGTTTGACGAATTCACAGAAGTAGGCTTCAGAAGGTGGGTGACAACAAACTCCTCCAAGCTGAGAGCATGTTCTAACCCAATGCAAGGAAGCTAAGAACCTTGAAAACAGGTTAGACAAATTGCTAACTAGAATAATCAGTTTAGAGAAGAACGTAAGTGACATGATGGAGCTGGAAACACAGGACAAGAACTCCGTGAAGCATATGCAAGTATCAATAGCTGAATCTATCAAGTGGAAGAAAGGATATCAGACATCGAAGATCAACTTAATGAAATAAAGCATGAAGACAAGATTAGAGAAAAAAGAATGAAAAGGAACGAACAAAGCATCCAAGAAATATGACACTACGTGAAAAGACCAAACTTACATTTGATTAGTGTACATGAAAGTAACAGGGAGAATGAAACCAAGTTGGAAAACACTCTTCAGGATACAATCCAGGAGAATTTCACCAACCTAGCAAGACAGGCCAACATTCAAATTCAGGAAATACAGAGAACACCAAAAAGATACTCCTTGAGAAGAGCAACCCCAAGACACATAATTGTTAGATTCACCAAGGTTGAAATGAAGGAAAAAATGTTAAGCGTAGCCAGAGAGAAAGGTTGGGTTACCCGCAATGGGAAGCCCGTCAGACTAACAGTGGATCTCTCAGCAAAACCCTACAAGCCAGAAGCGAGTGGGGGTCAATATTCAACATTCTTAAAGAAAAGAATTTTCAACTCAGAATTTCATATCCAGCCAAACTAAGCTTCATAAGTGAAGGAGAAATAAAATCCTTTATAGGCAAGCAACTGCTGAGAGAGTTTGTCAGCACCAGGCCTGCCTTACAAGAGCTCCTGAAGGAAGCACTAAGCATGGAAAGGAACAACTGGTACCAGCCACTGCAAAAACATGCCAAATTGTAAAGAACATAGACACTATGAAGAAACTACATAAACAAATGAGCAAAATAACCAGCTAGCATCATAATGACAAGATCGAATTCATACATAACAATGTTAAACTTAAATGTAAATGGGCTGATTGCCCCAATTAAAAGACACAGATTGGCAAACTGGACAACGAGTCAAGACCCATCAGTGTGCTGTATTCAGGAGACCCATTTCATGTGCAGACACACATAGGCTCAAAATAAAGGGATGGAGGAATATTTACCAGGCAAATGCAAAGCAAAAAAGAGCAGGAGTTGCAGTTTTAATCTTGGATAAAAGAGACTTTAAACCAACAAAGATTAAAAGAGACAAAGAGGGCATTACATAATGGTAAAGAGATCAATGCAACAAGAAGAGCTAACTATCCTAAATATATGTGCAGCCAATACAGAAGCACCCAGATTCATAAAGCAAGTTCTTAGAGACCTACAAAGAAACTTACACTCCCACACAATATTATTGGGAGACTTTAACACCCCACTGTTAATATTAGACAGATCAATGAGACAGAAAATTAACAAGGATATTCAGGACTTGAACTCAGCTCTGGACCAAGCGGACCTCATAAACATCTACAGAACTCTCCATCCAAAATCAACAGAATATTCCGCTCAGCACCACATCGTACTTATTCTAAAATTGACCACATAATTGGAAGTAAAACACTCCTCAGCAAATGCAAAAGAATGGAAATCATAACAAACAGTCTTTCATACCACAGGGCAATCAAATTAGAAATCAGGATTAAGAAACTCACTGAAAACCGCACAACTACATGGGAACTGAATAACCTGCTCCTGAATGACTACTGGGTAAATAACGAAATTGATGCAGAAATAAAGATGTTCTTTGAAACCAATGAGCACAAAGACACAACGTACCAGTATCTCTGGGACACATTCAAAGCAGTATGTAGTGGGAAATTTATAGCACTAAATGCCCACAAGAGAAAGCAGGAAAGATCTAAAATCAACACCCTAACATCACAATTAGAAGTACTAGAGAACCAAGAACAAACACATTCAAAAGCTGGCAAAAGACAAGAAAAAAACTAAGAAGAGAGCAGAACTGAAGGAGATAGAGACACAAAAAACCCTTCAAAAAAATCAATGAATCCAGGAGCTGGTTTTTTGAAAAGATCAACAAAATAGACCACTAGCCAAACTAATATAGAAGAAAAGAGAGAAGAATCAAATAGAGGCAATAAAAAATGATAAAAGGGATATCACCATTGATACCACAGAAATACAAACTACCATCAGAGAATACCATCAACACCTCTACACAAATAAAGTAGAAAATATAGAAGAAAATGGATAAATTTCTGGAGACATACACCCGTCCAAGCCTAAACCAGGAAGAAGTTGATTCCCTGAATAGACCAATAACAGGTTCTGAAATTGAGGCAATAATTAATAGCTTACCAACCAAGAAAAGTCCAAGACCAGAATGATTCACAGCAGAATTCTAAAAGAGGTACAAAGAAGAGCTGGTACCATTTCTTCTGAAACTATTCCAAACAATAGAAAAAGAGGGAATCCTCTGTAACTCATTTTATGAGGCCAGCATCATCCTGATACCAAAACCTGGCAGAGACACAACCAAAAGACAAAATTTCAGGCCAATATCCTTGATGAACATCAATACAAAAATCCTCAATAAAATACTGGCAAACCGAATCCAGCAGCACATCAAAAAGCTTATCCACCAAGATCAACTTGGCTTCATCCCTGGGATGCAAGGCTGGTTCAACATATGCAAATCAATAAACATAATTCATCACATAAACAGAACCAATGACAAAAACCACATGATTATCTCAGTAGATACAGAAAAGGCCTTCGACAAAACTCCACACCATTTTAACCTAAAAACTCTCAATAAACTAGGTATCGATGGAACGTGTGTTGAAATAATAATAGCTATTTATGACAAACCCACAGCCAATATCCTACTGACTGGGCAAAAGCTGGAAGCATTTCCTTTGAAAACCAGCATAAGACAAGGATACCCTCTCTCACCACTCCTATTCAACATAGTATTGGAAGTTCTGGCCAGGACAATAAGGCAAGAGAAAAAATAAAGGGTATTCAAATAGGAAAAAAGGAAGTCAAATTGTCCCTATTTGCAGATGACATCACTGTATATTGAGAAAATCCCATTGTCTCTGCCCCAAATCTCCTTAAGCTGATAAGCAACTTCAGCAAAGTCTCAGGATACAAAATCAATGTGCAAAAATCACATACCTATACACCAGAAACAGACAAACAGAAAGCCAAATCATGAGTGAACTCCCATTCACAAGTGCTACTAAGAGAATAAAATACCTAGGAATCCAACTTACAAGGGACGAGAAGCACCTCTTCAAGGAGAAGTGCAAACCACTGTTCAAGGAAATAAGAGAGGACACAAATAAATTGAAAAACATTCCATGCTCATGGAGAGGAAGAATCAATACCGTGAAAATGGCCATACTGCCCAAAGTAATTTATAGATTCAATGCTATCCCCATCAAGCTACCCCTGCCTTTCTTCACAAAATTGGAAAAACTACTTTAAACTTCATATGGAACCACAAAAGAGCCCACATAGCCAAGACAATCCTAAGCAAAAAGAACGAAGCTGGAAGCATCACACTACCTGACTTCAAACTATACTACAAGGCTACAGTAACCAAAACAACATGGTACTGGTACCAAAACAGATATATAGACCAATGAAACAGAACAGAGACCTCTTAAATAACACCACACATCTAAAACCATCTGATCTTTGACAAACCTGACAAAAAGAAGCCATGGGGAAAGAATCCCCTATTTGATAAATAGTGTTGGGAAAACTGGCTAGCCATATGCAGAAATCTGAAACTGGATTTGTTCCTTAAACGTTACACAAAAATTAACTCAAGATGGATTAAACACTTAAACCTAAGACCTAAAACCATAAAAACCCTAGAAGAAAACCTAGGCGATACCATTCAGGATCTAGGCCTGGGCAAAGACTTCATGACTAAAACACCAAAAGCAAAGGCAACAAAAGCCAAAATTGACAACTGGGATCCAGTTAAACTAAAGAACTTCTGCACAGCAAAAGAAACTATCATCAGAGTGAACAGGCAACCTACAGAATGGGGGGAAATTTTTTGCAATCTGTACATCTGACAAAGGGCTAATATCCAGAATCTACAAAGAACTAAAACAAATTCACATGAAAAAAAAAAGAACCCCATCAAAAAGTGGGCAAAGGATATGAACAGACACTTCTCAAAAGAAGACATTGATGCAGCCAACAAACATAAAAAAAGCTCATCATCACTGGTCATTAGAGAAATGCAAATCAAAACCACAATGAAATACCATCTCACACCAGTTAGAATGGTGATGATTAAAAAGTCAGGAAACAACAGCTGCTGGAGAGGATGTGGAGAAATAAGAACGCTTTTACACTGTTGGTGGGAGTGTAAATTGGTTCAACTGTTGTGGAACACAGTGTGGCGATTCCTCAAGGATCTAGAACAAGAAATAACATTTGACCCAGTAATCCCATTACTGGGTATATACCCAAAGGATTATAAATCATTCTATTAGAGGGGCACATGCAAATGTATGTTTATTGTGGCACTGTTAAAAATAGCAAAGACTTGGAACCAACCCAAATGCCCATCAATAATAGACTGGACAAAGAAAACGTGGCACATATACACCATGGAAAACTATGCAGCCATAAAAAAAGATGAGTTCATGTCCCTCGCAGTGACATGGATGAAGCTGGAAACCACCATTCTCAGCAAACTAACACAAGAACGGAAAACCGAACACCACATGTTATCAGTCATAAGTGGGAGTTGAACAATGAGAAGACATGGACACAGGGAGGGGAACATCACACATCAGTGGCCTGTTCAGGGTTGAGGGGCTAGGGGAGGGATAGCATTAGGAGAAACACCTAATGTAGACGACAGGTTGATGGGTGCAGCAAACCACCATGGCACGTGTATACCTATGTAACAAAACTGCATATTCTGCACATATACCCCAGAACTTAATGTACAATTAAAAAAATCCTCAGCAAAATACTAGCAAACAGAATCTGGCAATATATAGAAAGAATATACACTATGACGATCCCAGGAATGCAAGTGTGTTTAACATACCTAAATCGATTAACATAATATACTCATAAATAGAATGAAGGACAAAAAAACCAGATGATCATCTCAATAGTTGCAGAAAAAGCATTTCACAAAATCCAACACCCTGTCATGAAAAAAAACCACCCAACAATCCAGGAATAGAAGGGAAATTCCTCACCCTGATAAAGAACATCTAGGGAAACCAACAAGTAACATCATACTTAAAGGTAAAAGTCTGAATTTAAAGATTAAGAACAAGATACTGACATCTGCTCTTGCCACTTCTATTGAACATTGTTTTAGAGGTTCTAGTGAGGGCAATTAGGTAAGAAAATGAAATAAAAATGGATACAGATTGGAAAAGAAGAAGTAAAACTATCTCTGTTTGCAGATGACATGAGCTGGTATACAGAAAATACAAGAAAATCCACTAAAAATCTCTTAGAACTAATAAGTGAGTCTTGCAAGTTTCAGAATACAAGATGAATATAAACAATATTTCATTGTATTTCTATGGTTTCCTATCTTTTTCATTTCACCAAGTCCTGATGGAATCAATTGTATTTTTGTACAGTAGCAATGAGCAAACTAAAAATGAAATTGAGAGTAGTTTTATTTAGAACAGCACCAAAAAGAATAAAATACTATATTTGTCCATTCCCAACTGCTATGAAGAAATACCTGAGACTGGGTAATTCAAAACGAAGAGGTTTAATTGGCTCATAGTTCTACTGGATGTACAGGAAGCATGGCAGCATCAGCTTCTAGAGAGGCCTCAGGAAACTTTCAATCATGGCGGAAGGCAAAGGGGGAGTGAGGCATCTCATGGTCAGAGTAGAAACAAGAACGAGTGAGGTGGGAGGTGCTACACACTTTTAAACGACTAGATCTCCCAAGGACTCACTATCACGAGAACAGCACTAAGGTGATGGTGCTAAACCATTTATGAGAAAACTACCCCTTTAATACAATCACCTCCTAACCAGACCCCACCTCCAACACTGGGAATTACAATTCAACATGAGATTTGGGTAGGCATACAGATCCAAACCATATCAAATGCTCAGGAATAAATTAACAAAAGAAGCGCAAAACTTATAAAATGAAAATTACAAAACATTATTGAAAAATGTGAAAGAAGAGCTAAATAAATGGAAAGACATCCTATATTCATGAATGGAAAGATGTAATATTGTTAAAGTGGCAATACTCCCCAAATTGATATGGATGTTTAATGCAATCACTATCAAAATCCCAGCTGCCTTCTTTACAGAAATTGACAAGCTGATCCAAAAATTCATATGGAAATGCAAGGGACTCAGAATAGACAAAACAATTTTGAGAAAAAAGACCAGGTTCACATTTCTTAATTTCAAAGAACTACAAAAATATGAAAATCAAGACAGTGTGGAACGGGTGTAAGAATAGACACATAGATCAACGGAATAGAACTGAAATTCCAGAAATAGGTCCTGGCATGTATACAGTTAATTGATTTTTTTACTAGAGTGCCAAGACAATTCAGTGGGAGAAAGAACTATCATTTCAACCAGTGGTATTGGGTCACATGGATTATCCACATGCAAATGAATATCCACATGCAAATAGAAATTTACATGGAATAAAGCTGGATGCATATCTCACACCATATGCAAAAATTAACTAAAAGATTGATTAAAAACCTAAATTAAAGAGCTAAAACTATAAAACTCTCAGAAGAAAACACAGGTATAAACTTGCATGTCCTTAGATTAGGCAATGGTTTCTTAGACATGACACCAAAAGCATAAGCAATAAAAGAAAAATATAGATAAACTGGACATCACCAGAAGTTTAAATTTTTGTGCCTCAAAGGACACGACCAAGAGAGTGAAAAGACACTCTACAGCATGGGAGAAAATTTTTGCAAATCATGTCTGATAAGAAATTTGTATCTAGTATAAAGAACTTTTACAACTCAATAATAAAAAGGTAATAACCCAATTAAAAAGTGGCCAAAGGATCTGACATTTCTCCAAAGAAGAAACACAAACGATGAATAAGCACATGTAAAGATGGTCAACATTATTGGCCATCAGAGAAAAGAAAGTCGAAACTATTGGTATCTAGTGGGATATACCAATTCACACCACTAGAATGGCTATTATAAAAACAACAAAAAACTAATTAAAAAAAACAGATAGTAACAAGTGTTGACTGGGTACAGTGGCTCACATTTGTAATCCTAGTGTGCCCGGAATTGGTGGGTTCTTGGTCTCACTGACTTCAAGAATGAAGCCGCGGACCCTCGTGATGAGTGTTATAGCTCTTAAGGCAGTGCATCTGGAGTTGTTCTTTCCTCCCGGTGGGTTCATGGTCTCGCTGGCTTCAGGAGTGAAGCTGCAGATCTTCTCGGTGAGTGTTACAGCTCATAAAGGCAGTGTGGACCCAAAGAGTGAGCAGCAGCAAGATTTATTGCAAAGAGCCAAAGAACAAACCTTCCACATTGTGGAAGGGGACCCAAGCGGGTTGCCACTGCTGGCTCGGGCAGCCTGCTTTTATTCTCTTATCTGGCCCTACCCACATCCTGCTGATTGGTCCATTTTACAGAGAGCGGAGTGATCTGTTTTGACAGGGCGCTGATTGGTGCGTTTATAATCCCTGAGCTAGACACAAAGGTTCTCCACCTCCCCACTAGATTAGCTAGATACAGAGTGTCCACACAAAGGTTCTCCAAGTCCCCACCAGAGTAACTAGATACAGAGTGTAGATTGGTGCATTCACAAACCCTGAGCTAGACACAGGGTGCTGATTGGTGTATTTACAATCCCTGAGCTAGACCTAAAGGTTCTCCACGTCCCCACCAGACTCAGGAGCCCAGCTGGCTTCACCCAGTGGATCCCGCACCAGGGCCGCAGATGGAGCTGCCTGCCAGTCCCGCGCCCTGCGCCTGCACTCCTCAGCGCTTGGGTGGTCGATGGGACTGGGTGCCACGGAGCAGGGAGCGGCGCTCGTCGGGGAGGCTTGGGCCAAGCAGGAGCCCACGAGGGTGGGGGAGGCTCAGGCATGGCAGGCTGCACGTCCCGAGCCCTGCCCTGCAGGAAGGCAGCTAAGGCCCTGCGAAAAATTGAGCACAGCAGCTGCTGGCCCAGGTGCTAAGCCCCTCACTGCCCGGGGCCAGCGCGGCCGGCCGGTGGCTCCAAGTGCGGGGACTGCCCAGCCCACGCCCACCCGGAACTCGCACTGGCCCGCAAACACCTTGCGCAGCCCAGGTTCCCGCCCGCGCCTCTCCCTCCACACCTCCCCGCAAGCTGAGGGAGGCGGCTCCGGCCTTGGCCAGCCCAGAAAGGGGCTCCCACAGTGCAGCGGTGGGCTGAAGTGCTCCTCAAGTGCTGCCAAAGTGGAAGCCCAGGCAGAGGAGGCGCCGAGAGCAAGCGAGGGCTGTGACGACTGCCAGCACGCTGTCACCTCTCACTAGCACTTTGGGAGTGTGAAGCGAGTGGATTGCCTGAGCTCAGGAGTTAGAGATCAGCCTGGCCAACATGGCAAAATCCCGTCTCTACTAAAAAAAAAAAAAAATTAGCCAGGCGTGGTAGCACACACCTCTAGTAGCAGCTACTCGGGAGGCTGAGGCAGGAGAATCACTTGAACCTGGGAGGCAGAGGTTGAACTGAGCTGAGATCATGCCACTGCACTCCAGCCTGGGCAACAGAGCAAAACTCTGTCTCAAAAAAACAAAACAAAACAAAAACCAAAAAAAACCAAAAACAAACAAAAAACCCCCAAAAATAAAAAATAAATAAAAAACCCAAAAAACAAGTGTTGGTGAGGATTTGGAGAAATCAAAACCATGATACTCTTCTGGTGAGAATGTACAATGATGCAGCTGCTTTGGAAAATAGTCTGGCAGTTCTTCAAAGTGTTAAACATAGAGTTTCCATATTATCCAACAACTCCACTCCTAGGTAGATCCTCAAGAGAAGTAAGAACATGTCCACACAAAAACTTGTACATGATCATTCCTAGCAGCATGTTCATGAAAGTCAAAAAGAGGGAAAACTCCAATGTCTATCCATCAACTGATGAAGGGACAAATAAAATGTGATATGTCCATAGAATGAGATATTTGCCAATAAGATGAAGTATTGTGCTCCTCAACTCACACTGAGGTTACATCCCAATAAACCATTGTAAGTTGAAAACGTCGAAAGTCGAAAAATGCATTGAATACACCTAATCTACCAAACAACATAGCTCAGCCTAGCCTACATTAAACGTGTTCAGAACACTTAAATTAGCCTACAGTTGGGCAAAATCAGCTAACACAAAGCCTATTTTATAATAAAGTGTTGAATATATCATATAATTTATTGAATACTATAATGAAAGGGAAAACCGGAATGGTTGGATGGGTTCTTGAAGCACAGTTCCTACTGAATGCGTGTTGTTTTTGCACCATCATGAAGTCAAAAAAATTGTTAGTTGAGCCATTTTAAGTTGGGGAATGTCTATATTGATACATACTACAACACGCATGAATCTTGAAAACACTGTGCTAAGTGAAAAAGAAAACAGTTACAAAAGACTGCATATTGTATGATTTTATTTATATAAAATGCCCAGAACAGGCACATCTGTAGAGACAGAAAGTAGTTGCTGCCTAGGACTAGGGTCAGTGGGATGAGGTGTTTCAGCAGTGGTGTCTAAGGGGCATAGGTTTTGTGTTTTGTTTTTGTGGTAATTAAAATGTTCTACAATTAATTGTGGTCCTAGAAGTGCACTTTGTGAAAATACTAAAAACCACAGGTTTGCATAAGTTGAAAGTGTGAATTGTATGATATGTGAATCATATCTCAATAAGATGGGTATGGTACAGGACTCTCTGTACTGAAAAAAAGAAGGGTATGGAGCAGTGGAAACTCTCAAGTGATGTTGATGGGAATGAAAATTAGCATAACCACTTTGGAAAGATGTTTGCCAATATCTAGTAGTTGAAGACTACATAGTATCTCTATGACTCAGCAATTTTATTCCTGAATATATCCCCTTGGGAAACTTGTACACATGTGTAGCAGGATACATTTAGGAGAATAGCAGCATTAATTGCAATGACTCCAAAATGGAAACAACCCAAATGTCCATCATCAGAGTGTGCAATTAAATTGTAGTATGGCAATATCATGGAAGACTTTTGAGAGAAGAAAATGAATGAACTAAAACTATTCTCACCAAATGTGGATGAAGCCTAAAAACTTAATGTTGAAGGAAAGAAACATGACACCAGAAATATAGACAGTATTAATTCATTTACATAAAGTTCAAAAACCTGAAACTAAAAAGCAGAAACTAAAACACAGAATTTAGGGGGGCTATCCATACATGGTAAAAGATAAAGAAATACAAAGAAAGTAATTATCTAAAAAGTCAGAATAGTGTTTACTCACCCTCTGTGGGGAGGGGACACTTAAGGGGTTTTGGGACCTTGGCAAGGACTTTCCTTGACCCAGTATGAGTACACAGCTGTTCCCTTTAAAATTACTCATTAAACTGTATATTTATATTTTTTGGTCTTTTTAAAATATGTAGTAATACACAATAAAAAAGCTCAAAGAAAAGTCTGAAAAATGTTTGGAATTAATAAAGAAAACGTATTAATATTTTAAAATTATTTTAAATATATTATTCGTAGATGTTTGAATCGAATTGGAAAGAATTCTATATGTTCATATATAATATTGTCCTACTGACCCAGAAATTGACATGTTGCATTATAAACAAAAGAACTCATTACCTCTAGTGCCCTCAGTGGGACTGTATGCTGAAATGTAAGTAGGTTCAAGAAGGGTTTGGAGGAATTGATGGAAGATAGATCTCAAACAGTGATACGTACGATAAATTCCTAACCTTTTGAAGTGGATGTCGAAGAGGGTAATTGGATTCTCTTCAACATGTTTCCTGTTGCTGCTGTCAGATAGAAAGCAAGACTGGATCGATGGAGGGTCTGACCCAGGAAGGCAAATCTCATCTTCTTCTGTAACTAGGGAAGATACAACTCTTCCCCAGAGGATCGCATTCCACGACAGGTGCCCAGGATGAAGGACAAGGCTCATCAACCAGTATTTACCATGCAACTTAAGACTAGAGTAGTTTCTGGGTCCCTGTTTTCAAAGAATTGATAATCTGACTGGGAAGACAAAGTGACACTCGTGACCAGAAGCTTCAAATTTTGAATTATGTGGCTTTAACAATAAGTATATTCTCAGGAAAAATATTTGCAGATATTAACTTAGGAAAATTTACAAATCAATAAGAAAAATATAAACAACCCCAAAGAAAAATGAGCAAAGGGACTGGATAGGCAGATCACAGAAAAAGAAATCCAGACACCAACAAGCATATGAAAAGTTGGTTACCTTCATACTCAAAATGCAGAACTGTAGATCAAAGCAATAAGATGTTCTTTATCACCTGTATTGTCCATTCTCACATAGCTAAAAATAACTACCTGAGACTGGGTAATTTAAAAAGAAAAGAAGGTGAAGTGGCTCATGGTTCTGCAGGTTGTTCAGGAAGCATGGCTGGAGAGGCCTCAGGAAACTTACAACATGGTGGAAGGCAAACGGGAAGCAGGCACATCATCATATGGCCAGAGGAGAGAGTGAAGGGGGACATGCTCCACGCTTTTAAAAAACCAGATCTTGTGAGAATTCACTCATTGTCATGAGAATAGCAGGGGAGAAATCTGTCCCCATGATCCAATCACTTCCCAACACATCCTTCCCCCAACATTGGGGATTACAATTCAACATGAGATTTGGGTGGGGATGCAGAGCCAAACCATTCATCACCTATTATATTGGCAAATATTTACGAGTTTGAAAAGAGCCAGTGTCGGTGAGTGTGTGGGCAAATAAATATTGTTTGCTACTAGTAGAAACATAAATAGCTATTTATTAATTCCTAATTACTTAATTAATATTTAGTAATCACTAATTACATCCGTACAACCTTTTGGAAGAACAAGTATCCAATATCAACTTTAAAAAAACACACACATACTCTTTGACTCAGCAATTTGAGTACCAGGAATTCAGCCCTTGGATATTCACCTAAAAGTACCAATGTAGCCATAGATAAGAAACAAGTAACATAAATTTCCCCCATGGAGGGGAAAATGGTGGCTGGGGGCTGTCTAGGAGGGATGCAATGGGGATTACAGAGGAAGAAGGGGAGACTTTTTGCTTTATAATCTCTTAGATATTTGAATTTTGAATTTTGTAAATGAGTATATAAAATCATTAACAAATTTGTTTTACATTAAAAATGATTTAAAAAAAACTTAAAAAGAGGACCTCACCACTGTAAGATGAGTGTATATAATAATATTATTCCTAGTAGCTGGGTGACAAAATAATCTGTAAAACAAATCCCTGTGACCCAAGTTTACTGAAAACAAAAACATGCACATATATCCCTGAACCTAAAAGTTAACAAAACTCAATAATTATTATATGGTTTCAAATAGCTAGAAGGGGGATATTGATGTTCCCAACAAAAGAGAATGATAAATGTTTGAAATAATGGATATGCTAATTACCCTCATTTGATCACTATACATTATATGTATCAAAATATCACTATGCACCCCATAAATATGTAATTGTTATTTGTCAATTAAAAAACATAATTTAAAAAAGGACTTCAAGATATGTTCATTGTAACATTACTATTGCAAATCACTGAAAAATACCCAGATGGTCATCAACAGGTGACTGCTTGAGTAAATGTACAGACAGTGGAATCTATGTAGCTGCTTAAAAGAGTGAGATGAGGCCAGGCATGGTGGCTCATGCCTGTCATCCCAGCACTTTGGGAAGCTGAGTAAGGAGGATCGCTTGAGGCTAGGAGTTCAAGACCAGCTTGGGCTACATAGAGAGACCCTATCTCTAAAAAAAAAACAAGAAAAAAAAAAAAAAAAGCCAGAAGTGGTGGTCCCTGCCTGTATTTCCAGCCACTCAGGAGAATGAGGTGGGAGGATCACTTGAGACCAGGAGACGGAAGCTGCAGTGAGCTATGCTCGTGCCACTGCACTTCAGCCTGGGTGACAGAAATGAGTGGGACAAACTCCATGGGGGAATATCTGCTAGATACATACAACAAAAGCAAGCTATAGATGTCTCCACAGAGGAATTCTAAGGAGTTGTGTTTTTTTTTTTGGTAAATTAAAAAACATACATGCAGATAATCTTTGAGGGGGGAACTGGGAGTGGGGAGGGAGGAAGATTTATCTTTATTTTGAAATGTCTATATTGTTTGAATATATTACATTTTCCTTTTTAAATACGTAATTTTTACTTTAAAACATTTTAATAAAGATTTTTGGAGATCGTTAATTTAGCAAACGCCTACTGAAATTTGTTGTGTTCCACATTCTGTGGCAGACACAAGGGAAGAAAAAGTATAAAAAAGACATGCACCTTTGCTGGAAGAACTCAGTCTCACTGAAGACCATTTATAGATAATTATAGCACAGTGGAAAAAGCCCCACTGAGAGAGAGAGACTAATGCTGTGTGGCGGGGTCACAGAGGACTTGGGTTTTGGAAAAATTTCTCAAAGTTCCTAGGCAGAAAGAGGGGTGCTGTCCTAAACCAGGCAGAGATGACCAGGAGCTGACCCAGGTCATTGGCAATGGGATGGACTGAAAAACCTTTTCTATAGTAGAATCGACTCAAGATAGGTGATTAGTGGGCTGTGGGCAGGTGAAGGAGAGAGCTATTTCTATGTGATTGAGTTAGGAACATCAACTGAATTTGGTATTATTTTCAGAACAGCAGAAACTGTTATGCAGTGTTCAGATGCAACAGGCATATGAAGGTCCCCACCCCCAGAGAGGCTTAAATCTGGTTGGTGAGAAAAATGATATTGGCTTTTACCTGTCATTAGTCTAAGCTGACACTTCAATTCACTAAAACCTGCCCTTTTGCCAACAACCACTCAACCTCTCCGCTGCAATGTGTTGAAGAGCAGCACCCAGCGCCTTCCCTGATCGACGGTTGCACTGCCTGGCTCTGCCACTCAATGGCTGCGTGATCATGAGCAAGTGACCTCACTGCTTCCACCACTCTTTCTTCATCTGTAAAATGGGGATGAGGATAGCACAGGCTTTATGACACGTAAATGATGTAAGGAATGTAGAGACTTAGCACAGCGTTTGGCATGTAGCAGTGCTCACCAAATGTGATCTGTGACTGTTAGTATTATTTTATAAAAATCATGGGGGAGGGACCGGGCACGGTGGCTCATGCCCATAATCCCAGTGCTTTAGGGAGCCTAGGTGGAAGGATCGCTTTGAGTTTTGAACTCCAGCCGGAGCAACATAGGGATACCTCTGTCTTTACAAAAATTAAAACTAAAAACATTAGCTGAGAGTGGTGGTACACGCGTGCGGTATCAGCTACTTGAGAAGCTGAGGCGGGCAGATCCTTTGAGCTCAAGAGTTCAAGGCTGCAGTGAGCTATGATCATGCCACTGCACTCCAGCCAGGGTGACAGAGTAAGACCCTGTCTCAAAAAAAAAAAAAAAAAAAATCATGGGGAAAGGAGTTCAGGTGTTGATCAGCAAAGCTCCTCCAGGCCATTTTAAGTTGTGAGGAGGCAGCCCTGCTGCTTGAGCTGTGAGGACTGTCTATGTACATGCAGAGTTTGGTAATAACATCTGCAATAGTGACACATGTGTTTGTTACTGTGCTACATGGTCATTAGATATAAATAGCAAGCCATTCACATAAATAAAAATATTTACTTTTTTAATGAGACCAACCTGGCCAACAGGGTGAAACCCCCTCTCTACTAAAAATACAAAAATTAGCTGGGCATGGTGGCAGGCACCTGTAATCCCAGCTACTCGGGAGGCTGAGGCAGGAGAATCGCTTGAACCCAGGAGGCAGAGGTTGCAATGAGCTAAGATCGTGCAATTGCACTCCAGCCTGGGCAACAAAGTGAGACTCCGTCTCAAAAAAAAAAAAAAAAATTGCAATAAGAAGAAAACGGGCCAAGTGTGGTGGTTCACACCTGTAATCCCATTACTTGGGAAGGCTGAGGTGCGAGCATCACTAGAAGCCAGGAGTTCAAGACCAGCCTGGGAAACAAACCAAGATCCCATCTCTACCAAAAAAAAAAAAAAAAAAAAAAAAAAAAAAAAAAAATTCAGCTGGGCATGGGAGCGTGTGCCTGTAGTTCTACTTACTCAGGAGACTGAGGATTGCTTAAGCTCAGAAGTTTGAGGCTAGTGAGCTATGATTTCTCCACTGCTCTCCAGCCTGGGTGACAGAGCAAGACCTTGTCTCTGAAATAAACAAGAAGTAAATGCATTGTTGATAAAGTCAGAGAATAATGAGGGAAATGTTTTGTAGAGAAAACAAAGCTGGAGTGAAGGCCTAAGAAGAAGCCGAAGATGTTTGATTGCAGAGTTACGGGGTTAAAGCCAAAGCTACGTTGTGTGTGAGATGCAGAGACGCATTCCGGGAAGAGAAGGGCGTCTGAGGCTTTTAAAGAAAAATCCAAAAGAAGGAATAAAGGGGATTGGAAAAGAAATGAGTGAGAAGGGAAGAACTAGGGCTGGCAGTGACAGTTTCCTCTTCCTAGAACGCCTCTTCAAAGAGAAAGCATTTATTGATGAGCTGCAATTCATTCCTTCACTTGACATCTGGAGACGGTTTGAGAAATCCTGCCGTAGAGTAGCCGGAGCTGCTGCTAATGCCTGCCTAATCCCAGATGGCGGGAAGAAGATGGGTTCCTTCCTTCGGTCTCCTGTGCCAGAGATGCCTTCTGCATGAAGATGCCTTGGCCTTGCAGGAACAGGAGAGGAAAATGAGCTTCCTTGGATGTAGAAAGGCAAGGCTGGGAGGAGAGAGGGGTCTGGGGCCCAGAGGCAAGGCTTCTCAGGTGGCCTGTGCCTCCACTACCATCACCATCAGATCCCTGCTGCATGTGTCCAGGCAAATCGATTAGTATGTCCATCTCAACAGACCCATTCGGCAAGAATGAGTTCATATGCCAATGTATGGGTTGGCCCACATGCCCTCTGAACCAAAACCAGAAAGCAGGCTGTTGTGTGACATCAACTCCTGAGAAGCAAGGTGTCTTTCTTTCTCGTTTCTGCTGGGACACCCGCTGACTTCAGGTAGTCAACGTTACACTTAGGGAAGAGGGTGGCAGGACGAGAGGCAGGGAGGGAGAAGCAGTTTCGAGTTTATCAAGAGTGGAAGGGCTCATGCTGTATTTATTTAATTTTTCATTTCTGTGGGTACATAGGAGGTGCATCTATATTTACAGGTTACATGAGATGTTTTGATACAAGGATGCAAAGCTTCATAATCACATTAGGGTAAATGGGGTATCCATCACCTCAAGCATTTATCATTTGTGTTCCAAACTATCCAATTATACTTTGTTATTTTTAAATGTACAATTAAATTATTGACTACAGTCAGCCTGTTGTACTACAAAATACTAGGTCTTAGAATTCTTTCTAGCTACTTTTGTACCGATTAACTATCCCCACTTCCCCCCACCCCCCACTAACCTTCACAGCCTCCAGTAGCCATCATTCCACTATCTCCATGAGTTCAATCATTTTAATTTTTAGTTCCCACAAATAAGTGAGAAAATACAACACTTGTCTTTCTGTGCCTTACTTATTTTACTCAGCATAATAACCTCCAGTTCCATCCATGTTGTGGCAAACGACAGGATCATGTTCTTTTTTATGGCTGAGTAGTACTCCATTGTGTATAAGCACCATATTTTCTTTATCCATTTTTCTGTTGATGAACAGTTGGGTTGCTTCCAAATCTTGGCTATTGTGAACAGTGCCTCAGTAAACCTGGGACTGCAGATATCTCTTTGATGTACTGATTTCCTTTCTTCGCGGTTTATATCCAGCAGTTGTATTGCTGGATCATATGGTAATTCTATTTTTAGTTTTTTGAGGAGCCTCCAACTGTTCTTCATAGCAGTTGTACTAATTTACATTCCCACCAACGGTGTACAAGGGCTCTGTTTTCTCCACATCCCTGCCAGCATTTGTTATTGCCTGACATTTTTTTATTTTATTATTTATTTTTTTGAGACGGAGTCTCACTCTGTCGCCCAGGCTGTAGTGCAGTGGCGTGATCTTGGCTCACTGCAAGCTCCACCTCCCAGGTTCATGCCATTCTCCTGCCTCAGCCTCCCAAGTAGCTGGGACTACAGGTGCCCGCCACTACGCCCGGCTAATTTTTTTGTATTTTTAGTACAGACGGGGTTTCACCGTGTTAGTCAGGATGGTCTCGATCTCCTAACCTTGTGATCCGCCCGCCTCGGCCTCCCAAAGTGCTGGGATTGGGGGCGTGAGCCACCGCCGTCACCCAGGCTGGAGTGCAGTGGCGCGATCTCGGCTCACTGCAACCTCCGCCTCCCGGGTTCAATCGATTCTCCTGCCTCAGCCTCCAGAGCAGTTGGGATTACATGTGTATGCCACCACACCCGGCTAATTTTTTTGTATTTTTAGTAGAGCTGGGGTTTCACCATGTTGGCCAGGCTGGTCTTGAACTCTGGACCTCAGATGTTCCACCTGCCTCGGCCTCCCAAAGTGCTGGGATCACAGGCGTGAGCCACAGTGCCCAGCCTGTTATTGCCTGACTTTCGGATAAAAGCAATTTTAACTGGAATGAGATGATATCCCATTGTGGTTTTGATTTGCATTTCTCTGATGCTCAATGATGTCGAGCATATTTTATATACCTGTTTACTATGTCTTCTTTTGAAAAATGTCTATTCACGTCTTTTGCCCATTTTAAAATCAGATTGTTACATTTCTTTTTCTATAGAGTTGTTTGAGCTCCTTATATGTGCTGTCATTAATCCTTTGTCAGATGTGTAGTTTGCAAATATTTTCTCCCATTCTGTGGGTTGTCCCTTCACTTTGTTGATTGTTTCACTCGTTGCTCTATTTTAAAATCTTTCTATATCCTTGGTCCCTTTTAGGAATACTAGCAGTGTCACTTTGTTAGGATCTATAGTTGCATTGCCTTGAGGCCTATGAGCTTTTAAGGAGCCTACAAAAAATATCTGAGGTCTAGAAAAAAGAAGGTATGACTCTAAGATGGAAAAAATTGAAATAAACATATGTTTGAACTACATGAACATGTGAACTAAGTGAACAAATATATATAAAGTGTAAATTTCTATCAATTTTATGATTGATTAAATTTAGTGTTCATATAATGTCATTACATGTATAGTTGAAAGCTATCTATAGGTTTGCTTTTCTCACTTCACAAGAATTCTGGTATATGCCTATCTGATTGCAGAGAAGTCGTAGCGGAATTAAATGTGTTCCTCAGAGTTAAAGAATTTCAGAAGCCAAATTATAAAAATTATTTTAATTTTTTGCAAAAAAACAATTGTACTTAACGTGAGCCACATGTGCATTTGGCAATGCTTGATATTAGGTAGGATGAAATTTCTCAAAGTGAGAACACGGAGGGACTGTGGAATCTTAAAATGGCAATGCACACATATATCTGCCCACAAGGATGTTCATCACAGTTTGGTTTACAATAGCAAATAACTTCAAGTCAGTGACAACTTGAAAAAAATAGCAAATAATTTGAAATCACCTACATTGACACCAATAAGAGAATATTTTAACAAATTATGGTACCACACAATAGATATGAGGTGATTGCTGAAAATGAGGTCGTCGTAGGAAATTATTTAATTTGATCTAGAAAGACCTTCGAGATGTATTAAAATGTAAAACAGTTTGTGCAATATGATTGCCCTTGTTTATACAAGGAAAAACTATTTCTAGAGAAAAAGACTGGCAAGAGGTACATCAGTGTGGTCCCGATGAGTGGTTATCTCTGGGTGGTAGAATAACAAGTGAGTTACATTTTATTTTCTTTTATAATTCTCTGTGTCTTCTATCAGGAGTATTTACTATTTCTGGAAGCAGAGGGATATGTTTTATACAGATAGGAAACACTTTATAATGGATGACTTTTTTCCTGATAATCAATACGTTCGAGTCAAAGAAGGCTATATGTAGGGTTGGACTGAGTGGAGTCAGCAGATATCTGCCTTTCTCAAGTTTGAGGTTGAACACATTGAAATGTTATAAAAATAGAACTACCATTTGATCCAGTCAATCCCTGGATCTACCCAGAGGAAAAGAAGTCGTGATAGGAAAAAATACTCAGACACACGTGCTTATAGCAGTACAATTCACGGTTACAAAAATATAGAACCAGCCCAAATGCTAATCCATGAGTGGACAGAGAAATTGTGGTGTATACCACATCATATATATATATACCACATCATATATATATACCACATCAATATATATATACCACATCATTCATATATATATATGATGGAAAACTACTCAGCTATAACAAGGAATGAATTAATGGCATTTGCAGCAACCAGGATGGAACTGGAGACCATTATTCTAAGTAAAGTAACTCAGAAATGGAAAACCAAACACAGTATGTTCTCACTCATAAGTGGAAGCTAAGCTATGAGGATGCAAAGGCATGAAAATGGTACAGTGGACTTTGGGGACCCAGGGGAAAGGGTGAGAGGGGGTTAAGGGATAAAAGACTACAAACTGGACGTAGTATATATTGCTCAGGTGATGGGTGCACCAAAATCTCACAAATCACCACTAAAGAACTCACTCGTGTAACGAATACCACCTGTTCCCCCAAAACCTATAGAAATTTTTTTTTAAAGAAATGTTATTTAGACAGAGATTTTGACTACATAATAACAACACTCATGTCACCACCAGTAGTCAAAATAAGCCTTTTCTTTTCTCTTTAAAAAAATTTTTTTTTATTATACTTCAAGTTTTAGGGTACATGTGCACAACGTTCAGGTTTGTTACTTGTGTATACATGTGCCATGTTGGTGTGCTGCACCCATTAACTTGTCATTTAGCATTAGGTATATCTCCTAATGCTATCCCTCCCCCCGCCCCCCTCCCCACAACAGTCCCCGGCGTGTGATGTTCCCCTTCCTGTGTCCATGTGTTCTCATTGTTCAATTCCATGGAGCTTTGCTATGTTGCCCAGACTGGTTTCGAACTGCTGAGCTCAAGCGATCCTTCCACCTCAGCCTGTCAAAGTGCTGGGATTACACCTGTGAGCCATGGCACCCGGCTTCTTTTCTATTTTCTTTTGAGACAGGGTCTTGCTCTGTCTCCTAGGCTGGAGTGCAATGGTGTGATCATGGCTCACTGCAGCCTCTGCCTCCTGGGCTCAAGCCATCCTCCTGCCTCAGCCTCCTGAGTAGCTGGTGTGCAACACCATGCCCAGCTAGCTTTTTATTTTTTTTGTAGAGACGGAGTCTCAATATATTATCCAGGCTGGTCTTGAGCTCCTGAGCTCAAGTGATCTTTTTGCCTCAGCTTCTGAAAGTGCTGGGATTACAGGCATGAGCCACTGTGCCTGGCCCAGAATAAGCCTTTAAAAAACTAAATTGTATTTTGCAGTCCTTCAATGTTGTCTCTTATGAAGACTTATAAAGATAAGATTCCAAGACTTCACCTTAGCCTGCCCCTTCTCCTCAACTGTATCCATATCTCCAGCGTGATCTCCAGCTACTCTGATGCCCCTGCGTGACTGTCTGAAGGCACAGACATGTGCCCCTATCACATTGGGTAGGGAAAAAGCAGATTACATACAAAGCATGTCTGGCATATCCTCATTTATGTAAAATTGAAGACACCTATTTTATATAATATTAATTTTTTTTAGAGATGGGGTCTTACTTTGCTGCCCAGGCTGGAACACAGTGACTATTCTGAGAACCCATAGTTTAATCTGTATACATGCACAGAACTTTCAGGAAGGAAATGCTCAAAACGTTCACCGTGGTTACCTCTGGGTGGTATCATTGTGAGCAACTTTAAAAATACATGGTTTGAAATTTTTACAGGGGTAAAATGTCATTTTTATAAAATTGATCTGTGACTCTTGGATTGTTTGACTCATTCTCTGTTTAAGAGCTCTGATAGGAAAGAGCAAATGAAATATGATCTCAGGCCGGGCGCAGTGGTTCACAGCTGTAATCCCAGCACTTTGGGAGGCCAAGGCGGGTAATCACCTGAGGTCAGGAGTTTGAGACCAGCCTGACCAATATGGTGAAACCCCATCTCTACTAAAAATACAAAAAAAAAAAAAAAAAATTAACGGGGCGTGGTACCATGCAACTGTAGTCCCAGCAACTCGAGAGATTGAGACAGGAGACTTGCTTGCACCCAGGAGGTAGAGGTAGCAGTGAGCCGAGATCATGCCACTGCACTCCACCCAGCATAGGCAACAAAGCGAGACTCCATCTCAAAAAATAAAAAAAAAAATAAATAAATAAATAAATAAATAAGACATCAAAATGCCGAGTGTCGTGACTTATGCCAGAAATCCCAGCACTTTGGGAGGCTAAGGTGGGAGGATCTCTTGAGACCAGGAGTTTGAGACCAGCCTGGGCAACATAGCGGGACTCCATCTCTATAAAATATTTAAAAACTAGCTGGGTGTCGTGATGCATGCCTGTAGTCCCAGTGACTTGGGAGGCTGAGGCAGGAGGATCACTGGAGCTCAGGAGTTTGAGGCCACAGTGAGCTATGATCATGCCACTGCACTCCAGCCTGGGCGACACAGTGAGATCCCATCTTGAAAAAAAAATTCTCAAAAATTAATTTTTAGAGAAACAGTAGATGGAGGGTGTGCATGGTTAGCAGGATGAAGTGGGGCTACTGGAATGCTTGGCTTTGTTCTGAGGCATGTGTGCTTGGTCTTGGGGTGGTCGTCACCACTGAGCATGTTATGAGGGACACACAGATTTGATTTTACCCCAGGCCAAGGACTCAGAATGTTCTCACTGCTGAGGCCACTGTTCTTCCACGGAGGGGCACAGGCCATCTCCTTTAGGCAAGAATCATGAATGTAGCCAAGAGTCTCAGCTACCTGGGAGGAGGGGACCTCTGTGTAGGCCAAGCAAATAGAAGAAAAGCACCTTTTGAGAGGCGAACATTCAGCATTCAATTTAGAGGGTTGTGGGAGGCAGTATGAAAAGGTGGGTAATTAGGAGGATCTGGGATCAGAGAGGCTTCTCTCCCCATCCCACCCTACCACTCAAAGTGGGACCTTCTTACCATTGCAGACACATTCAATTCTCATGCCAATGACGGACTTGTTACCCCAACTGCTGGGAGTGTGGTCACAGACTACCTCCAGCTGCCAGCACCCCCAGGGTTTGCCTCAGCCGCAGAGCCACCTTGCCCAAGGCCACACCCTTCAGGGCTGTCCCACGTCCAGTGACTGATGGAGAGGGCATATAAAGGCCTGGCCACCCTGGCCCACTTCGAGAAAACCATGAAGTGCCATTCAGGCTCCAGAGCTTCCTGCATGCTGGCTGAGGCTGGCAGTGGTTGCACCAGAGCTCCACTTCTTTATCTGCCCACTCCTGCTCCCCTCCCTTCCAAGGGTATCAACTCAAGGGCACCCCCTGAGGAACACACTGCATACTAACCCTGGAGTCTCCTTGCTGAGGAGCCCAACCTGGGACAGTTAAGTTACTTAATCACTCCGAGCCTCCATTTCTTTTCTTGTTTTAGAGATGGGGTCTTGCTGTGTTGCCCAGGCTGGAGTGCAGTGGTTATTCACAGGTGCAGTCATGGCTCATTACAGCTCGAACTCCTGGGCTCAAGTGAAACTTGTGCCTCAGCCTCCCAAGTAGCTGGGATTACAGGCACATGCTACTGTGCCCACCTTCCATTTCTTCATCTATAAAAATCAGGATGATAATAATTTGCTGTCCATTGCATAGGATTGAGAATTATATGAGGTCATATATGTAAAACACTTACCAACTTTGTGCATAATTGCTTAATAAATGGTAACTATTGGTATTGCTATTAGGAAAGAAACAACCTATTTTTGACTCTCCCCATCATAATTCATTATCAGTTTAACCAGTAGTTTAGCCCCTAAGAGAAGGCTCCAGACAATGTGGACACGGGGTGAATAAAGGCTGGTGGAAGACAGAAGTGAAGGTTTGGAGGAAGGGATGTTACCAAACAAGGGCAGCCTGCAAAAGGGTGCATTCTTCTAATACAAGATCAGTCCGGGCCAGCTGCAGTGGCTCACACCTAATAGCCCAGCAATTTGGGAGGCTGAGGTGGGAAGGCTGCTTAAGCCCAGGACTCTGAGACCAGCCTGGGCAACTTAGCGAGACCTTGTCTCTACGAAAAAGAAAAAAAGAAAAATTAGCTGGGTACGATGGCACATACCTGTAGTCCCAGCAACTCGGGAGGCTGAGCCAGTAGGATGGCTTGGACCCAGGAGGTCATGGCTGCAGTGAGCTATGATGGCACCACTGCACTCCAGCCTGGGCGACAGAGTGAGACTGTCTCAAATAAAAACAAAAAAAAAAAGACCAGTCCACAGGCATCTCAGCCAACAAGAAGCCTCCTACAAATCTAGTTAGCACAAGGCAGTTCCCGTCGGGCTGGCCACTTTGGAGCAACCTAACCAGTTGTGATCTTGGTCTGCCATGCTGGGAGAAGCTGGAGCCGCAGTGGCTTCCAGGAGAGTAGGCATCCTCCGTGGTCCATCTTCTCGAGGTGCTGGGCCTAACCCAGGGAACGGTGGCCCATGCTGCAGGACTCTCCACGCAGTGGGGCCTCAGGGGTGTACAAGGCTGGGCCCTCACACTTTAACGACGACTAGAGAGGGGTATGTCTGCCCTCCCCACTGTCACTTCTGTCTTCCGCATGCATGCCCCTTGCCCATTTCCTGGGCCTTGGTATCTGATTGTAGGTCCTCCCAGACGCCTGGCAGCTGTCCTCCTCACCTCCTTCATGTGGTGCTCCATTCGGAGCAGCAGAGGGAACCATGGCTTTACAGTGGTAGGGACTGTTTGTTCCCTGAGTTGTTTTTTTTTCTGGCTTGGCTGCATTTTCCTGTAGAAATCTGCGTCCTGGGTATAGATTTGGCTTTGGGGGAGCCGTCCATCTGGATGTGTTTGATTGTAAATTACCGTCGTGTATTTAAAGTTATGGCCATCCATGATGAAGAGCAGACCTGGGCATGTGGTTTTCTAGCCCAGAGATTGCACGAAGCCTCTGGGGCTTCAACGACTGCAGGAGGCGTGCAGTCTGTAGAGTCATCGGGTATTCTGAAACATCCTATTTGTCCCCAAGCTCTGGCAAGTGAAGCTCAGAGCAGCCCTGGCCTGCCAATCCCTTTTCACAGTGCCTATAAATTTCAGAAATCTTACTTTGAGGATATCATTTAGCTAACACATAACTTTTTTCTGGCAGTTTATTGATACTTAAAAATAATGTTTGCCATACTCCAAGTTGGGACTAGTGTACATTGATAGTCTACCATATGGCATCACTAGGAAATAAGGGAATTCTTTCCCTCTCTCTCTAAATAAAGATAAGCCCATTAAATAGAAAAATCACTTCCCAGGTAAATCTTTCATATATATAGATGAATATATACTTCACCTTTTAAAATAATTCATATCATTACTGAATACTAATGATCTGCCAGGCTTTTACATACATTGTTGCATTTAGCCCTTAAAAACCCCAAAAAGCCGGTATTATTCTCACCATTTAGCCAGTGAGAAAAATAGAAGCCCAGAGAACTTATGTAACATGGCCAAAATTATACGCTGGGTGAGCGAGTGCCCGAGTGGGGATTTGAATTCAATTTTGTCCAACCCTGCAGCCCATGGGATGGCCACCACGCTGTGATGCCTCACTTATTTCTTTCAAATTAGAGGTGATCAAGCATATTTTTAACCTTTTCTTCATGAGTTATCGACAAAATTATGAACATCAGTGATAATGCAGTGCCAAAGGACTGACTCAGGCAGGATCCTCGGGTGAAGTGATGGAAATCAAGTAATGCTTAAGCAAAGAGAGAAGGAGTAGGGTGCAGCCGGGTCTCAGGAATGAGCTGGGACTCAGACCCATTCCCATCGGGACCTTCTCCATCCTTCCTCTCTGCTCTACTCCATGCACCTATTTCTATTTTTTTTTTCTCCCTTTTCCTGCAGACCAATCTGAAGGTGGGCAGTCCAGAGCTGGTGTCCATGACTCTAGGTCATCATTAAAGACCTAGAGTCCTCACAGCTTCCCGCTCTGCCTTTCTTTTGCTTTTGCTCTTGTTATCAGAAGATGGCTGCCATTTTTGCAGGCACCTGCCTCTCCTCCCAGGCTAGAATACAGGATAAAGGTGAAGGGCAATGGAGAATCTGTCTTTTTGCCTCCAGTGCACAGGGGCAGATCCTGCCTTACCATCATGGAACTTCTAAATCCTCAGGGAAGATAAACATGGAGCAGTTAATTGCACAACTGAAGAACGCCGTTAAGAAGACCTAAGAGTACCCAAGAGAAATGAGTGCCTACGAAAGGCAGCTCTAAGAATGTTCATATAGCTTCATGCATAATAGCCCCAAACGGCAAATAACCCAAACGCTCAACAACAGAAGAATGAATAAATAAATTTCATACAATGGAAGACTACTCAGCAAAAACAGCAACAACCCGCTGCTGAATGCAACAGCATGAATCACTCTCACAGGCGTAGGGCTGCATGCGAGAAAGCAGACACAAAAGAGCACATGCTGCATTCTGTTTATATGAAGTCTAAGAAGAGGCCAGAGAAGACACAAGAGCGTTTACCTCCGAAGGGGGCTTAATATTAGTATTTTTTGAGTCAGGGTCTTGCTCTGTCACCCAGGCTAGAGGGCAGTGGTGCAATCTCAGGTAATGCAACCTCCGCCTCCCAGGTACAAGTGATTCTCCTTCCTCAGCTTCCGGAGTAGTTGGGATTACAGGCTCGCACCACCATGCCCAGCTAATTTTTGTATTTTCAGTAGAGACAAGGTTTCACCATTTGCCCAGGCTGGAAATGGTTTATATCTTGATCTGAATGGTGATTTTGCAGTTGTACACATACGCAAATTTGTCAAGGTGTGCACTTGTACACTTTTCTCTATTTACATTATCCCTCAGTTTTTCTTTTCTTTCCTTTTTTTTCTGAGTCTTGCTCTGTTGCCCAGGCTGGAGTGCAATAGAGCAACCTCAGCTCACTGCAGCCTCTGCCTCCCAGATTCAAGCAATTCTCTTGTCTCAGACTCCCGAATAGCTGGGATTACAGGCGTGCATCACCACATCCAGCTACTTTTTTTTAAGTAGAGATGGGGTTTCACCATGTGGCCAGGCTGGTCTCAAACTTCTGGCCTCAAGTGACCTGCCTGCTGTGGTCTCCCAAAGTGCTAAGATTACAGGTGTGAGACACCGTACCTGGCCCATTATCCCTCAATTTTTTAAAGGTAAGTGGATGTGGACCTAAAAGGGAATTTTCAACTTTTTTTTTTTTTTTTTTGAGACAGGGTCTCACTCTGTTGCCCAGGCTGGAGTGCAGTGGTGCAATCACAGCTCACTGCAGCCTCAAACTCCCAGGCTCAAACGATCCTCCCACCTGAGCCTCCTGAGTATCTGGGACCACAGGCACCTTGTTCCAAAATAAATAAAGAGAGATAGATATGTAGATAGTCCCTGAAGCTTGTAATTGGCCTTGTAGTTTTCACTGTTGGCTCACAACTGTGTTGCACAGTAGCTCTCAATTGTGGCTATGCATTAGAATCACTTTTGTTTTAATTTTGTTATTTAATTTATTTTCTTTTCTTTCTTTTTGTTTTTTTGAGACACAGTCACACTCTGTAACCCGGCTGGAGTGAAATGGCAAGATATCGGCTCACTGCAACCTCTGCCTCCTGGGTTCAAGTGATTCTCCTGCCTCAGCCTCCCAAGGAGCTGGGATTACAAGAGCAAACCACCATGCCCAGCTAATTTTTGTATTTTTAGTAGAGACAGGCTTTCATCATGTTGGCCAGGTTGGTATCAAACTCCTTACCTCATGTGATCTCCTGCCTTGACCTTGCCAAAGTACTGGGATTACAGGTGAAAGCCACCACGCCTGTCTCCTTTTTTTTTTTTTTTTCATGTCAGACAGGTAATGTGCCAACGTTGTAACAAGGTTTGAGGCAGGCACATCTCACACTTGAGCACAACATCCCAATCATCGCACTTATGACCTACAAAAGGATCTAATCCTTGACACAGGTAAACTATTTACGTGATTTAACATTCAACTAATTTTAAAAGGTCCGTAGGAAAAGTTGCTCTCTGCCCTCTGTCTCCCAGCCTCCTGTAACTCCCTCAGAGGCAACCCTCATCCCAAGGATCTTGTGAATCCTTCCAGAGATTTTATGCTTCTATAACCAAAGGCAAATACACATTATTATCCCCTATACAAATGGAAGCATACTGATTTACACCAGCTTCATTCATAACAGCTGCCCCAGTCTTTTTGATGGTAGCCTAGTATTCCAGTGTCTATGTTTACCAGCATTTATTTGAGTCCCTGGGTTTTTCTAAAGATACTCATGCCCTGGGGCTTCCTCAGCTCTAATGTGCCTGGGTGTGAGGTGCAGGCAGGTGTGGGAACCACTGGCATGGCTCACTGGTCTCTTTCTTTCTCAGCCTACAGTAGGAACAGTCCTGGTTTCCTAGCACTTAGAGAGCTGGTTCAGGGTTTTGGAAAGTGAAATGAATTCCTTCTTTCTGATGAACAGAGAGCAGTCATAGATAAGACTCTCATTTGCAATGGACACAGGACCAAGAAATTGAGAAAAGCTGGCCCAAAGCCCTGGTCCTTTATGTAAGAGTAGGGAAGGAGATTGCATGGCACAGTCCCCAGGTTTGCAGATAGCACAGGACTTGACAGGTAGTGGAGATACAAACAAAAAGTCATAAGATACATGAAACTCTTGCCAGATTCTCCGAGCTACAGAGAAGTGGTAGGTGGGTTTCAGCCCAGGTCAATGAAAGATGGAATTTTTATTTTTATTTTTTTAGAGACAGGGTCTCACTATGTCACCCAGGCTGGAGTGCGATGGCATGATCATAGCTCACTGAGCCTTAAATGAACTCTTGGGCTCAAGTGATCCTCCTGCCTCAGCCTCTCGAGTAGCTGGGAAGTATAGGTGCCTGGCCAACATGGAATGTTGACAAAAATAGTCCAGACTATACTTATAGCTCCTAGGGCTAAACATACGTCTGTGCGGAATATTAGACTGTTTTCTGAGCTCATCAACTTTAGGCAGCCAAAAAAGTTGGCTATATATTGGGCCCAATCAAGAGAAGTAATAGAAACATAAGATAATACATTATTATACTATCATATAAAAGTATTGCATTTTAAGAAAGAAACAGGGTCTTGTTCTGTCACCCAGGCTGGAGGGCAGTGGTGTGATCATAGCTCACTACAGCCTGGAACTCCTTAGCTCAAGCAATCCTCCCACTTCAGCCTCCTAAGTAACTGGGACTACAGGTGCACACCACCACGCCTGGCTACTTTTTAAATTTTTTGTAGAGACAGGGTCTTGAAATGTTGCGCAGTCTCTTCTTTAACCCCTATTTTACCGCCTCAGCCTCCCTAAGGGCTGGGATTATGGCTGGGATTACAGGTGTGAGCCACTGCATCTGGCAAAATTATTGCATTTTTGAGTCTGAATTTTATGGAATTTTGGTCAATAAACCTCAGAAAAATATGCTTAGGACGTGAGCAGGGCAGTTTAAAAGTTAAAGGAAAAGGTAAGGACAGGGATTTGGAAGGAAACTGGAAGCATTTGGACTTTTTAATACGGTAAAATTGACAGATGATATGCCTAATGATTTTATTTTATAAAATTAAATAGACCTGGCCAGGTGTGGTGCGTTATGCCTGTAATCAGCAGTTTGGGAGGCTGAGAAGGGTGGATCACTTGACATCAGGAGTTTCAAACCAGCCTGGCCAACACGGTGAAACCCCATCTCTACTAAAAATACAAAACAATTAGCTGGACATGGTGGCGGGTGCCTGTAATCCCAGCTACTTGGGAGGCTGAGGCAGGAGAACTGCTTGAACCCGGGAGGTGGAAGTTACAGTGAGCCAAGATCACGTCACTGCACTCCAGCCTGGGTGACACAACAAGACTCCATCTCAAATAATAAAATAATAATAGTAATAATAATAAATTAAATTAAATTAAATTAAATAGACCTAACCTCAAACTGGAAACAACCAAAATGTCCTTCAGTAGGTGAATGGTTATACAAACTGTGCTACAGCCATGCTGTGGAGTACTCTTCAGCAAGAAAAACAAATGGCTATAGATGCATGCATGTACTTGGGATGAATCTCAAGGGAATTATGTAGGGTGAAAAAAGCAAATTTCAAAAGCTTACATGCTGTATGATTCCACTTAGATAACATTCTATAAGCGAAACTGCAAGGTGCAGTGGCTCATGTCTGTAATCCCAGCACTTTGGGAGGTCGAGGCATGTGGATCGCTTAAATCCAGGAGTTTGAGACCAGCCTGGCCAACATGGTGAAACCCCATTTTTAGGTGGGGTGTGGTAGCTCACGCCTATAATCCCAACACTTCGGGAGGCTGAAGTGGGTGGATCACCTGAGGTTGGGAGTTCAAGACCAGACTGGCCAATGTGGTGAAACCCCATCGCTTCTAAAAATACAAAAATTAGCCAGGCATGGTGGCGTGCACCTGTAATCCCAGCTACTCAGGAGGCTGAGACACGAGAATAGCTTAAACCCAGGCGGCGGAGGTTGCAGTGAGCCGATATTGTGCCATTGCACTCCAGCCTGGGTGACAGACTGAGACTCTGACAAAAAAAAGAAAGAAAGAAAGAGAGAGAGAGAGAGAGAGAGAAAGAAAGACAGAGAAAGAAAGAGAGATAGAGGAAGGAAGGAAGGAAGGAAAGAAAGAAAGAGAAAGAAAGAAAGAAAGAAAGAAAGAAAGAAAGAAAGAAAGAAAGAAAAGAAAGAAAGAAAAGAGAAAGAAAGAAAGAAATCTTGTGTCTATAAAAAATAGAAAAATTAGCTGGGTATGGTGGTGTGTGCTTGTAGTCCCAGCTACCTGGGATTCTGAGGTGAGAGGATAATCTGCAACCTCACTTGAGATTGAGGCTGCAGTGAGCGTGACTGCACCACTGCACTCCAGAGCCTGGGCGACAGAGCAAGACCCTATCTCCAAACAAAACAAAATACCCAAATTATAGAGATGGAGAATAGAATAGACAAGTGATTGCCAGGGTTAGGGAGGTGGGGAGGAAGGGAGATGGCTATGACTGCAAAAGTGAAGCACCAGGGGGCCGGGCGCAGTGGCTCATGCCTGTAATACCAGCACTTTGGGAGGCCGAGGCGGCTGGATCATGGGGTCAGGAGATCGAGACCATCCTGGCTAACATGGTGAAACCCCGTCCCTACTAAAAATACAAAAAATTAGCTAGGCATGGTGGCTGGTGCCTGTAGTCCCAGCAACTTGGGAGGCTGAGGCAGGAGAATGGCGTGAACCTGGGAGGCGGAGGTTGTGGTGAGCAGAGATCGCACCACTGCACTCTACCCTGGGCAACAAAGTGAGACGCCATCCCCCAAAAAAATTAAAAGTGAAGCACCAGGGACCATGGTGGTCATGACACTCTTACATTGCTTGCCTGTGGTGTTAGTTTTACCCACCCATGCAATAAAACTATGTAGAACTAAATACACACACGCACACACAACTAGTGAAAATCTGATGTAAAACAAGTGAAATTTGAAAAAGCTCAGTGGATTGCACCAACGTCAATTTCCCAGTTGTGACATTGGGTACTATAGTTACACAAAATGCTACCATTAGTGAGAGACTGGGTGAAGGGCACAATGGATAGATTTGAGATCTGCAATTATCTCAAACATCTAATTTAAGAAATCAAATAAGCCTAGACTGTTAGTGCTAGAGAAAAGTGGAAATCGACCACACTGACTTTTACCCAACTCAAAAGGGGTCAGCTCTTGACCTTTAATAGAGGCAGATTTTAAACAAATGAAAACTATGCACCTTTTCACACACTGAATAATAAACTTATGAAATGTATTAGCCTAACAAATGAGAGGATGAAGATTTATACAATGTGTGTGTGTGTGTGTGTGTGTGTGTGTATATGTATTAATTAAAGACAGCATCTCAGCTCTGCCACCTAGGCTGCTAGAGGGCAGTGGCGGAATCATAGCACACTGCTGGGCTCAAGTGATTCTCCTGCCTTGGCCTCCCAAAGTGTTTGGATTACATGCATGTTGAGCCACTGTACCTGGCCCAAATGTACCTGGCCCATATATGTATATGCAACATTGGGTTTCTAAGACACATGAAATTTTGGGAGCATTTCTGACCTTGGAGTTTGACATCACAAATAAGAGCCTCATGCATCTACAATCAGGTCCCAAGTCAATTTAAAATGAGCTCAGTGAACATTTGCTGAGTTCCTATGAAGTGTCAGGCATGTCTTGGTTGCTCAGTGTTAGAAACGCTGGGTGCAGTGGCTCGCGCCTGTAATCCCAGCACTTTGGGAGACCAAGGCTGGAGGAAAACTTGAGCCCAGGAGTTCAAGAGCAGCCTGGGCAATATGGTGAGACCCCATATCCACAAAAAGTCAAAAAATTAGCCAGATGCGTTGGTGTATGCCTGTGGTCCCAGCTGCTCAGGAGTCTGAGGTGCGACGATCGCGTGAACCCAGGAGTTCCAGGCTGCAGTGAGCTATGAGCACATCACTACCCTCCAGCATGGGTGACAGAACAAGACCCTGTCTCAAAAAAAGAGGAAAGAGAGAAAGAGAGAGAGAGAGAGAGAGAGAGAAGGAAGGAAGGAAGGAAGGAAGGAAGGAAGGAAGGAAGGAAGGAAGGAAAAGAAAAGAAAAGAAAAGAAAAGAAAGAAAAAAGAAAGGAAAGAAAGAAAGAAAAGAAAAGAAAGGAAAACATAAAAGACACAACCCTGTCCCTCCTGTTAAGTGTCCCATTGTTCAGGAATTCAGTGCTGGTGACATTACTTGTGGAAGGGAAACGAATGTCACCCTGACATATTATTTTTAATGATATCCTGATTAATAGTCATACTTGAGGCTATTTTAAAAATGGAAGCAGTCACCACGAAGTGTGATAGGAATTACCCCAAAATAGACTATGTTATCCTCTGTGAATAATTTAGACACCATCGCTCCGAAGGCAGCGAGAGCATGAGGACTGCGAACAAGCTGATTGGGAGCTTTGGGAAAGTGGGGCTGGCATCTTATTATCTCCGCAGCCCAGGACTTAACAGTGCGTGCTTGGTATGCAGCAGGAGCTCAATAAGTAAATGCTGACTTGACAATCACGATCCTTTTATTCTTATTTTATGTAAGTTTAGGCCAGAAGGAGCTTATGGGACTCTACCACTGATAACTGGAAACCGATTTTGACTAGGATCAGGAGGTACTGGGATAGGATATGAAATAAAAGAGAAAACGCAGAGGACAGAGGTAAAGATCTGTTGCCACAGGATGGACCTGGAGCTGTCCTGGGAACACCTTTGGCGATCAGGGGTTCTCTGGCCTGCAGCAGCTCATTCCCAGACAGTGGCTGCTCTGCTACCATGGACTTGAGCTTCTCCCCTGGGTAAAGGAATGAAATCCCACCCACTCACCCCTTTCCTTTCAGAAGTAGTGTGGGGATGCACCTTTATTGGCCATTGAACATTCACAGAGATGCATTTAGCATCATGAACGTTATAAAAACGACAGTGGCAAATCATTACAACTGCTTTTCGGTGGTAAGCTTCCCAGAAGAAAATTATGGAAGAGATGTGGTATAAAACACGAAGACAGCATTTAGCATACCCAGCCTCATTTCCTGCCATCAATGGCAGGTTGTTGTTGTTGTTGTTGTTTTGAGATGGAGTATTGCTCTGTCCCCCAGGCTGCAGTGCAGTAGCATGATCTTGGCTCACCGCAGCCTCTGCCTCCTGGGTTCAAATGATTCTCCTGCCTCAGCCTCCCAAGTAGCTGGGATTACAGGCTCCCGCCACCATGCCCAGCTAATCTGTGTAGTTTTAGTAGAGATAGGGTTTCACTATGTTGGCCAGGCTGGTCTTGAACTCCTGGGCTCAAGTGATCCACCCCACCTTGGCCTCCCAGAGTGCTGGAATTACAGGCGTGAGCTATGGCGCTTGGCATGCAGGTAGTTCTATCTTTAACCTCTAGGAGCAAATAATGAATACCTACCAGTACGGTGGGAACTACGGGCATAAGGAAGTTGATCTCTGTCATTTATTGGCAGAAGTGGACATTTAGATTAACACCCAAGAATTTAAAAATGTTATAGGCTAATTCTTTTTGAATGTCACATTTTTATCTCTCTGATAACAAGTCAGAGAAGACTGGAAACACTGCAGAGTGAGTGGCCTCATGAGACTCTTTCTCTCTCTCTGCCATATGAGGACGTGGTGAGGAGGTAGCCATCTGCAAGCCAGGACAAGGGCCCTCACCAGAAACAGAATTGGCTGACACCTTAATCTTAGACTTTGCAGCCTCCATAACTGTGAGAAAATAAATGTCTACTGTTGAAGCTGCCATCTATGGTATTTTGTTACAGCAGCTGGTGTAGACTAGGACAGCCTGTGACTCTGAAGCATGGATGGCAACATCTAGATGGATGTTGAAGACGTTGATTCCACAGATGCCGGTGGACCCCCTGGCCTTGCAGAGGTTGTCTGCCCTGCCAGCTCGTCTGTTGTGCCTTGAAGGTGCTGTCAACACTTCTCCTTGTTGAGGCATTAGGTGATCCCCTAAGGAACACCCTCATCTCCGCTGCCAGGCTGATAACTGGGTTAAGTTCCAGCACACCCTGGCTGGAAATGAACCGGGCCAGATGAGGGAGAAAAAGAGAATCCACACCTAAGGAATTGTAGGAAACAGACAGCCAGAGCGAGGGAAGGGCTTCTGGGATAGGATTTTAGGGTGTTTGATCAGGTGGGATGGAGTGGGAGGTTGGCTAAATAAGAATGGATTAACTTGGAGACTCTTTCTTAGAACATGAGATGTTAACACCCAATTGAGGACCCTGAGGGACGGGAAAACTCAGCTGCTAGGCCAGGGTGGTACTTAGATGCCTGGAGAAAAGCAACGGAACTGTTAACACAGAGCAGAGTGGCAAATGCTTGAGCTGCTCTGGAGGATGGTGGCAGAAGGTGTATGAGGCTGACGGAGCAGGTGTGCTGGGGTGGAGAAGCAACACAGTGTTAGAGGGAGACCCACCAGAGGAGAACGTTCCATGGAGGGCCCAGAAGACACATCCACCAAGGGCACCAGGAATGAATGACATTCAGCAGTGGCTCATCAGGTCAGAAGTAACTGAAGGAGAGATGGTCACAGAGAGGGCCTCACTACCCTCCATGGGGATGAAGGGGCCCTGAGGAACAGAGTCCAGGGCAGCATGCAAGCCCCAAAAACCACGAAGCCATAATAACTGTAAAACCTGGCAAAGCTGGAGTGACAGTCATGGGGCTTGACCCTCAGAGAGTTATGGAAGTGGTTTGTGAAACATGGCATCTCTGAAAGATAGACAAGCAGCCAGAAAGTGTGCTGCATGACATCTTTAATGAAAAATAAGGCAATTAGCTGGGCTTGATGGTACACACCTGTTATCCTAGCTACTGGGCTGAGGTGGGAGGATTGCCTGAGCCCAGGAGTTCAAGGCTTCAGTGAGTTATGATTATGCCACAGCACTCCAGCCTGGGCAACCAAGCAAGACCCTCTCTCTTAAAAAAAAAAGTGAGAAGGAAGGAAGGAAGGAAGGAAGGAAGAGAGACAGAAAGAAAGAGAAAGAAAGAGAAAGAGGAAAGAAAGAAAGAAAGAAAGAAAGAAAAAGAAAGAAAGAGAAAGGAAGAAATAAAGGAGAGAGAAAAGAGGGAGGGAGAAAGAGAAAGAGAGAGAGAGAGAAAAAGAAAGAAAAGAAAAGAAAAGGACAAGACAAATAAGGCAAGAATGGAGGTCCAGTGGGCTTGAATAAAAATTCAAGATCCCTTGTTCAATTCCTAAGCCTGAGCCAATTTTAATATCAGAAACCCACAGACTGAAGAGACAGTCCCTGAAAAGAAGGAATCTATAATACTAGACGAGTATGTATTTGTGAGGATTCCCCCAAATCCTTCCCCAAAGGGACTTAATTTATTTGGATGAGATTGTACACTGGGAAAAAGGGAATAGCCAGATATTTTGAGGACAATTGGACCCAGGATTTGCAATGACATTGATAGCCAGAGATCCAAGGTGTCATCATATCCCCTTCTAAGAGTGGAGGTCTATGAGGTCCAGGTGATAAATGGAGTTCCAGTAAACTCCAGCTCACAGTGGACCCACTGGGTCTGCAGATCCACCAGTGGTCATTTCTCCAGGCCTGAAGTGCACAACTGAAATGGGTGTACCTGGCAGTTGGAGTAACCTCCACATCAGGCCCTGGTCTATGGATTATGAAGGTACCATAGTCGAGAAGTCCAGATGGAATCTCTGAACTGACCTCCTCACACCCCACACCCAGCCAAAGTAATAAAAAACAATATCATAGCAGGGGTTGGGGAGGGGAAGATTAATACCGTCATTAAAACTTAAGGATATAACAGTGGTGGCCCAGGTTATTTGCCAGTCAGGACTCTGCAAAAGCTGGTTGGATATTGGAGAATGACCATAGACTACTATGGACTTTTGCCAAGTAGTAGCCTCGATTTCAGTGACTGTATTGAACATGGCATCACTGTTGGGATGGATTAGCAAAGCTTCATAGGTGGTCATTGATTTGGTGAATGCATTCTTTTCCATTCTAATCAGAAAAGAGGATCAGAAACACTGTATTCTACTGAGATGGACAATAATAAGCATTCACAGTTTTGTCTTACATCTACAGGAACTCTTCTGTTCTTGGTCATCGTGTAGTCTGAAGACATCTAGATTATATCATTACATGGGTGCCAACCTGCTGATTGGTCAAAATGAGGAAGAGGTGGCTGGTATGCTGGAGGCTTGGGTAAGACACATGCACTCCAGTTGGGGGTGAGTAAGCCCTGTGAAGAGCTAGGGATTGGCCACTTCAGTGAAGATTTTAGGAATCCAGTAGTCAGGGGCCTCCAAAGTAAAAAAAAAAAACAAAAAAAAACCTTTGTGTATCTTGCATCCTCTATCCCACTGAAGTACGCCCAGCACCTTACAGGCCTTTTTGGGTTCCAGAGGCAACACATTCTGCAACGAGGAATACAGTTTTGGCCCATATACTGAGGGACACTAAAGGTGACCATCTTCGAGTGGAGGCTCAGAGTAGAAAGGGGTGCTTCAGCAAGTCCAGACTGTGGTGCAATTGCCCTGTTGCTTAGGCCATGAATTCTGGCAGATCCTATGGTGGTGGAGGTGTCAGTAGTGAGAAAAAGCACAATACAAAGCTTACGGCAGGTATATTGGAAGAATTGCAATGGAGGCCGCTGGAACTTTGGAGTGAGGCTGTGCCATCATCCTCTGAAACTGATACAGCCTTTGAGAATCAGCTTTCAGCATATTACCGGGCTATAGTGGAGATGGAACACGACCATTTTGCCCATGGGGTACTTGGTGATCACGCATTGGGAACTGCCCATGGTGAGTTGGGTCCTGTCTGACCTGCAAAACCATAAGTCTGACAGCTGCAGTCCCATCATACCATGTAAGTGGTCCATCCCAGGCTGGGGCTCACCTGGCCCAGAGGGCATGAGTAAGCTATATAAGCAACTAGTGCAGACTCCCTTGTCATTCATCACATCACCTCTGACTGTATGTGAGATCCTGCATGACCAGCTGAAAGAGGAGGAAAATCCCAAGCTTGTTTTGCAAATGGGTTGGCTGAATATGGGGAGCAAACTAGAAACAGATGACAGTCTTCCATCCAAGTACTAACCAGGCCTGACCTGCTTAGCTTCTGAGATCAGAAGAGACAGGGGGCTGAAGCCAGAGAGCCAAGTGGTCTGGCTCAACGGGTCCCAACTCCATGGAGCCCAGCAAGCTGAAACCCATGGGCTTGAAGTTCTCACTGCCAGCACAATAGTCTAAGGTCAACCTGAGATGCTCAAGCTTGGTGTGGGGAGGGACATCCGCCACTGCTGAGGCTTGTGTAGGCGGTTTTACCCTCACAGTGTAAACAAAGCTGCCAGGAAGTTCAAACTGGGCAGAGCCCACTGCAGTTCAGCAAGGCCACTGTGGTCAGATTGCCTCTCTAGATTCCTCCTCTCTGGGCAGGACATTTCTGATAAAAAGGCAGCAGCCCCAGTCAGGGGCTTACACAGAAAACTCCCATCTCCCTGGGACAGACCACCTGGGGGAAGGGGCAACTGTGGGCACAGCTTCAGCAGACTTAAATGTCCCTGCCTGACGGCTCTGAATAGAGCAGTGGACCTCCCAGCACAGCATTCGAGCTCTGCTGAGGTTCAGACTGCCTTCTCAAGTAGGTCCCTGACCCCTTTGTATCCCGACTGGGAGACACCTCCTAGTAGGGGCCGAGAGACACCTCATGCAGGAGAGCTCTGGCTAGCATCTGGTGGGTGCATCTCTGGAATGAAGCTTCCAGAGGAAGGATCAGGCAGCAATCTTTGCATTCCACAGCCTCCGCTGGTGATACCCAGGCAAAGAGAGTCTAGAGTGGATTCCCAGCAAACTCCAGCAGACCTGCAGCAGAGGTTCCTGATTGTTAGACAGAAAACTAACAAACAGAAAGGAAGAGCATCAACATCAACAAAAAGGACGTCCACTCAGAGACCCCATCCGAAGGTCACCAATGTCAAAAACCAAAGGTAATAAATCCATGAAGATGGGGAGAAACCAGCACAAAAAGCCTGAAAATTCCAAATACCACAATGCCTCTTCTTCTACAAAGGATCACAACTCCTCGCCAGCAAGAGAACAAAACTGGACGGAGAATGAGTTTGACGAATTGACAGAAGTAGGCTTCAGAAGGTGGGTAATAACAAATTCCTCTGAGCTAAAGGAGCATGTTCTAACCCAATGCAAGGAAGCTAAGAACCTTGAAAAAAGATTAGACAAATTTCTAACTAGAATAACCAGTTTAGAGAGAACATAAATGAGCTGATGGAGCTGAAAAACACAGCACGAGAACTTCGTGAAGCATACACAAGTATCAATAGCCGAACCGATCAGGTCGAAGAAAGGATATCAGACACTGAAGATCAACTTAACGAAATTAAGTGAGAAGACAAGATTAGAGAAAAAAGAATGAAAAGGAATGAACAAAGCTTCCAAGAAATATGGGACTATGTGAAAAGACCAAACCTACATTTGATTGGTATACCTGAAAGTAAAAAGGAGAATAGAACCAAGATGGAAAACACTCTTCAGGATATTATCCAGGAGTACTTCCCCAACCTAGCAAGGCAAGTCAACATTCAAATTCAGGAAATACAGAGAACACCGCAAAGATACTCCTCGAGAAGAACCACCCCAAGATGCATAATTGTTAGATTCATCAAGATTGAAATGAAGGAAAAAATGTTAAGGGCAACCAGAAAGGTTGGGTTACCCACAAAGGCCGAAGTCCATCAGACAAACAGTGGATCTCTCTGCATAAACCCTACAAGCCAGAAGAGAGTGAGGGCCAATACTCAACATTCTTAAAGAAAAGAATTTTCGACCCAGAATTTCATATCCAGCCAAACTAAGCTTCATAAATGAAGGAGAAATAAAATCCTTTACAGACAAGCAAATTCTGAGAGATTTTGTCACCACCAGGCCTGCCTTACAAGAGCTCCTGAAGGAAGCACTAAACATGGAAAGGAACAACTGGTACCAGTCACTGTAAAAACATACCAAATTCTAAAGACCATCAACACTATGAAGAAACTGCATCAACTAATGGGCAAAATAATCAGCTAGTATCATAATGACAGGATCGAATTCACACATAAAAATATTAACCTTAAATGTAAATGGGGTAAATGCCCCAGTTAAAAGACACAGACTGGCAAACTGGATAAAGAGTCAAGACCCATCGGTGTGCTGTATTCAGGAGACCCACCCAATGTTCAAAGACACACACAGGCTCAAAATAAAGGAATGGGGGAATATTTATCAAGAAAATGGAAAGCAAAAAAAAGCAGGGGTTGTAATCCTAATCTCTGATAAAACGGACTTGAAACCAACAAAGATCAAAACAGACAAAAAAGGGCATTACATAAAGGTACAGAAATCAATGCAACAAGAAGAGCTAACTATCCTAAATATATATGCACCCAATACAGGAGCACCCAAATTCATAAAACAAGTTCTTAAAGACCTACAAAGAGACTTAGACTCCCACACAATAATAATGGGAGACTTTAACACCCCATTGTCAATATTAGACAGATCAATGAGACAGAAAATTTACAAGGATATTCAGGACATCAATTCAGCTCTGGACCAAGTGGACCTAATAGACCTCTACAGAACTCTCCACCCCAAATCAACAAAATATACATTCTTCTCGGCACCATATCACATTTATTCTAAAATTGACCACATAATTGATAGTAAAACACTCTTCACCAAATGCAAAAGAATGAAAATCATAACAGTCTCTCAGACCACAGTGCAATCAAATTAAAACTCAGAATTAAGCAACTCACGCAAAACCATACAACTACATGGAAACTGAACAGCCTGCTCCTGAATAACTACTGGGTAAATGACGAAATGAAGGCAGAAATAAAGACGCCTTTGAAACCAATGAGAACCAAGACAACATACCAGAATCTCTGGGACACATTTAAATAAATTTCCCTCTACCCAGTGTGTAAAGGGTAATTTATAGCACTAAATGCCCACAAGAGAAAGCAGGAAAGATCTAAAATTGACACCCTAACATCACAATTAAAAGAACTAGAGAAACAAGAGCAAATAAATTCAAAAGCTAGCGAAAGACAAGAAATAAGTAAGATCAGAGCACAACTGAAGGAGATAGAGACATGAAAAAACCTTCAAAAAATCAATGAATCCAGGAGCTGGTTTTTTGAAAAGATCAACAAAATAGATAGACTGCTAGCCAGACTAATACAGAAGAAAAGAGAAAAGAATCAAATAGATGCAATAAAAAAACAATGAAGTTGATATCGCCAGTGATCCCACAGAAAAACAAACTACAATCAGAGAATACTATCAACACCTCTAGGCAAATATACTAGAAAATACAGAAGAAATGCATAAACTCCTGGAGACATACATCCTCCCAAGTCTAAACCAGGAAGGAGTTGAATCCATGAATAGATCAATAACAAGTTCTGAAACTAAGGCAGTAATTAATAGCCTACCAACCAAAAAAAGTCCAGGACCAGATGGATTCACAGCTGAATTCTACCAGAGGTACAAAGAGGAGCTGGTACCATTCCTTCTGAAACTATTCCAAACAATAGAAAAAGAGGGAATCCTCCCTAACTCATTTTATGAGGCCAGCATCATTCTGATATTAAAACCTGGCAGAAACACAAAAAAGAAAATTTCAGGCCAATATCCCTGATGAACATCAGTGTGAAAATCCTCAGTAAAATACTGGCAAACAGTATCCAGCAGCACATCCAAAAGCTTATCCACTATGATGAAGTGGGCTTCATCCCTGGGATGCAAGGTTAGTTCAACATATGCAAATCAATAAACGTAATACATCACATAAACAGAACCAGTGATAAAAACCACATGATTACCTCAATAGATGCAGAAAAGGCATTAAACAAAATTCAACACCTCTTCATGCTAAAAACTCTCAATAAACTAGGTATTGATGCAATGTATCTCAAAATAACAACAGCGATTTATGACAAACCCACAGCCAGTAACATACTGAATGGGCAAAAACTGGAAGCATTACCTTTGAAAACTGACACAAGACAAGGATGTCCTCTCTCCACTCCTATTCAACATACTATTGGAAATTCTGGCCAGGGCAATAAGGCAAGAGAAAGAAATAAAAGGTATTCAAATAGGAAGAGAAGAAGTTAAATTGTCTCTGTTTGCAGATGACACGATTGTATATTGAGAAAACCCCGTTGTCTCAGCCCTAAATCTCCTTAAGCTGATAAGCAACTTCAGCGAAGTCTCAGGATACAAAATCAACGTGTAAAAATCACAAGCGTTCCTATACACCGATAACAGACAAATAGAGAGCCAAACCGTGAATGAACTCCCATTCACAATTGCTACTAAGAGAATAAAATACCTAGGAATACAACTTACAAGGGATGTGAAGGACCTCTTCAAGGAAAACTACAAACCACTGCTCAAGGAAATAAGAGAGGATACAAATAAATGGAACAACATTCCATGCTCATGGATAGGATAGATTCAATGCTATCCCCATCAAGCTACCAATGACTTTCTTCACAGAATGAGAAAAAAACTACTTTAAATTTCATATGGAACCAAAAAAGAGCCCACATAGCCAAGACAATCCTAAGCAAAAAGAAGAATGCTGGAGGCATCATGCTACTTGACTTCAAACTATACTACAAGGCTACAGTAACCAAAAGAACACGGTACTGTTACCAAAACAGATATATAGACCAAAGGAACAGAACAGAGGCCTCAGAAATAGCACCACACATCTATAACCATCTGATCTTTGGCAAACCTGACAAAAACAAGCAATGGGGAAAGGATTCCCTATTTAATAAATGGTGTTGAGAAAACTGGCTAGCCACATGCAGAAAACTGAAACTGGACCCCTTCCTTACACCTTACAAAAATTAACCCAAAGTGGATTAAAGACTTAAACGTAAGACCTAAAACCATAAAAACCCTAGAAGAAAAACCTAGGCAATACCATTCAGGATCTAGGCCTGGGCAAAGACTTCATGACTAAAACATCAAAAGCAAGGGCAACAAAAGCCAAAATTGACAAATGGGATCTAATTAAACTAAAGAGCTTCTGCACAGCAAAAGAAACTGTTATCAGAGTGAACAGGCAATCTACAGAATGGGAGAAAATTTTTGCAATCTGTACATCTGACAAAGGGCTAATATCCAGAATTTACAAAGAACTTAAACAAATTTACAAGAAAATAAACAACCCCATCAAAAAGTGGGTGAAAGATATGAACAGACACTTCTCAAAAGAAGACATTGATGCTGCCAACAAACATATGAAAAAAAGTTATCATCACTCATTGTTAGAGAAATGCAAATCAAAACCACAATGAGATACCATCTCACGCCAGTTAGAATGGCAATCATTAAAAAGTCAGGAAACAACAGATGCTGGACAGGATGTGGAGAAATAGGAATGCTTTTACACTCTTGGTGGGAGTGTAAATTAGTTCAATCATTGTGGAAGACAGTGTGGCGATTTCTCAAGGATTTAGAACCAGAAATACCATTTGACTCAGCAATCCCATTACTGGGTATATACCCAAAATTTATAAGTCATTCTGCTATAAAAGACACATGCACACATATGTTTACTGAGGCACTATTCACAATAGGAAAGACTTGGAAGCAACCCAAATGCCCATCAATGATAGAATGGATAAAGAAAATGTGGCACATATGCACTATGGAATGCTACGCAGCCATAAAAAATGAGTTTATGTCCTTTGCAGGGACATGGATGAAGCTGGAAACCATCATTCTCAGCAAACTAACACAAGAATAGAAAACCAAACACTGCATCTTCTCAGTCATAAGTGGGAGTTGAACAATGAGAACACATGGACACAGGGAAGGGAACATCACTCACTGGGGCCTATCAGCAAGTGGGGGGCTAGGGGAGGTATAGTATTAAGAGAAATACCTAATGTGGATGACAGGTTAATGGGTGCAGCAAACCACCATGGCACGTATATACCTACGAAACAAACCTGCATTTTCTGCACATGTACCCCAGAACTTAAAGTATAATAATAAAAATAAATAAAAATGAAAAATAACAGATGACAGTCAGATTTAGGGGTGTCCCTGAAACTCAGTGGAGAGATAAGCTCTTCCCGGCAGACAGGGTTGTGAACAGTGCACCGTGTCATCAACCCTTTGCATAGGGAAATAAAAGTGGCCCAACATGAGAATTTGTGCAAATCCTGGATAGTGACTAAGGAGGTCTGGGGCTGAGGTGTGTGAACGTACACTTGAGAGTGGGCATACAGTGTGAAGGATTCTGTTGCACATATTCATGTCCACTAGGACACATCCATCATGGAAGAGCCTCTGAACAATCAATTAGACAAGATGACTTGGCCCAGTGATGCTGGCTGTCAGTGTCCACCCCAGAACTGGCATGACAGGAACACGAACAGATAGATGGCTGAGGTGTGGAGATGGAGGCTATAAGAGGTCAACGGCATGGCTCCGGCTTACCAATCTAGCCACTGTGCCTCTGAATGTCAGCAGCAGAGTTGCGCCTGCTACGGCGCTATTACCCTAGGACACCAACCTAAAAGGGCCAGTGGTTTGTCTTCACAGGTGTAGATACTTTGGGAATGGATCTGCCTTTCCTGCCCAGAGCATCTCAGCCAGCACTACCATCTGGGGGCTTATAGAATGCCTGAGCCATAGCCATGAGTCCGACACAGCACAACAGCCAACTAAGAGACACACCTCATAGCCCATGACCATGGGGTTCGCTCACTGCATCACACACTGCAACCCCCTAGGGCAGCTGGCCTCATAGAATGCTGGCATGGCCTTTTCAAGGAGCAACTGAAGTGCTGGCTCAGAGGAAACCCCCACAAGGACGAAGTACCATCCTTCAGTGTGCAAAGACTTGTATATGTCAGTGTGTCCCCAAAAGGAAAGACCCATGAGTCTGGAAACCAAGGAGTAGAAGCAGAGGTGACTTACCACCAGTCTCTAAGACCCACTGGGGGATTTGGGACTTCCTGCTCTGCCACTCTGGGTTCTGCAGGGTTGGAGGTCCGGATCCAAAAGAGGACACACTCTGGCCAGGAGACACAGTAAGGGTCTTGTTGAACGGCAAGTGGAAGCTGCTGCCGGGACACTCAGGATGCCTCGTTCGCAAGGATCAGCAGGTTAAAAGGGAAATCATCTTATTGGCATGCGTTATTGACCTAATCAGCAGCAGGAGGCAGGGGCTCTTTTACCTAGTGGGGGCGGGGAGGAACAGGGGCAGAACCCAGGGGCTGGGCTCAGGTGCCTCCTGCGGCTCCCTCACCCACTTGTAACTGTGAATACGCAGGTGCAGTCACTCCAGACTGAGCAGGGTATGATTCTAATTTAGACCCTTCAGGAATGAGGGTCATCCCATCAGGTAAGCTACCGACACCTGCTGACCTGATAGCTGAGGGTGAGGGGAATTTAAATGCAGGGCGGAGGAGGAGTTAGGATGCTCCAAGACCCTCGGCCGTCACGGGGGCTGTGGTTTGTCGCTCAGGAAGAAAGGCCCCTGGGAACCCTGGAGGAGCTGCTTTCTGAACTTTCCTGGTTGGAGAAATAGATCTGTGTGGGGCAAGGGGTGGGCGGTGGTGGTAATGAGCATGCGTCTCACGGACCATCATCAACGAGAAGCGTCAACAAATCAAGGGCCCAGGCGGCTGCGCGCAGACATCCATGGCTGTGTGCCCTGGGCTGCCCTCCCCGCGGGCAGCTCCCTGTGAGTGGCTGACTGCTGCAAGGATCTAACGCCGGTTCCTGGAAGACATCCACGGATAGCTGACTTTGGCTGGAGGACTCGCTGACCCTTCCTTAGAGGGCATGCAGTCTGGGACACGTCCACGCCACCTCCTTTCCCTCTCTCCTCTCTCTTCCCTTCCCTGGTTTGCTGTCGGACACGCCATCGCAGCCTATCTTACCTCCCTTCCCATTTTTTTTTCCTCACACAAGTGCTTTCTCTAATATAACCTTTACACATTTAATCCCGACTTGGCACCTGGTCAGTTGTGTGCTGGTAGATGGATCCCCCCCAAACAAAAGCTCTCATTTGTAGCATTGGCTGATTTCCACGGTATAGGTGGCCCCACCATGGCAGGCTTCTACTAATGGTTCTTGGGAAACTCCCAGGTAGCGGCTTCCATGAGCTGGCACCAGTCACTCCAACGCACCACTTCATGTGCCTCTGGGGGCTGAGAGACACGGAGGGGCGTGAACCCATGGTGGATCCTATGTGCTTCAGGGTAGGATGAGTCAAAATCTGGGGAAGGCGGAGGAGTCGGCTGATTGCCAGCATTTGATCTCAGTAACAGGGTGTCTTCTCGGTGCTTGAAATATCTGTTCGGTGTTTCGGACACTAGAAATCTGACATGCGCCAGTCCTTAATGACATATCCACAGTTCTAGTCATTTGTCTCTGTCCCCCTCAATCCAAGCAGCAATCTGCCATCTGATTAGCCTTCCTAAAGCAGCACTCTGACCATGTAAATGCCTCTGCTAAAAAGCTCCAATAGCTGCCTTTCCTAGGGAGACGTTTCTCTAAACATGTGGAATGCTTTTGAAGGATGTTAATAGGTGTCACGAGAATCCCAGGGCAGCATAATCCAACAAGTTTGGGCAACACTGACTGTAGCAAAATGAGGCAGATATCTTTACGTCAGGATTTACCAATGTAAGCTAGCGTGCACGGCAAATTGGCCATAGGGCTATGCAGCCTTTCTCAAACCTGTTTGTCCATGGCTCCCTTCCTCTGCTTTTTTCAGAGCATCTCATAGAATTAGTGTCCTGTGGAACACTATGGAAACGGTGGATGCGCTGACTTAGAGAATAAAATCCAAACTCCCTAGTCTAGCCTTCAAGGCTCGCCATTGTCTGGATTTCAATGGCTGGCTGACCTTGTTTTCCTTCTGGAACCCTTTGTTCCAGGAAACTTAAACCACTCACTGTGCGTACCCATGGATACTTCACTGCCTTTGATCCTTTCATGTCCTTCCCCTGGTCTCTAATGTCCTTCTTCCTCTTCTTTATATACTGAAATTCATCTATTCTTTCAGGCAGCTCGGTGCCACCTTTTCTATAAAGTCTCATCTGAAACTACATGAATTTGAAAAAAAAATGTGGTAAAATACACTTACATAAAATTTACCATCTTAATCATTTTTTAAGTATGTGGTTCAGGGGCATTAAGTACCTTCACAGTGTTGTGCAGTCATTACCCCATTCATTTCCAGAACTCTTTTGCAAAACTGAAACTCTGTTCCCATTGACAGTAACTTCCCACTCTTCCATCCTCCCCTCTCCTATCAACCCCCATTTTTATTTCTGTCTCTGAATTTGACTAGGTGCCTCATATAAGTGGAATCATACAGTTTTATTTTTTGTGTGTGATTGGTTTAGTTCACTTCATAGAGTTCATCCCACAAACAAATTCACGAAGGGCATAAAACTGGAAGGTCTCCAGAAGGCTCCTGACCTGGGTCCCCAAGGTCAAGCTTGGCAGCTCCTCCATCCTTCCATGCTCATCCTGGAGCTCAGTGGCCCTGTTGAATGGAGATGTTGAAGGATGAATGGGGAATTGTTTCTCAGCATTCCTGATCCCAACTACTTTGGGAAGAAGACATCCACCCAGCGGACTGCTCTTTCTGTTTTCTTCTTCCACTCAAGGTTCATCTATGTTGTAACACGTACCAGAATTTGTTTCCTTTTAAGGTTGAATAATATTCTACTGTTGATACATAGCATGTTTTACTCATTCATTCATTGGCCAGTGGACACTTGGGTTGCTTCCACATTTTGGCGATTGTGAATAATGCTGCTCTGAACATGGGTGTGCAATTATCTGTCTGAGTCTCTGCTTTCAATCGTTTTAAGAACATACCCGGAAGTGGAGTTGCCGAGTCATATGGTAATTCTACATTTAATTTTTTGAGGACCCGCCATATTGGCTTTCACAGCAGCTGCAACTTTTGACATTCCTGAACCCACACAACCTTTTACCAGCACACTCTGCATTAGTTATTAGTTATACTCCTCAGTATATTTTTAGCCATTTATACAAGTCTTCTCTTTCCTGTATTATAAGTCCCTAAAAGGTAAGAGGCATGACACATTTTTCTTTGCTTCTTCCCAGATGTCGAGAATAGTGCCTTAATGTGGTGCTCACTGATGTTCTGTCCCTTAATATTGAGCCTCACCACTTGCGGGAGGACTGAATTTCTCTCCACACTGACATACTACTAGCAGTTTTCACTAATAGTCACACACATACACACACACACACACACACACCAAAACACACTCACATCATAATCTTTCTACTCTTCATTGTGGTAAATAGAGCCTCTACCAAAGGATAGCAAAGAATGTTCAGACGATTATTGGCACCAAGAATGTCCTCCCAATGCACCAGCATACCTAAAATGTTGGGTGGAGATGGTGCCTTTTCCAGTGGAAGCTACTCATGGCGTCAGAACAAACCCACCCCACGGACAAATTCACAAAGGGTGTAAAACTGGAAGGCCTCCAACGGGCTCCTGACCAGGGCCTCCAAAGTCAGGTTTGGCAGCTCCTCCATCTTTCCATGCTCATCTGGAGCTCAGCGGCCCTGTTGAATGGAGATGATGAAGGATAAATGGAAAACTATTCCTCAGAATCCCTGGTCTCGACTACTTTGGGAGGAAGACATCCACCCAGCAGGCTGGTCTTTCTGTTTTCTTCTTCACATTCCTCTTCGCATAGTTACTGTTCCTCTTTTCACAGGTTAACATTTAACTTGGAAAAAAAATTAGCTCCTTAGAATTTCGAGCAAATGTTAATCACTACCAGCAGTCTCCGCTGTCCACCTTACACCTTCTCCTGAGGTGGGCAAGGCTAATTTAGCTTGTCAGTGGAGGTTTTGTCTGCTGTTAACCTCTTCACCTCTTTGTCTTTCCCAAGTTTGTTTGCTTTAGCAGGGTTTAATTGGACTAAGGTTCTGGTCTCAGAGACTTTCAGATCTGGAGCCTTTATTAGATGAGACGAGATCATAGAAAACAGAAGGTAGGGTGGGAGGGCCACTAATTCACCACCTGGCCCACAGGGGAGAATTAAATCCAGAATTAGTGAGACTTGGGAGCAGGGCCTCCCCATTGGGGTTTTCTTCATGTTCCAAACTGCTCTTTGGAATCCATTGTCTCAAGGACCCCTTAGGAGATGAGAGTATAGGCATTACCTGCGTCTCTCTCTCTCTCTCTCTCTCCTTTTTTCATGTTTTAGGGAGGAGAGAGGAAATGTTGGTAGCTTGCTAGGGAGAGAAACAGTACAGTAAGACAGAGGTAGTGTGGTGTTGTGAAAAGCACCAAATGTTGTATATACAACTGGTTAAAAAACAAATAGGTAACAACTTGTGGTCTTCACAACCAGCTTTTGTGGTAATCTGAACTTGGACACAGAGCATGCTGGGACCTTGGCTCCAGGATTGGGACAAATGGTCAGTATTTCAAACCACAGGACTCCAGAGGATGGGGTGAACTTGGGTGTCAAGATCTTCTGAGGAGGGCAAATGGGGAGGTAGAGGCCAATCTGATGGTTTGGAGTTTAGAAATAAGATATTCTACCAAGACCAGCATCACACGGCTTGCTTATTGCACAACTTCAGAGGAACTGTTCACAGCAGATTGGTGGTAGTTGTGGATACCTGTGGTCTTACCTGGCCAGCAGTACCTTTTTCTAGGTGGCTGCCCTCCCTGCCATCCGCAGTTACCATAGGTGCTCCCTGCATGCACTTAACTCCAGCTTGATCAGTTGAGGTTTTCCATCCATTCGGTCAAGTTGACTGGCACAGGGGTGGCCACCTGACCTAAGCTGGGCTATAAAATGCAAAGCTTGGGACATCCCAATGGCCATGTTTCTTGCTGTGAACCTGGGAAGCAGAGGCCAGTTAGCAGAAAAAAAGAAGATTTCAACATCTGCAGAGAGGCGCTGAGATGAGAAACTCAGAAAGAGATGTTCAAGTCAGCGTTTCCGCCTGTCCCTGGGGCACTGGGTTCCATGAGATACTAAATGCCTCTGAGTGTTTCAGCTGGTTCAGATTGGGTTTCTGTCACTTGAAATCATAAGAGTTCTGAAGAATATGCTACAGATCAGGGTGAAGGATGTGAAAGTGCTTTGTTTTCAGTGCTTCATCCGATTTGGAATAGGAGCCTGTGGAGGTTAAATGTAGCTCTCAGGAATCGGAGGCAGGAAAGGTGTAGGAAGGGTTTCAGCAACCCAACCAAGGAGGGAGTTTTGAGGATTTAAGCAAATAAACCAGGTGGTGGGGAGGCACAGGACAATCACTGGGCATGCAGGTGAGCAGGGCACCACCCAATGCAGGACTTAGGAGAGTTAGGCTTTATTCAGTGGGTAATGGGCTGCTGACTCTACCTCATTTGTCAAAACTGCACTGGAGTCTGGGCATGGTGGCTCTTACCTGTAATCCCAGCACTTTGGGAGGCCAAGTCAGGAGGATTGCTTGAGTCCAAGAATTCCAGAGCAGCCTGGGGAACATATCAAGACTCTATCTCTACTAAAAATGAAAAGTAAAATAAAATTAGTCAGGCATGGTGGCATGCCCCTGTAGTCCCAGCTACCTCAGAGGGTGAGGTGAGAGGATCATTTGAGCCCCGGAGGTCAAGGCTGCAGTGAGCCATTATTTTGCCACTGCACTCCAGCCTGGGTGACAGAGAGAGACCTTGTCTCAAAACAAAACAAAACAAAAAAACAAAAACAAACAAGAAAACTGCCTTGGAATTTGCCAAAGTAATGATTGTCATGACAATAGCATCAACAACAACAAAAAACCCAAACCAACACCCCAATTAAGACAGGGCAAAGAAAGGACTTGGACATTTTTTCAAAGAAGGTAAACAAATGGTCAAGAAGCACATGAATAGATGCTCAACATCACTAATCACTAGGGAAGTGAAAATCAAAACCACAATGACATACCACCACACACCCTTTAAGGATGGCTACTATAAACACACACACACACACACACACACACCCCACACACACCATAACAAAGATTGGCAAGGATGTGGAGAAACTGGAACCCTTGTACAGTGTTGGTGGGTATATGGAATGATGTAGTATGGTGGGTCTTCAAAAAATTAAAAATAGAATTACCAGGCACGGTGGCTCACACCTGTAATCCCAGCACTTTGGGAGGCGGAGGCTAGTGGATCACTTGAGGTCAGAAGTTCGAGACCAGCCTGGCTGACATGGTGAAACCCCATTTCTACTAAAAATACAAAAATTAGCTGAGCGTTGTGGTGGGCGTCTGTAATCTCAGCCACTCAGGAGGCTGAAGCGGGAGAATCACTTGAACCCGGGAGGCAGAGGTTGCAGTGAGTCAAGATTGCGCCACTGCACTCCAGCCTGGGTGACAGAGTGAGACTCTGTCTCAAAAACAAAACAAAATAAAACAAAGCAAAACAGAATTGCCATATGACCCAGCAATTTCCACCTGCAATCTAGCCCCAAACTTTCCTTCTCCTATATTGTCATTGTACCTATGCTTAATTCTGCAAAACTTCCTCACATCTGGGATGGAGTGGATGCTAATCTTACCACTTAGGGTGTTCCCTCCACCCCAGATCCCACCTGCCTCTTGAGGTTTCCCCAGCCCTCTCATTGGAAAACATGGCTCTTTCATTTGAACTCTCCTGGCATTTTGACTGTCTGTCTTGTATGGGACTGCTCATATTTGCTTTGTCATAATTGCTAATGTATTTGTCTTATCTACTGGACTGTGTGCTTGCTGAGGGCAGGAAGGGCGTGAGCCTTATTCATCCACAAATTCCACCTAGCTAACATTGGTGATTGACAGGCAGCACAATTTCAATAAAGAGTAGTTGAAAAACATGACTATAGGGGAGGATGAGAACCCTGGTTATTAATGGAATGAGAAATTAGCACAGAATTAAATTTAGGAACATGTACCACACCCATGTCTATTTTCTCCTCATTTGGCTTGTGAATAGGAACAGCTATCAGTCACTAGTGTGACCATGCTAGTCTTGTTATTTCTGCTGCACAGATGTACTGGGTTATTGTTTCAAAGAATAACCCTCCACAAAGGCTTGTTATCCCTGCTCCTTACACACACATGCATGGCAAGACAATCCTGGAGAGCCCGAAAGCCTTCCTAGAATCCCAGTGGGAAAGGTCAGGAAGATGTTCCTGGAAAATGGCCCCTTCAGGGACTGTGAAATTTTACCCTGGATGGGTGCGGTGGCTCATGTCTGTAATCCCAGCACTTTGAGGGGCCAAGGTAGGAGGATCATGTGAGTGCAGGGGTTTGCGACCAGCCTGGGCAAGATGGTAATATCCCCTGTCTACAAAAAAAATTTACAAAATTAGCCAGGGGTGATGGTGCATGTCTGTAGTCCCAGCTACTCAGGAGGCTGAGGCGGGAGGATCCCTTGAGCCCAGGAGTATGAGGCTGCCGTGAACTGTGATTGTGCCACTGTACTCCAGCCTGAGCAACAGAATGAGACCCTATCTCAAAACATAAATAAAATTGTTCCCTGCTATGGTCTGAATGTTTGTGTCCCCCCGCCATTCATATGTTGAAATCCTGACCCCTTGCGGTGATGGTGTTAGGAGGTGGAGGCTTTTGAGGGGCAATGAAGTTGTGAAAGTGGAACCCTCATGAATAGAACTAGTCCCCTTATAATAGGCCCAAGAGAGCTCTTTTGCCCCTTCTGCCATGTGAGGTCAGTGAGAAGGCGCCATCTATGAACAAGGGAGTGGACCCTATCAGACCCCAAATCTGCCAGTGCCTTCATCTTGGACTTCCCAGCTTCCAGAATTGTGAGAAATTTATTTCTGTTATTTTATTTTATTTTTGAGACAAGGTTTCACTCTGTTGCCCAGGCTAAAGTGCAGTGGCATAATCACGGCTCACTGCAGCCTCGACCTCCTGGGCTTAAGCAGTCCTTCTGCCTCAGCCTCCTGAGTAACCAGGATCACAGGCATGCACCACCGCACCGGGCTTATTTTTTAATTTTTATTTTTTTGTAGAGATGGGGTCTCTCCATGTTGCCCAGGCTTGTCTCAGACTCCTGGGATAAAGTGATCCTCCCACATCAGCCTCCCAAAGTCCTGGGATTACAAGTATGAGGCACCATGCCTAGCCCTCTGTTGTTTATAAGCCACCCAGTTTGTGGTCTTTTGTTACAGCACCCAGAAAGGACTAAGACATATTCCAAAGAGGCCCTGAACATGCGGAGCCTGGACTCATCCATTTCACAGGCCATGCACAGAACAAATGACAGGCCTGGCTTCAGATTTGGCATCTGAAAAAAGAGAAGGAGCTGCTCCTTGGGCCTAAGGGTAATGGCAGTGAGTATTTACTGAGCACTTACCATGTGCCAAATAGTATGCTCCACCTGCACTGTGTGATAGATACTAACCATGTGGCTATTAAGTACTTGAAATATGCTCAGGGCTGGCGGTGGTGGCTCACGCCTGTAATCCCAGCATTTTGGGAGGCCGAGGTGGGTGAATCACCTGAGGTCAGGAGTTCGAGACCAGCCTGACCAATATGGCGAAACCCCATTTCTACTAAAAATACAAAAATTAGCTGACCGTGGTGGCACATGCCTGTAATTCCAGCTACTTGGGAGGCTGAGGCAGGACAATCGCTTGAACCCAGGAGATGGAGGTTGCAGTGAGCCAAGATCACGCCACTGCACTTTAGCCTGGATGACAGAGTGAGGCTCTGGCTCAAAAAATATATATATATATATATAAAATATATATAATATATATATTATATATTATATATATATAAATATATATAATATATATATTATATATTATATATATAATATATATATTATATATAAATATATATAATATATATAAAATATATATATAATATATATAATATATAATATATTTTATAATATATTATATATAATATATATAATATATAATATATTTTATAATATATTATATATAAATATATATAAAATATATATATAATATATACATAGCATATATATGCTCAGTGCAACTGAAGAGCTGAATTTTTAATTTAAATTAAATTTTAATTTAAATTAATTAAAATTTAATTTAATTGTTAAATTTAAATTTAAATTTAAATTTGAAAACAGATACTCTATTCAGTTATTAGAAAATATTTAAGAATGGTTGGAACTAACATGGGTATGTGAATGTACTTTTTCAACTATTATATAAATCTTATGAAATCTAAATAAGAAACAAGTATTTCTGATGAAAATTTAGCATCTGAATTGAGATGCATTGGGAGTATAAAATACACATCAGATTTTGAAGATTTAGTATGAATAAAAGAATGTTAAACTTCTCATTAATATGTATTATTTTTTGAGATGGGGTCTTGCTCTGTCACCCAGGCTGGAGTGCAATGGTGTGATCATGGCTCACTGCAGCCTCAAACTCCTGGGCTCAAGTGATCCTTCCCCCTCAGCCTCCTGAGCTGCTGGGACCACAGGTGTGCACCATCATGCCATTTTTGATTATATGTATTGGGTTAAATAAAATATATGATTAAAATTAATGTCATATGTTTCTTTTTTATTTTTAAATGTGTGGCTACTAGAAAATTTTAAACACCACATATGGCTTGTGTTTTATTTCTATTGAACAGCGCTCCGTGATATGCTGAATATTTTCACATGCATTATCTCATTTCCTCCTGACAATAACCCTTTGAAGTAGATAGCATCATTATATCACCTTCTTACAGAGGATGCTCAGAGAGGTTTAACAACCTACGCACAGTTACACAGCCTGGTGGTAGCGCCGGGGACCAAGCAGACGTAATGTGATAACCAGGCTGGCGGTCATAGCGGGCTTCGCTTTCTCTGGGGGCTGAGGCCTTAACATCCAGGGGCTTTTCACGGAATCACACAGAGTGTTACAGTCTCAAAGGCTCTCATAGGCATTCCTTTTGGTAATATTTTTGGAAGATGCTATACATACAGTAATTTTTATAGCTCTGATTTGGCATTTCTGAATGTACTGGAAGCCTCAAAAAGAAAAAAAAAGGAAGGTACCAAGTCTGTCTGGGCTTCTGAGAGGCCCTGGGATCACATTAAATAATTTTCCTAGCTGCTCCCACATGCTGTCTTGGATAGGTTTTGGTCAATAGTGTGATGAGTGATTCGGGAATCAGATAGGACAGGTTTAGTACAATAGAAAAGCAGTCCAGTCCAGGCACAGTGGCTCATGCCTGTAATCCCAGCACTTTGGAAGGCTGAGTGGGGCAGATCACCTGAGGTCAGCGGTTTGAGACCAGCCTGGCCAACAGGGTGAAACACCATCTGTACTAAAAATACAAAAATTAGCCAAGCATGGTGGCGCACGCCTATAATCGCAGCTACTCAGGAGGCTGAGGCAGGAGAATTCCTTGAACCTGGGAGGCAGAAGTCGCAGTGAGCCAAGATCATGCTGCTGCACTCTAGCCTGGGTGACAGAGCGAGACTCCATCTAAAAAAAAAAAAAAAAAAGCGAGGCTACCAACCTTCACACTATGCTGTTGCTGTTGATTAATTGTCCACATGAAGGCGGCAAGATGCTGAGGTAGGAGTAGAAGGCTGGAAAGAAGGGAGAGATAATTGACATTTCCAAAGGCAAAGTTTTCTAAGAGGCTGGCTGGAGGCTGGGAAGGCTCTCACTCTCCCTGAAAGTCCTAACACATCTGCTTCTTGCCCCACGAGAACTTGCTCCTGGGTGCTGGCTTTGCCATTTGCGGGAAGCTCAGATGCACTGAGAATGGGACATGGGACAGGGTGCTTGGAGAGCCGGGGCTGCAAGGACATGAGAGAGTTCCGGTTAAGCAAGGGAAGGAGCTGGCTGAGGATGGGAGAGTGACCAAAACCAACCCAGGGAAGTGTCCAGTCCCAAGTTCCAGCTTTGCCTGGAGCCACTTTGCATCTACCTTGGGTTAGCAGGTTGAAGTGGGCTTACTGTGTCACATAGTCTGGTATTTAATCAAATAATTCCTTAAATATAATTCATGGAAGCCGAGCACGGTGGCTTATGTCTGTAATCGCAGCACTTTGGGAGGCCGAGGCAGGTGGATCACTTGAGGTCAGGAGTTCGAGACCAGCCTGGCCAATGTGGCAAAACCCCATCTCTACTAGAAAATACAAAAATTAGCTGGGCATGGTGGTGCACGCCTGTAATCCCAGCTACTCTGGAGGCTGAGGCAGGAGAATTACTTGAACATGGGAGGCGGAGCTTGCAGTGAGCCGAGATTGCACCACTACATCATTCCAGCCTGGGTGACAGAGTGAGACTCTGTCTAAAAAAAAAAAAAAAAAAAAAAAAAAAACAACTCTTGGAAATAGCAAAATCAGAATTCACGATTATGCAAAGGGCTGGCTTCAAATTTGCAAAGATGCAGTAGCCTTGACCTAGACTGATATCTACCTGTCATCACAGGTATCGACATCACAGATGTCCCTGCCAAAAGCTTGGGGTGCTCCTACCAGTTGGTACTAATAGAGGAGGCAGAGGACAGAGCAAGCCATGAGGATTCATTAGGCTTCTTTACATGTGTTTTCCTGTTGTGTTATGTTTAAAAGGTTGAGCACCCATGTGTCTGGAACAAAGGAACAATGATGTTATCCTCAAGCAGAAAGTGGAGGCTCTGATGTGATTCTTCCTTACTGCTTTTGGGAGCCTTTATAAGAAACTCCTACAATTAGACTTGGTAGGTAAGTGCCTCTTTTCTTTCTTTCTTTCTTTCTTTCTTTCTTTCTTTCTTTTCTTTTCTTTTCTTTCTTTCTTTCTTTCTTTCTTTCTTTCTTTCTTTCTTTCTTTCTTTCTTTCTTCTTTCTTCTTTCTTTCCTTCTTTCTTTCTTTTTTTTTTTTTTTTGAGAGTTTCTCACTATTGTCTCCCTGGCTGGAGCACAGTGGCCCGAACACAGCTCACTGCAGCCTCATCCTCTGGGGCTCCAGCGATCCTCCCACACTTAGCCTCCTGAGTAGCTGGGACTGTAGCTGGGATTGTGCCCCATCACGCCCGGTTAATTGTTTTGTTTTTTTTGTAGCGATGGAGTCTTGCCATATTGCACAGGCTGGCCTCAAACTCCTGGGCTCAAGTGATCTTCCCTTCTTGGCCTCCCAAAATGCTGGGATTACAGTCATGAACCACCATGCCCACCTCTTCTAAAATGTTAAATATCTCTGGGGAAGTTAGAAGACTTGTTCAAGTGGCTCACGTGTTAGTATGAAATGCTTTAACCTCACTGTCTTTATCCTAATACCTCTTGAGCATTGAGAGTATAGATATTTTCAAGGGGCTGGGGGAAGGAGAGTAGAAGGAAATAGAAGTTGATTATAGTTGTTGTTGTTGTTGTTGTTGTTAGTCTTGTTTAGAGGGCATACCCCACTGGGAAAGGCCTCGGTTGAGATGTGAATTGGAGTGGTGACAAGAGAGATTTGAATATGAGGATCTTTGAAAGTTAAAGTGCTCTCGAAGGACGATAGAAGGGTTCTAAAAAAGAGTTTTGTTTTTTTTTTTTTCCCTCTTGTTTTCCCAGAAATTCTGTCTCGGACTGGGCACGGTATGTGGGGTCTTTATGCTTGGACTATTTTAAAAATAAAACTCAGCTGGGTGCGGTGGCTCCTGCCCGTAATTCCAGCACTGTGGGAGGCCAAGGCGAGTGGGTCACCTGAGGTCGGGATTTCGAGACCATAGGCAGTCCTTTGGTAATATTTTTGGAATATTACCAATTCACGTGGCCGACATGGTGAAACCCTGTCTCTATTGAAAATACAAAAAATGAGACAGGCATGGTGATGCATGCCTGTAATCCCAGCTCCTCGGGAGGCTGAGGCAGAAGAATCTCTTGAAACTGGGAGACCGAGGTTGCAGTGAGCCGAGATCATGCCACTGCATTCCAGCCTGGGCAACAGAGCCAGACTCCATCTCAAAAACAAACAAACGAGCAAACAAAAAAAGAAAAGAAAAGAAAAGAAAAGAAACTCCATGCCTCTGGACAAGCTAGGCAGGGGCTGAGGATAGAAGATGAACCAGAAACACTGTTAGCCCCCTCCTTTCCTAGGACGCCACTCTAACTAGCCTTTGCCCAGGAGGCCTTCATGCCTAATTGTAGCTTTTCAACAGGAAAAGCAGGACAGCTGCTGCTAATTTAATTACATCCAATTTGGGTGGTATTTATTGAGCCTTCTGCGTAAGGCACCTTCTTAACAATGTCCCAGCCCTCCACCACAGTCACCACCCACCTCCCCCCTACGACAAATCTGACCATAGGATTTCCAGGCGGAGAAGAAAACCTCCCACCTCGGGCTTCATCTGTAGGGGCCGCAGTCCAAGCCAGCGGCTCTGACGTTTTGTTTTCTCTGCATTCGGTTCTGATGCCGACACTGCGCAGGTTGTTACGGAACTGCTAGAGATAAGTGTGAGGGCACATTAAGGCATGGGAGGCATTCTTTCCAAGGGGGGAAGGAGAGGAAGCAGACAAAGAAGGGCCTCTGCTGTCGTTAGGATTCTCACTTGTATGTTTCTGTTTCCAGAGCACCAGTGATGGGAAGTGTTTGCTTCTGTGAACTCAAGGCACAAAAAACCAAGGCAAAAGAACACTTTTTAAAGGCTCTCGCCCCCAGTTGCATCAGCTCCATCAAGCAGGGTTGCGCAGTGCAAGGCTGGAATGGTTTCCAGGGCCTCTGTGGGGGACGAGGGGAGAGCTGCCCTCCTCATCTCTGAAAATAGTGCTTTTTCAAGTTTCCCTCCTTGAAATGTGGAATGACATCCTCCAAGCACCCTGTTTGAATCTATGGTGTTATGTATATGTGGTGGCTTTAAGACAGTCTCGGAGGGGCTCCTAGGGAGGTGGGGAGGGGAGCCCTGATGCCGGGGCACCTTGCTTGCTTTTGATGGAAAACTGCTCTCCAAAAATGGCTCCAGAGAAAGCAAATCTTAGGATAGTGAAGCGAGAGTGGAGAAGCTTAGATTCCTTTTTAAATGGAAATTATTTCCACTGCAAAGAAGACATTTCCCTCAAAAGGGGGAAAACGTCTTAAAGACACCTCCGCCAGCTCAGCTAGCGCTGGGACACAAGCAAAATGCCTGACGGGCCGGTAAATCATCTTGGGAGGACAGAGTTTGAATAGAGGGGAAGGCAGAAAAGCAGAAGCCCGGCATAGTGTGAGCTGATTCCAGCAAAGGCTGAGAGCAGCAAGGGGCCTGGGCTATGGGATACATAATTGGCTAACGAATAATAAAGCCAAAATTGGATATTAACAGCAATTAATTTCTGTAGAGGCACTGGGGAAAAGAGCTGCAGAAAACCCCATTGGGCCTTAAGCCGAAGCAATCTGAAATTAAACCAGTGTCTCAATTAAATGGGAATAAATATTGCCACATCAATCTGTGTAGAGTGGGAGGGGGCTGACAGAAGCCCCCCGTGCAGCTCAGGGCACCTTTCTGCACGTCCGAAGCTCTCGGTGGCACAGCCTCAGTCAGGCACATCCTGGTCCTGACCTGTGGCCTGTAGAGGCCACCCGGCCCATGACCTTGAGGCCAGGGCTCTGAAAGTTATTTCAGGGGACGGCCTGTTGACCCAAAGGGACCTTGCATCACTCACTGCACGCTGATGGACCCAACAGATGAGGAAATGGAAGGAATTGAGTTTTTTTTGCAAACAGAGACCGCGTCCTAATGGCAGCAGCGGTTGCATTTGCAAGGAGATTCATGGAGACAGAAAGAGCCTTCTGCGCCTTCCTTCCAACCGACTTCGAGCGGCTCCGTCCCCTCCGGCTTCGGATCTGGAACTAACGCTGACTAAGGCCGAAGGAGGAATGTGTCTTTTTCTTTGTGGGTTGAAGATTTTTGTTGTGGTTTTGGCTTCTGTGGAGAGGGTTGCGGGGGTGGGGAAGGACGGTGTTTGGGGATGGCGAGGACACGTCTCTGGGTCCTGGGGGAAGATGCCCGCTCCCTGGCCGGGTCACTGGGGGTATCCGGGAGAGGAGGCTGGATGTATGGGCGGGGCGTCCTAATGGGGAATCCAGGAGGATGCACTGAGACGGACCCCCCACTCCAGCAAATAAAACCCAACCCCCAAGCGCTTTCGCGGCGGGGTCCTCTTCCCAGGCTGCACCTGCCAGCCCCTCTTTCTTGCAAGTTCTGAGGCTTTCCGGGATGCACGGTGGGGTCCTCGAGGCCGCAGGTACTGAAGTGGATCAGAGAGAGGCCCGGAGCCGCACTGCGGGCGCCGGGCGCACAGGCTGACCGGCTGCACGGCCGGGAGGGCGCGGCTTCTAGGCCCAGGCCTGCGGCTGGGGAGCGCTGTGGGTGGCCAGGGGAGGACGTGACCTCCCGCCCAGGCCTTCGGTCTGGCTCGGCCACCCTTGGAAGCAAAGGATGTACCCTCGTCTCAATTCGTCCCGCTTCCTGCCCCCGACTCCGTAAAAATCTCTAACGTTGACCGTCGAGTGTCCATCTGGCGCTAGAGTGAAATCGATGTGCATGGAAAATGGAAAAATGACCTCTCCGGGGACAGTCCCTGGCGTTTGTAGCCCTGACCTCTTCGCCTCCCCCTCGCCTTAGAACTTGGGCTTGGGGCTCATCCTAGAAAGACCCTGAGACTAACCCGCATCTACCCACACCTCGGATGGATCCAAAGCTTTGGGAACTGCAGGAGGACCCGAATCTTAGGAGTTCCAGGTCTGCATGATTCGGGAGAGAGAGAGAAAGGGAAAAAAAAAATCAAGACTGGGAAATGGGAGCAAAAAAGAAAAGGGAAACCAGCGCCTGCTCATCTTCTCCTTGCTTCATGGAGAAGTCTCGGGTGCATTCGAAGAGAAAGAGACGAGAATGCCTCTTGCGTGCTGGGAAGCGAGTCACTTGAGAAGCCCTGGGCGCGGTCCCGGCCGACGGGGCCCGAAATGGGGCCCGCGCCCACAGTCGCGGAGCCGCAAGTTGCCGCAGAACCGCCCTGGGAACATCACGCGAAGTTGCAACATGCACTTGCAGCGGAAGTATTGCCTCTTGGACCCCAGGTCTCAGTATTTTGTGTGTGCTTAAGCAACAAATAGGTTGGATTTGAATTTCAAAAGAACCCTCCCACTGTAATTTTGAGAGAGAAAGCCCTTAGTGATTCTGGAAGTTTGTTTTCTGGGCTTCCCGGCCCCTGACCCAGGCCCTCAGGTCTTGGTAGCGTTTCTATTTTAAGACAAAAGGGAGAAGGACAGGAAATAAAAAGATGAACCTATTGAGAGTTGCTGACACTTTTATTTCTGACCTGGAACATTCCTTGCCCTCAATAAGGCCTGATTTTTTTTTTTTTTTTTTTTTTTTTTTGAGGCCATCTAAATTTGGTGCTGGAAGATCATTCCAGACCTTCTACACAGCTCTATAAGGCAAAAAGCCGCACACATTGCCTCCCATAAATTCCGTTTGAAGTCCTTTCTTCTATGTCTACATTTGTGATGCAATTAAGTATTGAATACATTTTCTTTTAAAAAAAAAAAAAAGCTGAGATGAGATTGAGAAAGACTTGGCAAAACACCCAATGAAAGAATTGTAGATGGGACTTGGGAAAAAAAGTCTTTATTAGGTATCATCATTCTCATTCTTGTTATTATTGACATCCTCGTCACTGTGAATCAGCCAGCCCAGCCTCCAACACACATACCACCAGCACAACTCCTCATGTTGACTCGTGGGCCCTGAAACCACCCACAGAGTAGATGAGGAAAGGGAGGCTCCATCTGTCCTAGGGAGAACGCTTTGCAGCTGCCCCCAGAAGACTCCATTCTAAGGTTGGAATGGGAGGAGGATATTATGTAAGTTCAAGAGGAGGAAAGAGAAAATGTTTTCTCTGTGGAAGCAGCATAGATGGATGGACTTTTGGTGGCTAAATGCCTTCCTCTAAATGCTAGCATTGGATACGGTTATGCGGGAAAATATATGTGTGCATATGGGCACACCCCTCCTCCGAATATCTCTCTGGCAAAAGCTCCTCATACATTCACAAAAGCCGCCCCCCTCCCTTTGGTAACAGAAGTAACTTACAGGAGTTTACCTTTGCCTCTGCTAGAAGGTCAATCTCTTTTCCGCTTAAGAGGAGATCTGGGCTGTTTCTGGCAGGGGAAAGAAGAGTATCACCAATTTTTCCTTTGACACATTTCTAAATCTGGAAGTATCTGGTAGAGTTACCTCAAGAATCATATAAGCTTGCATCACGATGGGGACTGTGATGGCAGTGGTGCATATGAGCCCATCAGGTCCTTCTTCGCGTATTCAGTCAGCAAACTGCCTCAACCGTGTCCTACTTTTTCTTAAGCATATAATTCCCCTTTCATTTAAGCCAGACTGTAGCTAGAGGGGCTCAAATAGGTAAGAGAGAAGATACTAAAGAGTTAAATGCACTCAAAGGGGAGAACTATTCAGATTTCTTATAAAATTACTGGTGGCATAAATAGGCCCCAAATACAGAAGGGAAGGGCTGACCTTCACTCGGACACCTCATTTGAGCACAGAAGGGGCCTGGCAATTACACATGGGGCCAAGTGGTCTATTCATCTCTTTGCCATTTTCAGCCATTAAAGCCCTACATAAACATACATTTCATAATGAGACCCACCCGGTGGACACAGGCAAATGCCCACACCCATGCGCACAGACCTAATAGACCCAGAACACTCCCACACACATTAAAGCTTTCTGGAACAAGAGTTTACATAAGTAATGAAGTAAAAAATATGCCCCTCCCATCATAGATTATCTGCAGCAGAAACCTGGCAGGCGTCAGCCATGGTACCTGTGGTTTAAGCTCTCAGCTTAAAGCATCTGAAAGGGGCATTACGTGGGAAGGCATCTGGAGGTTTTACAGGAGGGCAGCACATCAGCGAAGGGTACAGCAACCTCTGAAGGAATTACGGGGAAGCAGTTACTAAAAAGAGGCTCGTCAATGTGGACGTTTGTGGGGCAAGGGGTTTAGTAATCGGAGGCTTAAACCATGCCTAAGAGAAGCATCCAGCGGCCTTCACAGTGAGCAGAAGGGGCAGAGCAAGGCGCTTCACACCCCAATAAGGCCCAGCACTGACTGCTTTCTTCTTCCCAAACCTGTCCAGAAAGGGCGGAGGGGACACCAGGACTCAGAAAGCTACTGGTTTCGGGGGAGGTATATTTTGAAGGCAACGGCAAATAGACAAGGGCTTGTGAAGGCTCAGGGGTGAGAGAAGCTGTTCTCCCTTTCTGTCCTGCAGCCAAGCTTGCCTTCTGGGACTCCAGAGGCAGCCCAGCACCTGCAGTCTGCAGGATGTGCACTGCAGCTTTCTCTCTGCGGGGGCAAGCAGGTTGTGCCACATTCTGCAGACCCAGAGAAGGTTCTGGAAGTATCTAGGTGAGGTGCAACACACTTAACCTCTGCCTGACTCTAAACACTGCTTTAGGAGGGCAAATGAAGAGCCTAAGAGGTAATAATTACACAAGGATTGCACACAGTAGGTACTTAATAAATATTTGGGGAAACTGAGGCCGGGGAGGGGCCCTGATCCAAGGCATCACTGAATACTAATTTATTTAGCAGGCTAGACTGAGGCTTTGGAGAGGAAAGAAGTCCTCAGTAAGCTTCAGTGGAGACTCTTAGGGCTTGATTATTGTGTCAGGAATCAAATTAATCTCCTAAGCATCCCTTATGGCCTTGGCCTTGCAAAGCCAGGCCTCTGCCATGCTCGGGGGAAGGGATGCAGCAGGCTTCCTGGGCAGAAGGATCCAGCTCTTGGCCTCCTTTCTCTGCTCCTCCCTCTACTGCAGGGACCTGCCCCTCCTCCATTTCCTCCACCTGGAAATTAATGAGCTTAGGTCTTGCCCCATCCGCTGCAGCTTGGTGGTTAATACAGAGCTGGAAATGGGATGAGACTGTGGCAGCGCAGTACGAGGGGGGTCTCTAGGACCAGCTGCTGCTCAGGGTCTAGTGATGGGAGGAAGGCCTGATTTGGGAAGCAGGTTCTTCAGGATGAAAAGCTTAACCCTTTCCATTCCCTGACAGCCTCTTTCAAAACAGTCTTTCCTCAGACCCCCAGTTGCACACATTCTGTTTTTCCTTCTGTTCACATTTTTAAAGGAACACATGTCTCCCTTGGGTCCATGTAGGTTATTGTGCCTCTCCCTTCCTCTGCAGCTCCTGGATCTCTGCCTGAAACTGCAATAACAGCTACAGGGAGGGCGTGAGGTGCTCCTTAGAGCCATGACCACGCTTTCAACTCCGATAGAGCTTGTGAACCCGCTGGGAGCTGGCTCCTTCTTGTCCACATAGCCCAACGACTTCCTTAAGCTTGTCAGGTGCTCTCAGCTCTACAGCAAAGTGTGACAAACAGCTCCCCCTCTCCCTTCCTACCGCCTGCCCTCCTCCCCAAACCTCAAGCAGAACACAATATATCCGCAGTCCAGGCCCTGAGGCAGTCTGCCAGTCTCTGGATGCCAAATTATTATTTTTTTAAGGGCAAACCAAAAAACTCAGCTCAGAACAAAAACACAGTCACGGAGGAAGGTGTTGACCCACATACAATGAGTCCTGAGCCCAGAGAAAAATCTGCACACACAAGCACTCCGCAATGCGCTCCCAGGCGACCCCCTCCCCACGCACACCGCATCTGTGCTGCACAGATCTGCTTCTGTCACAGAATCAGCTTCTGTTTCTCTCCCTGAGTCTGTTTGCATCTCTAAGCCCCTGTCTGTCACAGGCTGCACACCTCCCCACCCCACGGGCTCCGGTGCGGGACAGGCAGCCGGAGGGAGCTCCAGACCCCTCCCCTCGCGCCCGCGGCCGCTGCGCGGAGGTCTGCGGAGGGCGCCTGGCTCGGTCGGTCGCTCCTTCCTTGGCGGGCCCTCGCCGACCCACGGTGCTCAGCCAGCCCCATTCTTGGCATTCACCGCGTGCCTTAATTGTATGGACATTTAAATCAAGGTCCGCTGTGAACACGGAGAGAGAGGCCTTTCTCCTGAGGAAGGAAAGGAGGAAGGAAGGAAGGAAAGGTGAAAGAAAGGAAGAGGGGTGGGTAGAAGATGGAATAAGAAAACCAGGAAAAAGAAATAAAAAGCGGCGCGTGTGCGTGCGCACTGACAGCGGGGAGAGGGATGGGGGTGGGGAACGCCGGAGGAAGGGACCACAGCATCCTCCCCGCCGCAGCTCCCCCAATCACACAGACAATGAGATAACAGCGACGTCTTCCAAAGGCTCTTTGTTCTCCCCCATCCTTTCGCATCCAGGCTTTTTCCTGCAAAGCGGAGGGGGTGGAGGGATGGGGGTGTGGGTGGAAGTGGGAGACGGAGGGGTGCCTCCCCCGTGTTAATTACCCCGGCTCCCCTCGCCCCTTTCCCCGCGCCTCGCCTCCCCTGCAGCTCCAGACAATGAAAAAACAACATCGACCCCACCTCGCCCCAGCGCAGCAACCCACCCACCCATGTCGCCCTCTGCTTCGCCCAGGAAACTGAAGGGGACTAGGAGGAGGAAGAAGAGAGCGAAGGACAAGGAGAGCAGCGGGGACTCGGCAGCGGCAGCCGGGGCAGGGCGCGCGGCCGCCGCCTCTTTACCTCCATCGCTGAGTGGGGGCGCAGCCGGGCCGGGCGTGCCGCAGGGGCGAGTTGCCGCGGTCCGGGGCTGGGACCTGGGGATTCAGCCTTCCGGAACTCGCCTGCTGCAGTCCTCTCGCTCAGGTCCCAAGTGGTGGAGGGGGGAAAGGAAGAGAGACGAGAGAGAGAGAGACAGAGAGAGAGAGAGAGAGAGAGAGGAAGAAGAAGAAGAAGAAGAAAAAAAAACCATAAGAGCGAGGCCCATCTGGCCCCTCATCAGCTTTGTCAAGTCTTGCATACGCTAAAATGCTAATGACCTAGATAGCTCATGCAAAATGCAGCAGGGAGGGCGGGAGCGAGGGAGGTGGGAGGGAGGAAGAGAGAGGAGTGCAGGGGGGAGGGAGGGAGGAGAGGCGGAGGGAGGGAGAGAGGGAGAGAGCACCCCTACACTCTCCCCACCCCACCCCCAACTGTCAGCGGGCTTTACCAGGTAAAGGGTGGACGTAGATTTAAAAGGTCACTCGTGTATAATGCGGCTGGATCCCCGGGTCAAAAAAAGGGGGCGAGACAGAGGATGAGAGTCCCTAAAGCCAAAAGGACAATAAGACATCATTTTAAGCCCCCACCCCCATGCCCTCCTCCACCTCTCCACACTGTTTACACACAAATCCTGTCGCCGCCTCATGCATGTGCACGGACATGTCAATTTCTCATCAATTTCTCAGCGCTCCTATCGACAGACACCCGAATTCTCATTCCCAGCAAAACTCATCCACTGGACCCGAGGGAGGAGAAGACCCCTTCTCCTCCTCAGTGCTCTTCGGGCTGGCCCATCCCTACTCACCTCCATCTCCACTCTCTACTCCCTTAGCCCTCCAGGCAGCAGAGGGCTCCTTCTCTTTTCTAAGCCTTGAGTCCCCTGTCCCCTTTCCAACCCCCGCATCTTGAGAAGGAGACGCAGAGTAGCAGGAAAGCCAAGTCAAGTCCACCTAGGTCTCCCACAATTCAGCTACCCCTCCCAGAAAAAAAAAGAGACCCCAACAACCCCGACCCCTCTCCTACGTAGACACTGTGAAAGCAAGCCACAGGGACAAATAAAAGACAATCCGAATACCCTCAGCGTTCCGCACGCCGGGCGGACGCCCTTCCGCAGCGGCCACGCGTGTTCTGGGTTCAGCGCTCCTGCGCGTCCCTTCTCGCCGAACCCAAGGTGCTTTGTCCCGGCGGCCACACAAGGTCTTCGGCTTTTTGTTCTCCTTTTTTAAGAGACTGGCCGCAGTCCCCAGCGATTCAGCCGGCCCAACCAAAGGCAGTGGATCTACTGAAATGAAAAGGATCGAGATAATACACAGGCAGATGAATAAGGGGGGGGATGCTGGAGGTGCAGGAAGCATCCTGGGAGCGGCCGCCACGGCCAAGCCCGAACTGCTTGCTGCCTTCGCTGGGGAAGGCGCAGGAGGCGAGCCGGCGCTGGTGGTCGCTCCACCTGGCAGGAGGAAATGATAACCATGATAAGGAACGTGATGATGATGATGATGATGATGATGATGATGAGCATGATTTAAAAAAAATCAGTCTCCCTCTTGGTGAACCAGAGCATGCGTGCCGGAGGGACTGCACTGCTGGCGGCGGCGGCCGGGGGAAGGAGAGCGGCGCAGGAGGCAAAGGTTGAGGAGGCAGCACCCTCGGATGAATAATAACACCGCGCCGCGCAAGTTGCGGAGCCGCCTGGAAATCCAGCCCTTCGCGTGAACTCGCGTCGAGCGCGGATTGCAGGGGATGAGGAAGAAGGGGGAGGGGAGGGGAGGGTGGAGGAGGGAGGGGGAGGGGTAGAGGGGAAGGCAGAGAGGGACAGAGAGAATTGGGAGCCTTTTAATTTTTCCTTACCAAGCCCTAATCTCGTGCGCCGTCCTCTTTGGCTGAGGTCGAGCTCCTTTTTAAAAATTATTACTCCTTTAAAGGATTATTCAGGTAAAGGAAGCCGCATCTGCTGACGGTTCCGAAAACAAGAGGATTAGGAGCCCGTCCACAGATCCAGGCCCGCAGACCCCCACCCCCTCTGCACCAGCACACGTCATTCTCACTGCCCCCGGGTACCTCCCTCTCCTTCGTGCTCGGGGAGAGCTGTGCCAAGGAAAATGCGGATTTGGGGAAAGTGAGAAGTGGGAGAGCTCGGAAGAGCGGGAAAGCCAAGGCCGGAGGTGGCGATTCGCACCCCCACACTCACACGCGCTTCCGTTTATCCGTTTCTATCCCGGGAAAAGGGGGCGCCTGCCCGAGCCCACGCGCGCCGCCGCATCTGCAGCGGTCGGCGCCCCACGCTCCCTGAACGCCCCCCAGGCGGCACCAGTGCCGGGCAGAGTCCCCTCGGCGGCCGCGGGCGTCAAATCGACACCTGACTCCACAGCTCCCTTCCCTCTCCTCTTCTTCCTCCTCCCCGGGGGTCCAGGCACCGCCGTGCGTCCACTCCCGGTCTCCACGGCTTAGGCAGACGGAGTGGGGGACTCCGGGGACCCGCGCGTCCTCTCCTCCTCGGCCCTGGCGGGAGGAGCCGGGCTGGGGTTTCCGCGGGCCGCGGCGCGTTTTAGGGCTGCCGGGGACTGCGGCGGATGCGGTTGACATCACTGCGGCGGCTGCCGGGCCGCTGCGGCGACCTGAGCGCCGGTGCAGCCTCCCCCACCCCGCCTGGGCGGGCGTCTGGGCAGGACAGCTGCGGGGGGTTGGGAGAGGAGTCGGGGAGAGGGGGACGATCGCCCCATCCCCCGCCCCCCCGCAGTCAAGGTGAACATGAAGGAGAGCCGGCGCGCGTGCCCGCGTCTGGGAGGCGCGCGGCCCCGCCCCTCCCGGAGCCCTCCAGCGCGCCCGGGCCAGATGGACGCCCGAGATTAGAGGCGCAGAAGTGCGCTCCACGACGGGCCCACCCGTCCCGCGGACATCAGACCTACTTCGGGGAGGCGCCTTTTGTTGTGGTGGCCGTGGCGGTGTTTGTGTCTTTCCGGGAGCACAGGGTGAGCTTGGCCTTCAGGAATGACTCAGAATGAATCCGCCTATAAGAGCCAAACTAAAGACGACCCCCCGCCCCAGCCCCCCAACCATAACCCAACGCCTGCCATGAGAAACCTTCGGACTTTCCAAGGGGTCAGTGCCTCAGCCACGAGGGGCAGCCCTGACCCGCGCGGTTCACGCACACGCAGGGCCCATCTGCTTCCCCTACTCCGGCTTTTCTTCTCTGATGACTTAAAAGAGAGTGAGTGAGGGAGAGAGGGAGAGAGAGAGAGAGGTCTAAGTGTTTCTTGGGCACTGCTGGATTCAGGGCAACTAGAGATGGGGAGAACAAGCCCCGCCAGCTAAAAGCAGCCCTGCTGAAACCACACAGCCCGCGAGGGTCGCAGCAGAGGCGCCCACCCAGCAGGAGTGGCTGCACGAAGGGTGACCCGGGCGAGGCCCTTCTCGCTTCGAGGCCATTTCGGCTCTTGTCAATTATTGGGTGTTTGTCCCAATATAAGTAGAATGGCGATCTCAAACCCTTTCAGCACTAGCCTTTGCTTCCAACAATGCACCACTAGAAGCTTAGAAAAGAAGCAGTTTTTGTGAATTTCAAGAAGCAGAAAGCTTTGGTTTAATCAGAGAGAGAAGGAAAAAAGAGGAAGAGGAGGAGGAGGGGGAAGAGGAGGAGAAGAAGAAAAAAGAAGAAGAAAAATAAGAAATAAACCATTGCCTGCAACTGATGTTTAATTTCTGAAGACCATGCCTGATTGGAAAAAGCCATCATTTGGGCTGTCTTTCAGGGAAAAACTTACCATTCTGATAACGTTTCCCTCAAACTAAAATACTTTTGTGGTGGAAAAACTACACTGGCAGTGGCTTGGTTCAAGACTCCCACCATTTTGATAAGGGTTTTTAGCTTCAGGACAATTTGTTTCCTATTCACTAAGAATTCCTTTCGCAGATAGTTTCGGAACTCCTTGTATATGGAGGGATGGGGCCGTGACCCGAGTTGGCCTGGACTGAAGGACAGTAGGACACGCTGCTGCTCCCTTTTCCGTAGTGTTTCTTAAAGGCCTGGTTTTGTTTAGATTGAGGACGGTTTCTGGCAGTCCCTCCTCGCCGTTGCTGCAATGCAGGGTATTTGCCGCTCATCTTGCGGCATGGGGGGAGGGGAGGAGAGAATGGTTTTGTAACAGGCTCTGCAGGCCTGAGTGGGAACGCCTTAAATGATGAGCCCCGGGTTAAAAAAGAAAAGAAAAAGACAAAAAAAAAAAAAAAAAAAAAAAAAGCAGCTGATGCTGAATTAATAGTTAGAGCATACCCCTGGGGCTTGCTCCAACCAGGGGGTCAGAAGTCCTTTCCCCTCCCCCAGTCACGGATTTCATATCTCTTTTTAACCAGCCTGATCGGATGCTGGGACATTTGTGATGGCTTCTTAAAACCTAAACCTTTGGGCTTAAGAGTAGTCTATGCTCCTGATCAAACTCACCCCAAATACTAACATGTTAAGAAATTATATTGTAAAACCTCCCCAAATCCGATTGACTGGGCTGTTTGGGGCCCATATGGCCGGACAGCTGTGCTGCTCCACGTGAAAAGACATCATTGCCCTTCCGATGGTATAAAGCGAGGGTTCCCCAGAGAGCTCAGACATGACCTAAGTATTAGCTTAGCCTGGGGTGAAGACTGAGTTAAATCTCTCACTTCTTGGAGGTTAAAATAAAGACAACAACAAAAATCAAAAGAGATGCACTTTTGAATTCATTGTATATTGCGTGCCTCCCGCTGGTCCCACCAAAGGAAGGAAGGACAACCCGAGAAATAAACTCTCTTTAGCTTACCACAAGCATGACGTTAGACAAACTGAAGACACAGGAAAGAAATATATTATTTGCCAAGCGTACCATGTGTCAGTGACATTTGTGGTTCCCTGTTCAGAGAAGCAGGGTTCTGACCTCAGCCGATGCCTGTGTTAACCATAAAGAACAGCCATCAGAGTGTAATTTCCATGGTGAGAAGATGAAACCGTGCTTTAAAAAGGAAAGCCCATTATGAAATGCGGCCGGATTTAATTTTTAATATGATGGCGGATCCTCTAACGCATTCTTTGCTGGTGTTTGCATTCAGGAGGAGTGATTCATTCTGTGGCAGAAATCAAAATAACATTCTGCAGTACTTTTAAATGCGCTTCTCGTTTTTAAAGGTGTCCTGAAATAGAATATTCTATAACCTTTCAGTGGTGGTGGCTGGAGAAGCGGGATACAAAACTCTGTTCCTAGTGCAATGCTCAGTCTAGATAAGACCGGGCTTGTTCTTACTTATCTGTTTGTGCATAACCCCTTGCAGTCTCTCCAGGCCTTAACAAATGTTTTAAAAATAAGGGAGACAGAGAAAAAGAGAGAGAAAAAAACTCTCACAAATCAATCTGGAAAGTGAAATGAGGGGAAAATAGTGGTTAGATGGTTAGATACATAAGCTTTTAGTCCAAGTCAGTCAACATTGTTTTGGAAAATTCTTTCAATATTGAAACTCCCTCATTTGAAACCTTTATGTACAGTAGCAGGTACTGAAGTGTTTTTGTGTTCCTTGAATGTCAGTTCACGTTTTTGGAAATAGCTACAGAGAGTTCTGCAGTTACTGTGTCTTTAAAAAAACAATTTTGGAGGTATTATTTGCATAGCATAACTAATGATGGAACCCTGGAGATCATTTGGTGCCCCCCTTACTACTATAAAAGAGTAGAGCAGGGCCCAGAGAGACGGAAAAAGAGCTTCTAGAGATCATGTGGGTGGTTTGTAGCAATTTCAGTGGTGAAGTTAAGAGCAAAACCTGAGTCTCTTCATTTCTTGCCAGTATGTATTTTTTCCTCATGTATTTGAACATGAAAAGCTTCCTAAAGATTTTGGCAAATAAAACAAATAGTGGACCCTAGTGTGTTCATGTAGTGTTTAGCTTGGGTTGAATTTTGAAATTTGAGTTTTTTTCTATTTAAATGTCTCTAGTTTTAGCAATATTTCAGGAGGTATTTAGGAAAACACACCCAGCCAACCTCTTGTGACCCTGGATGGATAGGGCAAGAGCCACACAGAAGTGTCAGAGCCTTTGACCCAGTGACTTAAGAGCCACAACGTGTCTAGAAAATAATCACGTTAAAGCTAGGACTGGGGTTCTGAGGAAGGACTCCCCCAGCCCAAGACACAGCTATGGAAAACATAGTGTTCTTTCACAGTCATTTTGGGGGCAAGAGTCTGCGACACAAATTCAGTCTATCAGGTGACAGTCACCACGTCAATTTGTTTTGTTTCTGGATTACTTAATAAATTATTCATATTGCACAAAAAAGGAATATATTTTTTAAAAGACCCAAAAGAAAAATAAGCTGTGGTCTCGGACACGTGTGTGATCTTGTGCAAGTAAGTCACTTTCCTTGTTTTCTATCCTCTTCCTCAACATGAGTAAATGATTTCTAAAGTCCCTTTCAACACGAACAGTGTGTGATTCTATTGTTTTTCAACAGAATCCACGTTTCTGAGTCTGGAAGATATTGCCTCCCTTTTAAAATCTATCTGGCAGACATTGTGTTCAGGGTCTGAAAAGTTGAACATGGAAAGCTTTGAGAAAAGTAGAGACAGAGAGAAAGAGAGAGAGAGAGAGAGAGTGTGTGTGTGTGGGCGCATGCATTTAAGTGGCATTCATCTGAAAGTATCGCCATCTTTATTTCTGATTACCCTCTGGGTCAGGAAAAGGTCTTTCTATCAGGTGAAAGCATTTTTCTATTCCCCTCAGTGCGCCCGGCACAGCATAACTGAATGCTTTCTGTGTTTTCACCTAAGCAGATTCAACCTGAGTCCTGCAGCAGATTTAAAAGCCCTCCTCTTTAGCGCCCATCCTGACCTAGATTGCAGGATGAAGGCTAATGATTCATTTGCAATGCTCATGATGGGCATCTACTGCAGGGGTTCCCTCTCCCCTCCTTGTTCCGAAAGGAACCCTGTTACCCTTATCATCTGATATTACCACAAGTAAATATTTTTGTTCAGTTGCTACATAGGGCATGAGGCTATTTCTTAATGAATTATCTGCCCCAGGGAGGCGAACTATAACTCACCAGTGCTTCAGGCAATTTTTAGCATGTGTCAGATTGTGTTTGCCTTAGAGAACTTGGACTGTGTTTTGGTGCAGGCAAACTGCTTTTCTTTTCCTCTTTGTGCAGAGATATACAATTCAACATACCTTTACAAGGAGAAAAGACTTGCTTGTGTTTGAGTCTGATGGGAGCATGAAAACGATGTTCTATATGCATAAAGCATGAGACCATGCAGAGGATGGAGTGCTCGTATTCAGATGCCAGATATTGTTATAATGCAAACTGGACAAGGCTTTCTTTGAATTTCATTTAGAAGCAGCTACCATGTACTATACATTATAAAATCAGAGGATTACACTTGACAAAATGGCCTTGACTAATAATGAAGTGCCGATTGGTGTGTTCATTAAATATACAGATTTGAAGCAGAATTAGTAGCGATGACTGAAATGGAAATCTTGTCAATCATAAATGAGGCAGCTGACAAGTTAGAAGGGGGAAAAAACCCCTCAAATGTGACTCAGATCTTGTAGGTTTGTGTCTGAGGATGATTTAAATAAATTTGGACATTAGGTGGTGACAAGACAAAAAAGAAAAATAGCATCTAATTGGGCAAAAAGACTGTGGTAGGCCTGGGGGATTGTAACAGAAAAAAAAAAGGAGATGGAAAAAGGAAAAAGGAAGAATGAGGGGGTCGTTTGCAGGATAGCTTGTTTGTAATGAATGAATGAAGAGATGAAATCTAGAATATTTATTTCCCAGTAGCCGACACTCAGGAGACATTTAACTATTGTTCATAAAATAAAATCAGTGTCCCTTCTGTGTTCAGCAGCATCAAACAGATTATCTGCATATATAACTCTGCTGGGAGGCGAGAGTGTCGTCAGCTGGAAGTACAGTGTGGGGAACATTGGCTTACTTTCAATCTTTAATTTCAAAGTGCGGTAACTAGGCATTTAAAAACATTGTACGTAAGACAAAGGGCCACTGTATGGCAGCTCCATGCCAGCCACAGGGCTAGTTAGATGTTTTTCTTATATTATCTACAATCTCAGATCCACACTAACCCCATGTTACAAAGAGGTGACTTTCTCAAGTGCAGAAGCTGGCATTGGGATCCAGATATAACTGGCCCCAAAGACTCTCCTTTTTCCATTACAACTGCATGCTGAAGTCTTCCCAGAAGGAACAAGAATAACATTATATAATGTAAAGCTGATATAAAGGATGCTAAGTATTTGTCCTGCCTCATGTACCAAGTTGAAATAAGCAGGGTGAGGCTGACAGAGCAGATGAAAAACATCACTTAAGATCGTTTTTTTCCTGCTAAACTCTGTTGTACACTATGCAAATATGATTGCAAAAGTGGAACATTATCAACACTTTAATGCTAGTTATCTTTCAAAGATGATACTCAGAGTAATCAACATAAACTTAGTATACTGTATCCTAAATAATAAAAATGTTGCCTTGCATCATTCTGATATCCTCAGTACGACCTAGAAAGCCGATCGGAATGATATATAGTGATAATAGCATTCTGCATTTAAACAGCATCCTAACAGTCACAGCGTTTGGCCACCTGGGTTGGGGCGGAAAAGGGAGGTTGGGAAATTGAGGACTTAGCAGCCCGTTTGGGGGCACATTGCCCGGAGAAATTCTTGGGGTGGCAGGCTGTAAATCAGGATGAATGTATTTCTGGATGATAATCCTGTTTCCAGTCTCCCCTAAAGCCGGGCTGGTAAGGCAAGACGCCCTGCTTGGCAAAGATGTTCCCTGGTTTTTGGTGCCTGGGCAGATACCCTGAGTTGATAGTAAACAACAGAACACAAGGGATAGAAAAAGCAGGAAGAAATTTTTTTCTAAATGATGGGAACTTCATTTTTGTGGGATTTGCTTCTCTGTTTAATATATATATTTTTTCTTCGAAATGATGGAGCTGCCGGGGGACAGGAAAAGATGGCGTTCATTACAAATTCCTTACTAGTCATTTGTCTACAACTAGAAGATTAGCAAGAGAGTTCCCTGTCCAATAAAGGAGCCAGCACGCTGGCAAAACGCTATGTGGTGTGGGACTGCTGGCCTGGGAGGCAGGAGACCTGGATTCTAGTTCTAGGTTTGCCACAGACAGAAACTTTGGGCTAAATTATTCCCTCCCAGGTAAATGAAGAGTGGAGGGGCTCTTTCTGCCTACCCTGTTGCTCCACCTTCCTCTTTGTTCTGTTTCCTGCTCCCCCTTCATGAGGATCCCTCCGGACTCCTCAGCCAATCTGCTTGTAGGGCAAGATCTCGACTCAGCAACTGGCACCTGACTATGTTTACTCTCTTAAGGGAATTTTTAAAAGGCCGGACCATCAGTTAACATTTTGAGAACCCCTAAGCAGATGAGCCATGGATGTTTGGGGGAGACAGCGGATGCCTTCTGGGCAATGCTGAAACGGTGCTGGTTTTGTGTGGCTCCTTGGCCCCTTCTGCTGTAGACGCGACACCCTGTGAGAGAACAAGCATGGGTCTCAGAGCCGAGACAGATGAGAATCCACATCCCAGCTCCAGGCCCTACCTCCTCGGTGATTTGGGCCAGTTTTCCATGTGCAGTATGGGGACAATGATAGTCTCGACACCATAGGGCTGTCGTTTACTGAGAGAACACCCAGTGAATCCCAATTTTGTGTTTCTCCATCTTTCTGCCTCTTCTCTAAAGGATGGACCAAAGTGAGCTACTCGAGAGGCTGAGGCAGGGAGAATTGCTTGAATCCGGGAGGCGGAGGTTGCAATGAGGTGAAATCACGCCACTGCACTCCAGCCTGGGCGACAGAGCAAGACTCCATCTCAAACAAAAAAAAAAAAAGAAAAAAAAAATTGGTGGACCAAGGTGAGCCTGAGGACTGCAGCTCCTGTCAGTGGTTCCCAGCCCCAGAAGAAGAGCCGGCAGGGGCCAGCAGTGAACTGCCATGCTCCATGCCGTTCTCCAGCCTGTGTGGTCCATGGCTGGCCCCAGCCTGAGCCAGACGGAAGCCCGGGGAAAGATTATTTCATATCGATCCCATCTTTGACCCACCATATGACTGGACAAGCACTGTCAGAACAGCACATAAGGAAATGGGGAGGCACTGCTACCGCTCCTTTCAGAATTCCAGGAGGAGCTTTTAAAATCCTGAGGCAGGGTTTTAGAAACTCCTACAGAAATGGAGCTTGAACAGGAGCGGGGGACATTGACTTTCTCAGCTGATTGGCGGTCTTGACCCCACTGTGTGTGGGGTGGTGGGAGACCAGAGAGAATCTTAGAGCTGGCAGGTGAGGAAATTGAGGTCCAGAGAAGTGAAGTATCTTCCTAGCCCAAGGCCGCAGAGTTATTGATTAGGTAGCTAGAAATCAAAAACAAAAGCACTGCACGACCTCGCAGGAAGCCAGAGGAAGGGACCGGTGAGAAGAGGTAGAGTTTTATGCTGAGGTAACTTGGAGAGTCTGTTGCCTTTCTTTTTCACCCAGCCTTAGCCCGGCCCTGCTAGAACCCCAAACGTTTAGAGCTTCCCTTGAAGAGAGGTAATAGTTACACCTATGTTAGAGTCATTGTCAGAATACAATGACACAGTGCATAAAGAAATACTTAACACAGTGCCATGTCCTGGGACGTGCTCAACAAATATTAGCTGAAGATATTTTTTACCTTAAAAAAAAAAAAAGAAAGAAAGAAAGAAAAGAAAAAGGCAGCCATTGGCAAATAAAGGCTGTTAGTATCATTGGCTTTATTCTTGATAAAAGCCAGAGAAGTTCCCTGATGTTTTGTGGGTGATAGTTTAGCAGAAGAGGCTGATTGTCATCATGTTTTCCAAAGGTCTAAGAAACTCTCTTTCCTTTGGGGGACCTGATCCTTAAAGTTAATGTCTGTTTTCAAGGAAGTACACCCCACAGTAGCCACTTTATCATCATTCCATTGCTGGTACAATGTATTAGCATGAACCATTACAAGAAGAAAAAGAGAAGAATTTAGATATAAATGTGAATTCTTTGGAGATGTCTGGGAGAGACAAGATGAAATTAAGAGCTTTTTTGATGTGATGGAACAACACAGGCTGAATGAGGGAAAGTTCCAGTTTTTAACATCCTAAGGGACAGAATGTCAAAAAAATACTTATGAAGCTTCTGAAAAATAGGGTCCAAAACCCTTCATTTCTGGCAATAAGAAGCCTGACAACCTCCTGGAAATTAGTAGCTAAAAATTTTAGACAAGATATTAGAGTATCATTTTAATTGCCTCATAGAGCTTAAAGGAAATAAATATAGCTAGGTCAGAAAGAAAATCTAGCTATATGCTGTTTACAAGAGATTCATCAAAAACATGAAACAAAAATGATGGAAAAGTAATGATAAGTAAACACTAATCAAAAGAAAGCTGATACAGTTTGCTAATGTTAGATAAAATAGACTGGAAGACAATAAACATTATTGGTGACAAAGATGGGCTGTATATAATAAACAATGAAAAAGAAAAACTACTTAGGAGAACAACTCTAAACTTGTATGCCCCTAGAAACATAGCTTCAAAATAGAAAAGCAAAAAATAGAAGCAACATTGGAGAGAAAATGACAAATTGGAAAAGATATAAAAGATTGGAACAACACAACTATCAAACGTACTCTAACAGACACATTTGGAATTTTTCTTCTCAATAATTAAAACAATCACATTTTTTTGAGCATATGTGGGACATTTATAAAACTTGATTGTGTTCTAGCCCACTAAAGTAGTCTCAACAAATCTGTGATGTCACATCATACAAACCGTGTCATTTGACTACAATATAATTTTGTTAGAAATAATTAACCCTCCCCCCAAATCACATACTTCTCCCCATAAATCTGGGGGTGGAGGGAAAGACATTTCTAAATAACTCATAATTCCAAAAAGAAATTATATTGTAAATTCTTGATTAATTAATTTAATGACTACATTTTAAAACTTTGTGTCATGGAGTTATAGTAACACTCAGAGGAGAACTGACAGTCTTAAAATACTTATATTAGTAAAGAAGAAAGACTAAAGATTGAAGATTTAAGTGTTCAACAAAAGAAGTTAAAAAAAGAACAGGTTAAGCCTAAAAAAAAAAAAGAGAAGGAGAAATAGAAAGGTAGGAAGAAAAAAAGGGGAAAAGATGGTGAGATTTCGATCCTAATACCACCTGAAAAAGACCATAGCTGCTTTATTGATGAGGAGAAACATCCTCCACTGCAAGTATCTTTCCCTCTCAGCTGATTGTCGCCTTTCCTCTGAGGGCCCTTCTCACTGACTCTGTGTTCTCTTTGCAGGGGACTAGCTTGGTGTGTTCTTCCTCTCTGCAGCCTTCACATCTAGCCCAGGTGCTCTGCAATTTTACTGAATGACTTTTCTCCTTCCGTAGCTATTTGCGTATTTTGCCCTTTATGCTAGATTGTAAAGTCTTTGAGGTAGAAACGGTATCTTTCTCATCTCTGCTCCCCCACAACATGTAAGCCAGGACCTCATGCAAAATAGCGACCTGGCATCTAGATGTGTTTGAAGTGGAATTGAGTTTGTAGACAGAGCTTCGGCTTATAGGGAGAGGAGGACATGGGAGAAGGAGAGTGGAAGTGATTTCGGAATCTCCCAGACTTGGGAATCTGGTGATCGTTTGGAATAAGCTACCTTCAGCGGCAAGGAGGGCTTTCCTGATGTGTGGGCCATGATTTTGTGGCTAAGAAACTAAAGAAAAAAGAAAGAATAATTGAAAGAAAAATTTCTTAAGCCCTTCTTTGGAGAGGAAACACATCCCTTCAGCTGTTGGTTTTGTAGAGGCACCTACTCTATTTCTGAGTTCTGAGTCCTGTCTGGTAGCACTGGCTGAGGAGTGGTTAAGGGTAGGGTAGGTGATTTTGGAGTTGGGTGCTAATCTGGGCTGAAGTTCCCCCACTACATTTTTCTTTTTTTGTGGTAAAATATACATGACATTTGCCATCCTAACCTTTTTAAATTGTATAATTCAGTGGCCTTAAATATACTCACATGTGGTGCAACCACCACCACCATCCATTTCCAGAACATTTTTTTATCATCCCAAACAGAAACCCTATCCCCACTGCTTTTTTTTTTTTTTTTTTTTTTGACTATGCAACTTTGGTCAAGTTGCCAGTTTCTTCATCTGTAAATCAGGGCTAATCATATTATGTACTGAATAGGATTATTGTCAGGATTAAATGATGTAATGCATGAAAACTGCTTAACATAGTGCCTGGCACTGTGTTTTATTGACTACGCACTGAATAAATGTTAATATAGGAAATGGCAAGAGGAACGAGAATTTAAATCATTTAGAGCCAGCAGAGGGACACAGTAAATTTTTTCCCAACTCTGAATGATTTGAACTAATGATTAGTTCCTGGAACGCATGCTGGGCAGTTTTGATGGGGCTTGACTGGAACTATAACTGTTGGCAAATAACCTCTCCAGAGCTGAAAGGTGTGGGGCTGGGGGAGGTTATTTCTAAAATCCTTCCACCACCAGTGTCACATCTAGCATGTCATGGAAACGCAAGATAATGCTTGAGTGAGTGAATGAGTGAATGCCTACGTATACATTTCAGTGCTTGAAGGGAGGATGGAGATCATTTTCTTTTAGTCGTCAGTTTGTCAGTGAGAAGGCTGAGACCCAAATAAGTAGAGTGACTTATTCAAGATCACATAATTAGGGGTAGAGCCGGTTTAAAAAGCCAAGATTCCTGAACATATTGTGCAATCTTAACTTGAAAGAGAACCCAGAGAAATGGGAGAAAAACTGGAGAAAACCTCAAAAGCTCACGCAGTTGCTAACTGAGAGTCAAGGTCTCCAATGTTCAATGTCATTTTCCCTTCTCCGACTGCACATCTGATCCAAAGTGTTGCAGATAATTGCTTTTTGTTAAGGAAAGAACATCCCCTTCCAGTTTAGGAGCAATGGTGATTCTAGTAAGGAAGATCATGGAAAATAACTGTTTTAAAACCATAATTCTTAGGGAAACTAGAAATTTTTAAGAGACCTCAAATAGCTTGCACTGTTTAACCTTACCTAGGCTCAGTCTGCTTCCTGGTCAGGTATGCATAGTAATACCTCGCAAAGCATGGTGAGCTTTAAATAACATAAAGAACGTGACAGTGGCTTGCACACAACCTGGCATATGGGTGGTGTTCAGCAAATACTTGTTGCAAGAAAAGGAGGATATCATTGATGAAACACACTCTCCAGCCCTATCAACAGCCCACTTGACTCTGCTGGGAAGAATTGCTGGTGCCGTATACACTTTGTTTGCAACGTGACCTGGAGAATAACCTCGGGGGAGGAGGTAGCCATTAGGATGGAGCACTTTATAGCAAACACGTGCTGCTGTTTTGCTGCGGCACCCCAGGTTGCAGTTAGTCAGAAATGGCTTCCCATGTTTACTGGAAACATCGAGACCTGTCTCAGTGACACTAATGCTGCAAATGCAGGTTTCAGTCTCATACCCGGGGACACAGGTCACTTGGCACACAGGCAGTCACTGCTCACCCATGTAGAGCAATAGGAAGAATCCTGTACCAGGAATCGGAGCACTGGGTTCTAGAGGTGGCCACTTACAAGCTTTGTAATCTCACGGCTTTACCTCTCTGAACCTCAGAATCCTCTTCTGTGAAACAAGGGGGTTGAATACGTGATTTCTGACCCCTTCCCGCTTGAAAACACCATGATCTGTTTAGTTATTGCACTCACAGCTTTGCAAGTATTGCTGCTCAGTGAAAATGTAAGTGCCATACATGTGTACCATCACACACACACACACACACACACACACACACACACACACACACACACACCCTTCTAGACCCAGATTCTCCACTCAGGGAAATAGCATGAAAGAAAACCTGATGCCCCAGTGAATAGCCATTTTACTCACCACCTTTAGAATGACATAGCCCAGCTGCTTCTGGGCTAGAACCTCATCCTCCTTGTGACTCGATGCTTCTGCTGCCAAATGAGGTAGGAATGGTGCAATCTGATTTCCACCCCCTAGAGCAACTGCTGCTGCGGCGCTGCGGCCGCCCCTGCCTTTTCTACCATGGATGCTGCATCAGCACAGAAATGCTGAGCACAGCACATTTCTGAGCTTCGGGAGGCAGACCGGATTGCTGCAGAGGGAAATGGGTATCCATTCTTCTCATGACTAGTTCCACACAGTGGGTACTAGTGGTGGGGGGAAATTTACTTTTAAACATTGCAAGCCCCAAAGGGATGAATGTGAGAAACCTTGGCTTTTGCCCAGATCAGAGCCCTTTTTGCAGTCAGATTGAATCGCTTGGGATTCTGATCTCTCTTCCTGCTCCAGACCTGCATAGTAAGGCAACATTTCTAAGTGTTTGTTGATGGTGATGATGACAGGGTCTTTAAAGCATCCTAGGGCAAATGCCTGCTTTTCTCTTAAAGGGTGACATTTCTGCAGGCTTCTAGGGTTCAGAGCAACATCATTCAGGGGTGATAGAATGAGCTATTCTTTGTGGTGCTGGCTTTCCTGGCGTAATCCATTTGGAGTAGAACAGGACAGAGCCTAGGACTCATTAGCTTTGGGGGAGGAGTTTGTGTTTTAATTTCCACAGATGTCTCCCTGAATTGCTCACTCAGCTTTTGGGGTACCAGTTCTATTGGCTAGTCTTCGCTTCCACATAAATCCTGTAGCCGATGGTCTCCGGGCATTTTTGCCACCCTTAGGTTCAGTTTTCTCATCTGCAAAATAATATGACTCACGGTGTGATTATAACCCGGACATCCTGCATATGTACCCCAGAACTTAAAGTAAAAATATAAATTAGAAAAAGAATTGTTTAGATGACTTATGACAATGCTCTCTAAATCTTTTTATGATCCCCATTGGTAAAAATTTTACTCTGCCTCCCAATGTATGTATATTTATATATTTGTAAATTATATAATGCACTTATACCATTAGCCAACTATCTCAAGTCTTAATATACATTTAGGGTAAGGTTCATTATTAATAATAGTAGATATTAAATCACATTTTTAACCATGTGATAATTTAAAAATTTTTTGGCCAACTTCATATTGGATCTGAATAAGCCGTCATTGTAATCTTGTAATGTGGTTGCAAAGAGCTCTAACCAGGAGTAGACCTGTCAGTTCTACCTTGTCAGGTTGCTCGTGTTATTAGTATTCACTTTCATTAGGGATTTCTTTGCAGGAATCTTTCTAAGCCAAGCATCCTCTTTGTTGGGGGTGAGTTTAATTAAAACCAGTATGTATAATCTGGAACTTCGTTTACCCCTCTCACATTGTGGAACTCTTGCTCTTCCCTCAGGATAATGTGTTTCCTGGAAGTGACACTTGGGCTACTGACACACAGACAAAAAAAGTCATCAGTGTCAACCCACATATTGAATATTAATAAAACTCCCTTTCTGATATTTTAGATTATAGGTAGGCTCTGATATTTTCCTTCCTGCATTTCCATGGATGGTTCTGCATATCTCCTGGGGTAGCTGCACCTTTTTTGTTGTTTTTTTTCAAAACCACTGAGTTAATGGATATAAACATGCTTTGTAAGTTGCCAAAATGGACTAAACCAAAGTGAGGATGCTGATATCTGGAAGAATTTCTTCATGTGTAGAGCTGTACTCACCTACAGCTCTAAGGACACTTTCAGGAAGGATAGATCTCATTGGTGCTCACAATAAGAATTGGCCCAATAGGCCAGGTGCGGTGGCTCATGCCTGTAATCCCAGCACTTTGGGAGGCTGAGGCGGGCAGATCACCTGAGGTCAGGAGTTCGAGACCAGCCCAGCCTATATGGTGAAATCCCATCTCTACTAAAAATACAAAATTAACCGGGCGTGGTGGCACGCGCCTCTAATCCCAGCTACTCTAGAGGCCGAGGCAGGAGAATCACTTGAACCCAGGAGGCAGAGGAAGGAGAATCGCTTGAACCCGGGAGACGGAGGTTGCAGTGAGTCGAGACTGTGCCATTGCACTCCAGCCTGGGCAAAAAGAGTGAAACTCCATCTCAAAAACAAAACAAAACATTACAAAACAAAACCAAAAAACACAAAAGAATAGGCCTGATTATTCCTATTTTGTGATTGGAGTCCTGGGCAGGGTAGGCTGGTCACATGGTCATATATAGACATTTCTGACTCCAGCGATGCCCCCTGCATGACTGCTACAAACATCTCAAATGCAGATTCCCATTCCTCATTCTCCAGATTGGAGACCCAGGAGAAGGATGCCTTCTGGGGTTTAGTATGACCATAGGATTATAAACCGGAAGAATGAAAAATGCTTCCACATTGTATTCTCAGTGGGCTTTGCTGAGTTGCAGAGAACCAGAACTATCAAAACAGTTCTAGGAGTTTAGATGGAAGACTCAGAAGTCCCTCTCTGGATCTTGAAAACATCAGTTCTTTCTTCAACAGCACTTAAGTTACAGTGTTCTGATATGAAATAAATGGGATCAAGTCATATTGGGTATTGAGGCAGAAGAGATGCTGCTTATGATCAGACAGACTTAGGGAGAGAGAGAGACAGAATATTCATAAATTATGACTTAGGCCAGGCTTCCTAGGGCGAGTCTCTGTAGCTCACCCTGGGATGACATTCACGGGGGTGGTGGGGACACAGACTTGAAGTCATTGTGCCCTGCAGATTTTCCTGGAGAAATCTAGAACCCCAGCTTTCTCTGGAATAGAGTGATAGTCTCTAAAGGACTCTTTGATAGTTTTCTGGGTCACTCTAAGGGCAATCAAGAAAGACCCCCATCCAGAGAACAGTCTGGCTTGGCCACTGGAGGTAGTGATTATCTCTGGAGTAAATTTGGCTCCAGGAAGAATAACAGGGTAGAAGAAGCTCAAGGAGTATGTGTTCTCCACCTCCAAAAAGAGGAATTAAAACAGGAAGAGATCATTTTAACCATATAGTCCCCGAAAAATAAACGGCACTTTAGGGCCTTCTTTCTTAGTATGTTCTCTGATAACAGCAGAACTGTTGCTGGGCGCATGCTGCCTAGCAAGACTACAGTTCCCAGCTTACCTTGCTATTAAGTGTAGTCATGTGACTGAGTTCTTGTCAATGGAATCCAAACCATTTCCAGGTCTGTTTATTAATAGAGTAGTGTGTTCTTATCGTGCTGTATTTCTCCTTCCCATGGCATAAACCTAGACATGATGATGACCAGCTTTGGACATGTGGATAATGATGATTCTTAAGGGATGGTTGAACAGTGATTAGATCATTGAATCACTATGTGGAGCAAAGCTGCTGTCCTATCTCCAACCCCAAACCTGGACTACTGTAGTTGATACTGTGGTAGGGCTTCCCAGGTCTTCCCCTTTAGTCCTGAAGCACTCATCCTCCCAGATTCTGGGAGCATTAGCACCTGATGGGTCACATTTGAATTCATCTTTAGGAATTGCTCTTGGCCAAAGAGAGCTGCGTCACCAGAATTTGCACTCCCTCCCCCAGGAGCATCCCACATCCAATGATTGGACAGTGCTAAGTTAAATTGGACATGCCTCAGTTTTAGACAACTCTAAAGGGACATCAGAGCCCCATGGGGCATTGGCTGAAGCTTCTGTTGCAACTGCAACAATCTCTCTGCCCAGTTGCTGCTCCAGGGAGTACTCCCCAGTAAACCTCTAGCATGCAAGTCTCCTAATTAGTTTATTTCCTGGACAATCCAAACCAATATGCTACTCATATTGTGACTGTTACATTAATGTGGGGAAAAAACCCTTATTTATTTATTTATTAGGTCTCCACAGTGTTGTGTTTATTTGTTACAGCACCTCAAACTTTACCTTCTTTCAATTATTGAGTAGTGAGAAACAAAGTGACCTGTGGATCAGATTTGACTCCTTGTTCTGTTTCATCAGGAACTCATTTTTTTTTTTCACTTTGAACTTCACCTCTCTTGGCCCTAATCTTATTTGTGAAATGAAGATGTTGGATTAGATAATTTTAAAGGTCTCATCCAACTTTAATAATCTGTGGTTATCTTCTTTTTAAAAAGTATTTCTTCATGAGGATGGGGAGATACACAGTGACAGTTGTATTCCTTAAAAATTTCCACCCAAGCAAAAGATTTGGAATGTGACCCTCCATCGTGACCTCTCTTTTGCTTCTACTCATCCCTTCTCCTTACCTTCTGCCTGCACCACCTGTCCTCTGTTTCTCTCTGATGCATCTCGTCCACTAGCCAGAGAGGAGGTCCAGAAAACCTCAGTCGTTTCTTTGAGCTCAGCTGCTTCTGTATGCTTCCAGCTGAAATTCCATCTGGAGCTACTGTTGTAGGCCAACTCCTCCTGTGAAAGCTGCCCTTTTTCCATTGCACCTCTCTGCCCCACACCCCAGGGGTGGCTTGGGCAGAACTGGCCACTGAGGACAAACATTGTAGTTTTTCTTCCCCAAGTCAGAGCTCTTTTGCAATCAAAAGGCTCTTGATACATGTCCCTGAGAACATGATGCTATGCCAGGCACTGTAACTAGCTAGGGGGACCTGGCCCTACCTTCACTGCACTTACATACAAGCTTAGGCATTGTCACTTGAACAGTCAGAAATGGTTAACTTTTTATTTAATAGTGCTTTGCAGTTTATAAAGTATGTTTTTTTATTACCTCAATTCATCTCTATGGAAACTCGATATTATTATTATTCTCATTTTACAGATAAAGAAAAATAAGTTAAAATGACTGTCCTAAGATCACATCCTAGTTGGCAGAATTAGGATTGGAACCTAGGTCTTCTAACCTCAAAACTTGTACTTTTTTTCTTTCCCCTTTTGCTAACCTAGTAAATTCCTTCTCAAGATTTGTGCCTAGGTCCTCTAGGCAGGTCACTGGACTCCTATGAAACTTGGCTTATGTCTTGGTGGGTAAGTTATTAGTTTGCAATCCACCATTCATTCCCCCAACTAAGTTGGGAATGCCTTGAGAACAGAGATTGTGTCTTGGTCATTCTTGTGTTTCACTTGAATAACTAAATATTCTTGGTTGACAGTAAATTAAATGTGTTTTCTCCCTATAATACCAAAACCCTTTACATTGTGCAATGATGAGAGTAATGAACATTGGTCATGTGTATGGACAATAGGAAGCTGCCCATGGGTGTGGCATTATAAGCCTTGAGAAATACCTTTTTATTGCCTTCAAAATACATTTCCCAAGTGGCAGCATAACTTTTCATTCCATGGCACGCAAGGGTTTTCATTTTTTACTTTTCTTTTTTCTAGAGACAGGGTCTTGCTCTGTCACCCAGGCTAGAGTGGTGAGGTGTAATCATAGCTCACTGCAGCCTCAAACTCCTGGGCTCATGTGATTCTCCCATCTGATCCTCCCAAGTAGCTAGGACCACAGGCATGTACCACCAAGCCTGGCTAATTTTTGTATTTTTTTTTTTTTTTTTTTTTTTTTGTAGAGATGGGGTTTTGCCATGTTGCCTGGGCTGGTCTTGAACTCCTGAGTTCAAGTGATCCTCCCGCCTCAATCTCCCAAAGTGCTGGAATTACAGGCGTGACCCCTTGCACCTGGCTGAATGTAAGGTTTTAAACGGAGGCCCACACTGACTTAAATTCTCTCTGGTTTATAAAAGATATCTCCCCGATCCTCTTCCAAGAGGAGGTTGGAAGCGCGATGTGGAAGAGGCCCAGTGTAAGAGAGCAGCATTTGAGATGGGGAAAGGAAGATCCACTGAGAGGGAAAATGGGACTAGAAAAGTGGATTTTTGGAATGTTATTGGCAAATTATCTGACCTGGCAGTTTGGCTGGTACAGTTCTTGAAGCTTCAAAAATTTTTCTACGCCTTCAAGAAGCTGGTGTCAGTGATGGGAGTAAAGCTAGAGGTAGAGATTTAGGCACGTTGTCCCAATTCTGCCTTTTAAGCAGCTGAATTCCAGGCTTAGGGATTGCTACAACCTTGAAGCTAAATCAGAGGCAGAGCATGGAGCAGCCTGGAAAGGTCCTTGATGCCTCTGCGTGTTCCAGGCATCAGGCTGTGCTGCTTCAGTACCGAAGACAGCGCCCAGAGGGTCCCCTTGGAGACAAAGCTGGGACCTCTGCCTGCCGCTGTTTAGACTGGGAAGTTCTGAATGTTTGATTCAATGTCCTCGGCAAGCTGTGCTGATGATTGAAACTCGGGGCCTTAAGGAAGGCTCAGCACCCAGAGGTGTAATTCAGATTCCTGTGGGTTTTCCTCCAGGCTTGGAATCATTTCCCTTTTGTGTATCCTTTGGGTTTTAAGGCTCCCTTTTCCTTTTCCAGCAGCCTGCGTCACTCCTACGAGAAGGAGGATAAAATCCTGTAGCATCTCTTTCTTCTCCTCATAACTGATCTCATTCCCTTACATCTAAGTAACTGTTTCTTTCCATGGACCCCTGGCCCTCTGATTTCCATGTGAGAGCTGGCTACATAGCTCTGGATTGAAGGGAAGGCATGGCAGCCCACTAAAGTATAATTGGCAGAGAATAGGATTCCAGTTTCTTTTCCATTTTCCAGGCAGTATGTGGACCTTTCGGTAGGACTCATTTGGAGACGTGGTGCCTTAGCTCAATGGGATGTTCCTCCTAGTAGGAAAGTCAAGCTCAATTTCAGATCAAGGTGGAAGATAGCCTCTACAACCCTTCAGGACCTCAGAGATGCCACACATTGTGCAAGAAAGACAAGTAGATGTTCTACCTCTATGAAAGGCCATTCTGGGTATAGGTTGAGTTATTCACCAACTGTGTAATCTTGAGTGTGTTATTTAACTTCCTTGAGTGTCAGTTTCCTCAACTACAAAGGAGGATAACAACAAATACCTAAGTTATATGAAATTAATAGGATCATGTATGGGAAGTTGTTTTGTTAACTGTAAAGTGAGCCATAATAATTAATAATAATCATTCCTACAAAGTCTTTGATGGGAAGGAATACGCATTTCTGTCTTTTAATCACTGTGGGCTAGAAAAATGTCAAATCATGCCCATCACGGAGTCTGCAGATAGTGATGTCAGGACACTTCCAAGGGAAACTTGTCATCCTACTTTGAGTTGGCTATTGCCTGTGATTGGCTTTGGTCCATTCCATATTCAGAAAAAAAGTTTACTTCCTCCATTAACTTAATAAGCCAGAGACACTCACACTGACACCATTGGTTTATCAGGCAGTCACAGTGTTGCTGGAAACAGCCAGTGACACATCCCCTCCTCGCCATTCCCCATGGGCAGGGAGACAGCTCAGGACCTTGCAGAAAGCCTGTGGGTCTGTATGAGTAATTGTCATGTGCTTCCACCCATCCCCCAGCTCCCTTCATGTCACTTCCACTCATTGCTGTCACATCTTTGGGATGATTTGACTTTCCTTTAGCATTCTTAAGACAGACTGCCTTGTGTTGCCTCGAAAGGAGGGTAAGCCATATCATTACTCAGTCTGAGGACAATGCAATTCTTGCCTATATGCTCCTACAGGCTTTTAATCGCTCAGTAGTCATTCCGTTGTGTCCTAGCATGGTTTGTGCAATGATCACTCTATTTCCCCCCTCTTTTTTTTTTAACACTACCCCAATCTTGTTCATGTATCCTCCATTCCCTATGTAACCATGTGCCTGTGGAGAGCTGACCTCACCCTCAGCTCCAGAGTGGTTTTGACTGGGGAAAGGGTATATTTCCCCTTGGCTGGTGGTTAGTACTGCAAGGTCTCAGGAAAAGGCTTTCTTGCCTCTAAAGGATGATGAAGGGTTGGATGAGATGCTAAGAATTATTCCTGCCATTCTATTATTAAAGCCAACTCTGAGGATGACAGGGAAGAGAGATGAAAAGAACCCGAGTCCTTGATGACACTGCCAAGCCACCAAATCAATCAATTCTGAAAACCTGCATTTCTACTGGCCTTCCTGTTATGTGAGCTAATAAAGTTCTTTATTGATTGAACAGGGGTTTCTGTTACTTGCAGCTAAACGCATTCTGATAGACTCAGTTGCTTGTCAGGAGATGGGTCTAGGTCATTTGTCAGAGATACAAAGCAAATTTGACCTGCTATTGAACCCCACAAGTAGTACCCCAAAATAATCTATGGTGCTTCTTCAACCAACAGCATTTTGAAAACTCACTCCTGCCATTCTTAGCCACTTGTGTCAGATGACATTCGGTGGCAGTAGGTTGAGGACATAGTCTGCCAGTTTGTGGATTCTATTAGGTGTTCGGATTCCTTCTTAATCATTGTCCTATTTCCTCTAGGTGCCAAGCCTTATTTTATAACTTAATTGCTTGATTTGTGTTGTTTTCTTTGCTTTGGTAGGAAGGATGTCCTGTAGTGACATTGAACAAAGGTCCTACCGGGGAAGGAGATCTTTGGCAAGTATTAGGTTGGTGCAAAAAGTAATTGTGGTTTTTGCCATTAAAAGCAATTATTTTTTGCGCCAACTTAATAGAAGGACTCAAAACTCCTTGGAATCCAGTTTTGAAGCCCAAGATCCTGTGTATAAAGGGTTCCTTGGGGTGACATTTATTAGTCTTCCTGCAAGGAGCATTTTGAGAGGATATCATGTTTACCGTTCTATGCAAGGCTCTTTAACTTATGACCTCTCAGCTGGAACAATAATTTCCTCCTCTTGACTCTGGGGTATTGCCTGCTTCACAGGAGTGACAGACAATGGAGGAAGCCATGTTTAGAGACTGCTTGATTCCTCACACCTGTAGATAGGTGACTGATACACCACTAGATAGAAACTAGAAAATAAATGACAGATGGGGAAACTGAGGAACAAAAGAGGCTACAAGGAGATTAATTCCATATTTCAAATAGATCCAATAATAACATACAGCCCAGAAATAATGCGAAGCACTTCCCACGTGCAAGATTTTGTGAGATAGATATTTTCCTTCTCCTTCAGGGTTGGGGAAGTCCATGATATAAACAAGAACAAAGTTACTTTTAACGATGAAACTACCACGCCCGGCCTGCTCAGGGATTTTAACTCAGGCCTGTTGGGCACCAAAGGTTTTAAGTGTGAAAACTTACAGCTGCTGAATTATTAGAATGTTACTTAGCTCTCCAAACCCTACCAGTTTGAGAGTGATTCTGACAACAGGTAAGTAGAGCGTTTAGTCTAAACATATGAATAAAGTATTGGATGAATTCTTATTAAATAGTGTCTAGGCTGGGTGCGGTGGCTTATGCCTGTAATCCCAGCACTTTGGGAGGCCGAGGTGGATGGATCACCTGATGTCAGGAGTTTGAAACCAGCCTGGCCAACATGGTGGAGCCCCATCTCTACTTAAAATACAAAAATTAGCTGGGCGTTGTGGCGCATGCCTGTAATCCCAGCTACTCAGGAGGCTAAGGCAGGAGAATCACTTGAACCTGGGAGGCAGAGGTTGCGGTGAGCTGAGATCGTGCCCCTCCCTCCAGCCTGGGCGACAGAGCAAGACTCTGTCTCAAAAAATAATAAGTAAATAAATAAATGAATAAATAAATAAATAGTGTCTAATGTGCTCAATTTTTGAGTGTACTGATTGTGCTAGGATGTTCTAGAATTGCACCCCCAGGCCATTTCTTTCTTTTTAATTTATATGCTGCCAAAGGCTGGGACTACTGGAAATTCCAAATGAATTTTCCTCTGCAGTTTGGGCTAAGAGCTGGGAGTGCTAATTCACAGATGCCTAAACAAACACCGTTTGACATCCTTGGCCTTACCTACAAAATGGGAAGCTGATTACTAAAAAGCGTGCTCCATAAGCAAGAGCTCTGTCTCTTCTCCTTTCATCTTTGAGTGGTCTGGCCAAGTTGGAAATTGGTACGTGTCTCTGTTTCAGAACTCCCAACAGATCCCTCTGTATTGAGAACTGGTCAATGTGATGTAAACCGCAGTTTCTAAGTATAAAAACGTGGTAAATTTGAGACATGGAATTCAAAGCTGAATGTTAAAAACATTTGAAATACAAGTACTAGAATATCAACACACAAAGCAAAGAGTCGGAGTCCTCCAGTACCTTATTTTAAGTAATCTAGGACAGAGAACCAGAGAGTGTTGGATTTAAAATGGGCCTGTCCAGACTGTTCTCAGCCCTGAGTTTGAGGAAATATTAAATAACTTGCTAAAATCACACAGCTATTCAATGCAAGGAGAGCTGAGCTTTAAACCCAAGTCTGTCTGATTCCAAAGGGCGTTTTCTTTTCACTGTATCATTGTGCTAAGAGCAAGCAGCGTCACACAGGGTCTTAGTCCATTTGGGCGGCTGTAACCAATGGAGATGTGACAGATGGGGAAATTGACGAACAGACCATAAGCAGCTTAGCTGAAGAACAGCAGAAATTTATTTCTCACAGTTCTGGAGGCTGTGAAGTCCAAGCTCAAGATAGATTTGGTGTCTGGTGAGGGCCCATTTTCTGGCTCATGGATGGCAAATTCTTCTTGCTGTATCCCTACTGGCAAAAGGGGTGAATGAGCTCTCTGTAGTTTCCTTTATAAGGACACTAATCCCACTCTGAAGACTCCACCCTCGTGACCTAATCACCTCCCAAAGACCCCACCTACTAATGCCATCACCGTGGGGGTTACGATTTCAACAGAAGTTTTGGAGGGACACAGACCACAGTATGGAGAAAATCAAATGAGAGAATGATGAAACAAAGCATACGCTGAGCATCTTATAAGGGGCATGGAAAATGTTCCTCACTGGAGCAGGAAAGGGGGACATGATACCTAGAGGCTGTTTTGAACAGAAACTCCTTCCCTTCCATTCGCTTCATCTCTGTGGGCTACTGTTTGCCCCTGTGGAAGATGCCAGGTGGGTGTTGGGTAGGAGGATAAACTTAGAACAGGGATGTCCTTCTCAGCTCTAATAGTCTAGAGACCTGGGGGCTTATTTGTTTCTTTCTTTATTTTTTTAGACAAGGTCTTACTCTGTTGCCTCACCTAGAATGCAGTGGAAAGATTCCAGTTCACTGCAACCTCTGCCTCCTGGGTTCAAGCGATTCTCTTACCTCAATCTCCCAAGTAGCTGGGACTACAGGTGCCTGCCACTACACTTGGCTAATTTTTTGTATTTTTAGTAGAGACGGGGTTTCATCATGTTGGCCAGGCTAGTTTTGATCTCCTAACCTCAAGTGATCTACCTACCTCTGCCTCCCAAAGTGTTGGGATTACAGGCATGAGCTACCACACCTGACCCTTTTTCTTGATCTTTTAAACTTGATGGGGCAAACCATGGCTCTCATGTAAATTCCAACTTACCTGTAACAGTGCCAGTGGTGTGATAGCCTTAGCTTTCACGCCAGGCAGGAGAAGAGAAGAGAGGGAGCAGGTTCTGCCACAGGGGTGGAGGCATCAGCCTCACTCCTTGTCTGACCCTACAGAGAACTGTCCCTGTCCCCTCTCTGCTCTCCCACTATGATCCTGGGGAGGAGAATGAGATCATGTCTGAAAAGTAAACAGAACTTCTTAGAGCAAGAAGCTGAATAACTTCGAGGCCTGCAAATGCCATCATCTGTCTCTAATTTCTAATCCTCATTCAAAGACCAGATCGAGTTGATCTTTTAAAAGAACTGGTCGGGGTCAGCTCTTTTTTTTTTTTTTTTGAGACAGAGTTTCCCTCTGTTACCCAGGCTGGAATTCAGTGGCATGATCTCGGCTCTCGGCTCACTGCAACCTCCGCCTCCCAGGTTCAAGCTATTCTCCTGCCTCATCCTCCCCAATAGCTGGGATTATAGGTGGCCACCACCTCGCCTGGCTAATTTTTGTATTTTTAGTAGAGACAAGGTTTCACCACGTTGTCCAGGCTGGTCTTGAACTCCTGACCCCAGGTGATCCGCCTGCCTTGGCCTCCCAAAGCGCTGGGATTATAGGTGTGAGCCACCATGCTCAGCCACTGAACTGGTCACCTCTTGAATCAAAGAGCTGAACCTCTTATTTTCCTCTTCTGGGCTTTCAAATGGTGATAAGAGCCCCTAATACCATGGCAACAGAAGCTGTGGAAAACCTAACCCAGAAATGTGGGATGGAAGGGACTCCTTTGGAGTTGGCAGCCTCTGAGGAACAAGAGGGTCATCTCCCTGAAGGCCTTTTTCTCCATTTTGACATTGCCCACTGCAGCTAAGATTTTAAGGAGCAAAAAACGTGGGCTCTGGTGTCACGCAGTGCTCAGTGTAAATGCCAGCTTTGATCCTTCCTGGCTTTGTGGTCTCTGAGCCGATGTTGCAGGATTGTTGTGTAGATTATGCCAGAGGATGGATACTTGGAAGTGCTTGGCACATATTAGATGCTCAACACATAGAAATCATTGTGGCCTGTTTTGTTTGTTTGTTTGTTTGTTTGTTTGTTTTTTCTGAGACAGGGTCGAGCTTTGTTGCCCAGGCTGCAGTTCAGTGGCACAAATATAACTCACTATACTCTCAACCTCCCAGGCTCAAGTGATCCTCCCACCTACAGGTGTGTGCACCACACCAGGCTAATTTTTTTTTTTTTTTTAAAGATGGGGTCTCGCTATATTGCCCAGGCTGGTCTCAAACTCCTGGGTTCAACTGATCCTCCTGCCACACCCTCCCAAGATGCTGGGATTACAGGCGTGAGCTGCTGTCCCTGGCCTTTTTTCTTTTTCTTCCCATCAGATGGGTAATGGGCAGACATCGTAACAAGGTTTCAATGAGGCACATCTCACACAATCGCCTGAAAACCCAATCATCATGCTTATGAACCACAAAAGGATCTGGCCTGTTTTAAAGACTGTTTTTTTTTTTTTTTTTTTTTTTTTATCTCTTGCTGTAAGTTCACTCTGGCAGCCTCTGATGATGAGGTTCGAGGTAGGAGTGAGAATAAGCATCCATATGTCAGGCTTACTTCGAGCTAGAAAGATCCAGGCAAAACCTGACGGAAATTTTCCTTGTTTATGCGGCTCTTCTCTGCTCAAGATATATTGATAATTGAGGGAAGAGAAAATCTGTAGATGGAGAACTGGGAATCAGAATACCTGGATTCCTACAGCCCTGACTCCCAGAGAGATCCTGGGCCAGTCGTTTCCTCTCGCTGGCTTTGGACTCTGCTCTGTCCTGTGGGTTTAAAAAGTTGGAAGCTCTTTAGAAAAAGCACGTATTAGAGTTTGGATGAGATGATCCTCCTCTGCAAAATATCTTTCTACTTAGCTCCCTGATGACTGCAATTCTATGCCAGCGCCTCCTCCCCTGGAGTCTGGAGTCAAATAAGGGTTTTGTCTGCTTGGACAAATGCAATCACTGATGAATCACTGAGTACATCATGGCTCTGGGAAGGCTGAAAGAGGAAAGACCAGCACTGGGGTGAGAGGAGAAGAGAACACAGACAGCGGAGGCTGCCAGACCTCAATACAGCTTCCACCTTCCAGCATTTGCCAAGGGCCAGGCCATTGTCCACCGACCGACAAAGTGTCTGTGCACTGGTAGAGAGGGAGAGAGGAACTCAGGAGCTCACTGTGTACCCTTGGGAAGGCCACTCTGTCTCACCAGGTCCTGTAAAATAAGAGCACTGGGCTGTTTCCACTGTGAAACTGACTATGTGTCTGCATGGGAGGATGCTGCCCAAGGCATCAGAGAGCCAGGGGGTAGCAGCCAGGAGCTCTGCAGTGGAGAATTCCAGAGCCTGCTCAGAGGGAAGGACATAGCTCATGGCTGAGGCGAGGTTCCCTTCGCCTCTCTCGCAAGCCCTTGATGATAGAAAGGAAGAATACCGGACGTGGGTGGTGGCATATGGAGGGAACCCCTCTCACTGTCACTTATAGTGTTATTTTATTTTTTCTTTTTCTCTTCTTTTCTTTCTTTCTTTCTTTCTTTTTTTTGAGACAGAGTCTCGCTCTGTCGCCCAGGCTGTAATGCAGTGGCGCGATCTCGGCTCACTGCCACCTCCACCTTCCAGGTTCACGTAATTCTCCTGCCTCAGCCTCCTGAGTAGCTCACCACCACACCCGGCTAATTTTTTGTATTTTTAGTAGAGACAGGGTTTCACCTCGTTGTCCAGGCTGGTCTTGAACTCCTGACCTCAAGTGATCCACCTGCTTCGGCCTCCCAAAGTGCTGGGATTACAGGCATGAGCCACCGCACCCGGTCTATTTTATTTTTTCCACAAATAATTATTGCCCACCTACGGCATCATCAGGTACTCGTTCACATCAGTGTGCAAAACACAGAAATTTGTGTCTTTATAAAACGTGTGCTCTAGTGCACAGAGACAGACAATGAAAATAAATGTCAAAATCATGTGTTAATACTGTCCTATGTGATTAAGGACTACAGGAAATGCCGAATCGGGGTTGTGATTGTGGGGCTAGGGGACGGGGTGTAATTAAGATAGATGACTTTTGAACAAGAATGGGAAAGACCTTGGCTGACCTTATTTAGAATATATCTACACATTAATATTCACAAAATGCCCTTTAATGATGCTATTCATTAGTGCCACTTGTTTGTTAATAATTAATAAACGAACTATTTATCTGTTCATTTTTTTCCCTTTAATAAAGGCTTAAAGGGAGAAAAGGTGGAGAGCCAAGGAGACACAAAATGTGCACATAATGTCTCTTTTCCTATAGATGTTCCTGTTTCCCCCTTATTCCTTCCACGGCCACCTGGGATTTTTCCAGGCGGGCTCCGCCTCCTGTCCCCGCCCCCTCCCGCCTCTGCTCCAGTTCGCCCGAGGGCCTGTCAGTTTCAGTCCGCTGCGGGCGGGCGGAGTGGAACCGTCAGGCAGAGGGGGACGGAAGAGGGAGAAGGAACCCTGCAGCCCTGCATCCGGCCGCGCCCACCCCGGCACGCCTCTCCTCGCCTCGCCTCAGCTCCCTCCACAAAGCGGCACTCGCCTGCAGCTCTGGTTTCCAAAAGTGGTCGGGGCTCTGGCGAAAACGATGCACATGGAGGCAGGAGGCGGGAGGCTCAGGTCCCCTTCCCGATGAACCGGACAACCTCGGGGACAGTCACTCAACTGCAAGTCTTTGCAGTCATCAAATTCGAAATACGGGTGATAATAACATTAACTGTGATACCAGATCCGGGTTCTTGTGAAACTTGAATAAGAAAAATGTTCGAGCCAGAGGGTTGGCTCAAACTTGTAATCCCTCTACTTTGGAAGGCGGAGGCGGAAGGATTACTTGAGGCCAGGAGTTCGAGGCCAGCCTGGGCAACCTAGCAAGACCCTATTTCTACAACAACAACAGCAATAATAATACTAATAAAACAAATTAGCTGGGTGTAGTGGTGCTCACATGTGGTCCCAGCTACTTGGGAGGCTGAGGCAGGAGAATCGCTTGAGCCTAGGCGTTCTAGGCTGCAGTGAGTTATGATCGCACCACTGCACTCCAGCCTGGGTGACAGAGGGAGACCCTGTCTCAAAAAGAAAAGAAAGCAGCAACAACAAAGTAAAAAAAAGGAAAAAAAAAAGTATTTGGAAGTGTTTTGCAAAGTGCCGTAATAAAACTCGAGATATGATTCTGGATGCAGGGCAGGAAGTCATGTGCTCCGTTTGGAGGGGCTAGGCAGGAACAGATGCCCTTGTGGCCTCAAGGAGTTTGTGTTTCCACAGCGGGGAGGATAGGTATGCCTTCACCATAGCAATGCACACTGTGGTCCAAACCTCGGTGGAGCTCTATCCTGGCCTGAGGGTTATAATAATCCCTTCTCTGCATTGGGTTTGAGTAATGGAACTGTAAATGAAGCCGGGTACAGTGGCCGATGCTTGTAATCCCAGAACTTTGGGAGGCTGAGGCAGGTGGATCATTTGAGCCTAGGAGTTCCAGATGAGACTGGGCAACAGAGCAAGACCCTGCCTCTACAAAAAATTTAAAAATTAGCTGGGCCTGGTGTGCACTCCTGTAGTTCCAGCTACTTGGGAGGCTGAGGCTGGAGGATCACTTGAGCACAGGAGTTGGAAGCTGCAGTGAGCCATGATTGCACCACTGCACTCCAGCCTGGATGACAGAGCAAGACCCTGTCAAAAAAAAAAAAGAAAAAAAGAAAAAGAAAAAACTCAAAAAACCAAGAAACAAAAAAAACAACTCAACAAAATGGAAAGTTAGTAAACGACTGGACTGAAAAAATACAGTTCAAGGACATATGTACATGTGGGGTGGGACTTCTGTTTCACATATGGAATTTGATGATCTGACAGGCCAGGTAGCACCTAGGATGGTGAGCTTGGAGGGATGAGTTAGAAGGGTTGGGGGTGTGGCCAGGATGCTGGGCATGTGATTAGGATGCTGGGGGTGTGGTTAGGATGCTGGGGGTGTGATTAGGATGCTGAGGGTGTGGTTAGGATGCTGGGTGTATGATTAGGATGATGGAGGTGTGATTAGGATGATGGAGGTGTGGTTAGGATGTGGGGTGTGGTTAGGATGATGGGGGTCTGGTTAGGACGCTGGGGGTCTGGTTAGGATGATGGAGGTGTGATTAGGATGATGGAGGTGTGGTTAGGATGCTCTGTGAGGGGTGCTCTTCCCACCTGAAGGACCACATTCTCACCGGTGATCCTTACAGTTATTGCTGTTCCTTCAAAGCCATCGGTAAATAAGGTGAATTTTTACATTTTGTTGAGACAGAACAGTTTTTTTCGAGCATGTGCTCTATACCCATTTTCCATTGCTTCATCTGTATTTTTAATTGATTTGTTGGGGCCCTCATTACCTTGTAGATAATACCCCTTTATTGGTTCGCTGCAGTGGTTTTTGCAGTTTGTGGTTTAACTTTGTTTATAATTTTTTTTACACCTTTATTGGGGTATAATTGGTAAACGATAAACCACACATATTTAAAGTGTTTGATTTTATCAGTTTTGGAATTTGTGTACACCATTGAAATCATGATCACAATCAGAATAACATATATTTTCATCTCCCCCCAGAAGAGTCTTTGAGTCCCTTGGAAGTCCATCCTTTTCTCTACTGATATCTCCAGGCAACAACTGAGCTCCTTTCTGCCATCATAAATTAGTTGACATTTTTTTAGAGTTGTATGGTCCCAGAATTATACAGTCTATACTCTTTTTTATCCGACTTCTTCCACTCATCATGATTTTGGATTTCATCCATGTTATTGCACGTATCAAAAGTGTATTCTTGTTGCTGAGCAGAATTCCATCGTGTGGATGTGCCATGATTTATCCATGCATCCACTGATAAACATTTGGGTTGTTTCCAGGTTGTGACTATTAAAAACTGAGCTGCTGTGAAAATTTTTGTACAAGTCTTTGGATGTCAAGTAGGAATTGGACAGCCAAAGATGAAAGCATAATTTAAGGGAGGGGGACTACATGACCACAGAGAGGTAAAGCCCAGGATACCGACAGGGAACAGTGCTGTAGTGGTCCAGGTAGCTGGGGTTTAGGATATTCATTTGGAGAGCAAGGGAAGAAGAAAGAGCAGGTTGGACTCAGATCTCAGAGGACTTTGGAGCTTATGCTTAAGACTTTGTTTCATCCAATGTGCAATTGGGAGCCATGCAAATTTTCTTTTTTAAGGTGGGAAAGAACAATAAGATTTCAATCCTGTTTGGATTGACTTTCCCTCTATCCGTATTTACTGAATAGTTAAGCTTGATGACCAGTTTGCTTTTACCGTTTGTACTGGGTAACATTTACTTACGCTTTAAGTCAGGAGCCAGCCCATGGCAGAGTTCCTTTCTTGGAGAAAGGAAGCTCTCTCTCTGGCTCACATCTTTCCCCATTTGTATAATATCATAAACATGTATTACTGTGAACTCTCCTCCTTCCCAGGTATCATTTAGGTACTGGAAAGTATGTATTCCAACAGGGTTTGTAAAATGTAAAAATGGAGTTCTGGTAAATAAATTCTAGCTTCTCACTAACTTCCATTGAAAATGGAAGATATATGAAAATCAGAATGTATTATTGCAGAAAAATATCGCCTTGTGATATGCTTTAGCTGTTTCCCCACTCAAATCTTATCTTGAATTGTAATCCAAAATGCAATCCTCACGTATTCTGGGAGGAATCTGGTGGGAAGTGATTGGATCATGGGGGCAGTTTCTCATATGCTGTTCTCATGATAGTGAGTGAGTTCTCACAAGATCTGATGATTTTATAAGGGGCAGTTTGCCCTGCTCACTTTCTCCTCCTGCCACCTTATGGAGAAGGTGCCTGCTTCCCCCTCCGTTATGCTTGTAAGTTTCCTGAGGCCTCCTCAGCCATGTGGAACTGTGAGTAAGTGAATTCAACCCCTTTTGTTTATAAATTACCCAGTCTCAGTGTATTAGTCCATTTTCACACTGCTTATAAAGACATACCCAAGACTGGGCAGTTTACAAAAGAAAGAGGTTACATAAACTTAACAATTCCACATGGCTGAGGAGGCCTCACAATTATGGCAGAAGGCAAGGAGGAGCAAGTCATATCTTACGTGGATGGCTGCAGGCAAAGAGAGAGAGAGAGAGAGAGAGCTTATGCAGGGGAACTCCTGTTTATAAAACCATCAGATCTCATGAGGCTTATTCACTATCATGAGAACAGCATAAGAAAGACCCATTCCCATGATTCAATTACTTCCCACTAAGTCCCTCCCACAACATGTGGGAATTCAAGATGAGATTTGAGTGGGGACCCAGCCAAACCATATCACTCAGGGAACTTCCTTTTTTTGTGTGTGTGTGTGTATGTGTGTGTGATGGCATCTCACTCTGTCGCCTGGGCTGGAGTGCAGTGGCATGATCTCAGCTCAACTCACTGCAACCTCTGCCTCCCGGATTCAAGCGATTCTCCTGCCTCAACCTCCCAAGTAGCTGGGATTACTGACGCCCACCACTACTCCCTGCTAATTTTTTGTATTTTTAGTGGAAATGGGGTTTCACCATGTTGACCAGGCAGGAAGTTCTTTATAGCAGTGTGAAAACAGACTAATATACCGTGTAAAAGACATCATGTGATACTTGGAAGGGACTAGGGTAGGGAGAGGTACATAACCTCAATAAACAGTTATGTAGTCAGCCTCTCTCCATGGAGGGGCACCGGCAGCTAGAGACAACAGAAAAATCAACACCGTGATCACATTCTCATTTTTGCCATTGGCTAAACCCAACTAGAAGCCAGAGATCATGGGGTCTCTCCTTGTTGTGATTTATATAAGGAGAAAGTAGGACGGAGAAGGTGAGAACATACCTGGGAGGTGCGTGAACACCAAGACCCATGTCACATCTACACCTGCCCCCACCCTAAACCATGCTCCATCTTTGACCTTGCTTTGTGCTTCTGGGTCACCCTGGCCTCTGGCTTCTGGTTAGGTCTGGCCCACAGGAGGCACCACCAGGAGGAATGTAGCAGGGTGTTTATTCCTCTGGCTTATCCTCGCTGTATTGCTGCACCCCATGCCCAAGAACCAAAGGTCACAGCTCCTATTAAGGAGCCCCTCCCCACACAGCTACTCTCTCCAGGTTCTGGACACCAAGACCATCCCTTGTGCCTTTGGATCCTGGAGTGGTAAGGCACCCTCCATGTTACTAGCCCCGGGGTACTGCACCATCCCTTGTTAGTTTCTTCTAGTCTTGCTGCCGCCTCTGTGAATAATCTCTTGCTATCTCCCCTCTTTTACCCGGCTTGCACTGTCATCCATTTCCTGCCAGGATTCTGACTGTTCATGTTGTGCAGAGACTAGATACATCCTTGCAAGGTAGAAGAGACCAGAACACATTTTAGAGCATGGTTTGTTATTATGGTTTCTTCTCTCTGCGTACCAGCTGATAGGAACATAAGTTGCACTGTGGCTGTGCTTACTAAACATCATAGCACACGAAAAGTGGGTCAGTGGTTTCATACCTGTTCTAATTTATCTTTTGGCAGATGGCTCCATCTCTAATTCCCGGTCCACTTTTCTTAATTAGGCTGCTGAAATGTTATTTGCTGTGGAAGTTTTGTTCTTTTCAGAGTCCATCAGCCTTCTCTCTGGCCCTGCCCCTGCCCCTGCCCCGTCCAAGGGTCTCTGCCTTGTTCTTGCCTGGACTAGGTGTTTTCTTAGGCTTCTGGTAGAGTTGCACAAGATATAAACTTTTCTTTTGATCCTTGGTTTTTCATCAATTGATGGAAGAATTAGGAAAGGGCAGATGTTGTGTTAATATTAGGAAGCTTGTAGTCCTTATAAGGTCTGGCACCTAATTACACACAAAATACTAACTCTAATAATAAAAATGTTAAAGACATTTGAACATAAAAATGAGCATAAACCAGGAGTAAGTTTAGTCAACAGATATTTATTGAATGCATACTATACTATGTACCAGGCATTGTTCTAGGTACCAAGGAATGCATTGGGCCAATCTCAGCCTAATGGTATTAGTATTAGGCTGGTACTAATAGGTATAATTAGGTATTATGGGCTTCTTAATGCATTAGCGTATCTGCTAGCTAATTAAGTAGTTAATTGAATTACTAATTTTTTAGCACATCATTGGAGATTTATTGGGTTTGGTGAGGTCACCACTGAGGAGTGTTGGTCTATTGATGGAGTTTATTTAGAACCTGTCACAGCTGCACTGACCATATAGCATGTTATCAGGCAATGTGTATCCTGTACTGCGGTTAAGAGGACAGGCTTTGCAGTAAGAGAAGCCCATCTTCAAAGCCTGGCTGTGCTACTCAGTATCTGTGTGATTGTGGGTAAGTAAAGTAACCATACTATGCCTTAGTTCTTTGGCTTATCAAATGGGAATGCCTAGACTATCTACCTCAAAGTAGATGCTCCTACATGGTAACTGTTTATATGCACAACCTTAGGATGCTTACTGTCTCCCCTTGAATTACAGTAATTTTTTGTAGACTTTGCACCTCCTCCTTCAGACTGCATGTACCTATAGGGCAGCTCTGTATCTCTCATGGTGCCTAACATAGGTGCTTGATTGCTGATTATTGATTGATTGGTGATTATAGTTGCTAACACTGACCAAATGCCTACTGCATGTTAGGTGGCACTGTTCTGACCCTTGATGTAGGAACAACTTTATGAAGTAGGAACTCCTATTTACCCACTTTTACACTTGAGAGAATGGAGGTAAAGAGAATGCTAAGTAAACTGATTAAGATTGGCCTGGTGCGGTGGCTCACTCCTGTAATCTAAACCTTTGCGAGGCCAAGGCAGGTGGATCACCTGAGGTTGGGAGCTCGAGACCAGCCTGGCCAACATAGCAAAACCCCATCTCTACTAAAAATACAAAAATTAGCTGGGTATGGTGGCGCATGCCTATAATCCTAGCTCCTCAGGAGGCTGAGACATGAGAATCTCTTGAACCTGGGAGGCGTAGGTTGCAGTGAGCCGAGATTGCGCCACTGCACTTCAGCCTGGGTGACAGAGCAAGACCCTGTCTCAAAAAAAAAAAAAAAAATGACTAAGATTATTGAGATAGTGAGAATCAGAGTCAGGATTTGAACCCAGGCATCTGGCTCTAGAGCCTACATGTTCACTACTGCACTGTGCTGTCTCCTGGGGATGTGTTTTATGAGGCCCTGCAATTACAGCAATAACTCAGGACATCGGTGGGGATAAAGATGGCTACACAGGTTCTCACGTTTTCTAAGCTGGGGAGGGATGCAGCTTCTTTACGTTACTAAGGTATTGCATTCATTTGGTTCCAGGGTGCGTTCAGTGCCTGGTACATGCTTTTTTGAATTTGCTACTGACCCATTAGAGTAGATTTGCTTGTTCTTTATCCTCCAGTCATGCAGACCTCTCTAGGGGGCCTCACTTTATCTCCCTTATACTTATGCAAAATTCAGTGCTAAAATTATGCTGTAGAATAGAGTGGACCAAGCTAACTGAATATGTCCCCATGATCTTCTAAGGTCCTGTCAACTCCATCTCCAACCTAGGAGGATCACTGACTCAAGAAGCAGTGCTCTAGGACCGTAAGGGAAAGAATGCTGGCCTGCAGCTCAGATATTTAGCCTCAGTTCCAGCTCTGCCTTTTACCAGCCAAGGGCCATACCCAAGGAATTTAACCTCTTTGAGTTTCACTTTCTGTTTGCAAACTGGAAAGACCTTTCCCAGCTTCACATTTGCAATTCGTGTAAATTCTGTCTTACCTGCCTGACTGTATTTCATAAATATTTATTTGAGGACTGCTGATATGGTTTGGCTGTGTCCCTACCCAAATCTCATCATGAATTATGGCTCCCATAATCCCCAAGTGTTGTGGGAGGGACCCGGTGGGAGATAATTGAATCATGGGGGCAGTTCCCCCATATTGTTCTCATGGTAGTGAATAAGTCTCACGAGATCTGATGGCTTTATAAGGGGAAACCCCTTTGCTTGGTTGTCACTCTCTCTCGCCTGCTGCCATGTAAGATGTGCCTTTTGCCTTCTGCTATGATTGTGAGGCCTCCTCAGCCACATGGAACTGTGAGTCCATTAAACCTCTTTTTCTTTAGAAATTACCCAGTCTTAATCCAGTCTATCATGGATGGACATTTGGGTTGGTTCCAAGTCTTTGCTATTGTGAATAGTGCTGCAATATATACACCATGGAATACTATGCAGCCATAAAAAAGGATGAGATCATGTCCTTTGTAGGGACATGGATGAAGGTGGAAACCATCATTCTCAGCAAACTATCGCAGGGACAAAAAACCAAACACTGCGTGTTCTCACTCATAGGTGGGAATTGAACAATGAGAACACTTGGACACAGGAAGGGGAACATCACACATCGGGGCCTGTCGTGGGGTGGCGGGAGCGGGGAGGGATAGCATTAGGAGACATACCTAATGTAAATGATGAGTTAATGGGTGCAGCACACTAACATGGCACATGTGTACCTATGTAACAAACCTGCACCTTGTGGACATGTACCCTAGAACTTAAAGTATAATAATAATAAAAAAAAGAAATTACCCAGTCTTGGGCATGTCTTTATCAGCAGCGTGAAAACAGGCTAACACAGCTGCCATGTGTAAATTCTGCAGCTAAGTATGAGGAAGGCATGGTCTTTGCTTTTAAGGAGCTCTTGGTCTGGTGGACTTGGGGAATTGATATTCTGGGAAGAGGATAATCAAGTATCAGAATAACCAGAGGCACCTGTTAAGAATGCAGATTCCTGGTCCTCACTTCCAACGTGTTGAACTAAAGTCTCTGGTTCTTATGCACAACAGGTGGAGAACTGTCACAGTGCGTCCTTGGATGATGGACCGCAGATGGAACACCCAGCAGGAAGTAACTCCTCCACTGAGGATGGCATTCATCTCTACCACCTGCATGGTTTTTGCTATAACTGTGAGCCTGCTCTATTATTTACTTAATAGCTTTCTTTAAATTCCTTCACTTAAACATCTGAAATATATTTATTTGAAATGAAGACTATGGCATAAATGTTGATGGGGAGCAAATACTGCTTGCCATGCTAGAAAGCAACTGTAAAAGGAATGCAATGAAAAAAACAGCCACGCAATCCGGCTAGACACTGCTGAGGCTTTGCAGTGTCTAAATGCGTTAAAATGGGTGATTAGCAAGTATCAGAGAGATGAGCTTGTGCCCATAGAAAGGAAGCCCAGTTACTGAAACAGAGGTCGATGCGATGTGGATGGTGATCACTTGAATATTGAATAAGAGGAACAGTTCTCAAATGTATTTTCTTGACCTTTCTTCAGTAAACATTTTATGTTTCACATACAGACCAGTATGTGAAACAGATTAACAACCAACAGCAAGACAAACACCAAAACAGCTGCTCTGCAAAAATCCAGGATAGGGAATGTATTTCCTCCCATGTCAGACCCCAAAGCCCTCAGATTGCACTGCGAGAAGCTCTGATTTAGGGCAGCAGGAGACTCCTGGAGGCCTGGTGAGCGTGCAGGTTTGGGGTTTCATGAGCACAGTGACAGGGCCCTGCAGCCTTTGTTCCAGCATGGACTGTAGGAGCAAGGATAAAGGGTAGGTGTGGGGGCCTGGCATGGTGGATCATGCCTGTAATCCCAGTGCTTTGGGAGGCAGAGGCAGGAGAATTACTTAAGGCCAGGAATTTGAGACCAGCCTGGGCAATATAGTGAGACCCTGTCTCTACAAAAAATTAAAAAAATCGCTGGGTGCAATGGTACATGCCTGTAGTTCCAGCTACTCTGGAGGCTGAGGTGGGATGATCGCTTGAGCTCTGTAGGTTGAGGATGCAGTGAGCTGTGATTGTACCACTGCATTCCAGCCTGGGCAACAGAGTGAGACCCTGTCTATTTAAAAAAAAACAACAACAAAAAAAGGTAGGTGAAGGAGAGTGATGAGAGGAGATTGACCACATTTGGGGGATTTTGTGAGATTTTCTGACCTAGGAGTATGGTTGTTTTATTTTATTTTATTTTACTAGTGCCTTCAGATTTAGGGAAACGAGAGGAACGGAGTGTTCTTGGCCTGGGGCAAATTGCTGGGTTTGTCCCTTTGCTCCGGGAGGTACAACCAAATCCAGGAATAGTGGCTACGGAAGTACAACCTGTATTTTGGATTATTTGTAACAGAAAATGTTTTTGGAAATTGGGGTTATCTGTGCTCCTGTCCCTGTAGCTCTAGCGAATCAGGAAGTCAACTGAGCTCAGAGGGAAACCTCATGTGATCAATCAAGCCACTTCTAGGGAATCTTCTGTGATGCCTAATTGGAAGACTTTTTGACCCTGAGGTAAAAGTCTAGGCTGAACCAGCGTGTTCAAGTTTGGAGGTAAACCAGAGTTAGATGAATTTGTCACTTTTTTGTTGTTGTTTTTTGAGACAGAGTCTTGCACTGTCGCCCAGGCTGGAGTGCAGTGGCACGATCTTGGCTCACTGCAACCTCCGCCTCCCAGGTTCAAGAGATTCTCCTGCCTCAGCCTCCCAAGTAGCTGGGATTACAGGTGCCCGCCACCACACCCAGCTAATTTTTTTGTGTGTTTTTAGTAGAGATGGGGTTTCACTGTGTTGGCCAGGGTGGTCTTGAATTCCTGACCTCGTGATCCGCCCACCTTGGCCTCCAAAAGTGCTGGGGTTACAGGCACGAGCCACCGCACCTGGCCCAAAGTTGTCATTCTTAACATAGGAAGTTTAGCCAAGATGGTGGCCAACTGCAGTGGCTACTGTGGCATTCCACCAGATTCTGTTTGTGGGCTTGATGCACCCATCCCCAGGCTCCTGGGAATATTGGTTGCAAGTGGCTCAGAGCTGGGATTTGCTCTTGGCAATGGGGAACTGTTTCTTCCAAGGCTGTTCCCTCACATCCCTCTCAGGGGTTGGTTTGACAGTGACCGGCTGATACAGGAATACAGAGGCCTGGCCCCTTGCCTCCATCTGGGGCAACTCTGAGGGCTATCTCAGCACCAGAGCATGGTAGGTGTGGTTCAGGTCCAGGTTGTATCAGCATCCTGAGTCAGCTCCCGTTTTCCTGTTTTCTTGGTGACATCATGATATGAAATCAGACAATGGAATTAGCAATATTAAGTTTCCAGGAAGGTAGCATTCCCCCGAGGGAGAAGGGTGGCTCCACGAGACAAGGCTGCTGAGAGCTTCAGAACCCCTCTCCTAAGCCTCCATGCAGGGCGGCTCAGCTCTGTGCTCAGGGACAAATAAGAAAGTCTGAGCCAATGCGTGTAACATCAAATGTATACATACCCATGCACAATTCAAATATAACCATGCACCCCAATGAGTAGGTTTTCATCTGTGTGTACATCTTCCCCAGATCCAGTTTCTATTCTGCCCCGATCTGCTTAGTCTCACCTTCCCTCTGGTTCTTGGCTGTCTGATCAGCAGAGAACCCCAGCTGCTTTCTCTGTCACCTTGCCTCCTAACACTGCCATCTGTCTCAGCCTCCCCAGCGAGGGCCAGACCTTGGTGAAGCCTCCGTGATGTCTGCTGTGGGGATAGCCACGACAGCTCCGAGCTGGGCGACCTGACCACTTGCCATAGGACATGGTTTCCCCAGTGGCTGCCCGGAGGAGGTGGGGAACGCCACTGGGAAGTGTAGGGAATTTTAACATCCTATGGGGTGAACTTTGACCAAGAAGGGACAAGAGACAGGAAAGAGCCAGGAAATACATGACTCACTTTGTCTGGCTCTCCTGGGCTGTGTAAGGTGCCATGGCTGCATGTGGACTGTCTGAGTTGGTTTGGCTGCTATAACAAAATACCATAGTCTGGGTGGCTCATAAACAATGGAAATGTATTTCTCAGTTCTGGAGGCCAGAATCCAGGATTGAGGTTCTGGCACATCCAGCGTTTGTGACAGCCTGCTTCCTGGTTCACAGATGGTTGTCCTGTCACTGTGTTCTCACATGGCAGAAGGGGCCAATGAGCTCTCTGGGGTATCTTATAAGGACACGAATCCCATTCATGAGGGCCCCTCCCTCATGACCTAATCACCTCCCAGAAGGCCTCTCCACACCATCACCTTGGGGCTTAAGATGTCAACACATATGTTTTGGGGGGACACAAGCATTTAGACCATAGTATGGTCTTTCTGGAGACTTCCTGTGTGACTAAACAACTGGCTGTGTTTTTTTGTGACCCTGTAGCCACCTCGGTAACACACAACTTTGTATTTGTTTCTGTCTTCCCTGCCTCACTTCCCTTCCCCCACCTCACTGCTGTGGTTCTGGGAATGAATCATAGCAATGAGTTGGTATACGATTTGCTTCAGGCCAGGCATGGTGGCTCATGCCTGTAATCCCAGTGCTTTGGGAGGCTGAGGAGGGAGGATAGCTTGAAGCCAAGAGTTCAAGACCAGCCTGGGCAACACAGTGGGACTCTCTCTCTACCAAAAGAGGTTGACATCAAGCTCTGCTTTTTCGGGAGCCTGGGGTAAGATGCCATCTGAGAACCTTTGTGTACATTTAAATAACATTTTATCGTTGAGTGATATGTTTAGCATCCTAATGTGTATGAAATACCTACATGTGTGTGTCTGTTGAACTGAATGAATGTGTGTGCTAACATCTAAGTGAATGTGGGGAGATCTAATAGAGATCTAATAGCTGGGGGGTTGATACATGTGAAAATCAGGATATTAGCTATCTATTGCTGCATCAAAAATTACCCAAAATATAGCAGCTGAAAACAACAAACATTTATTATCTCACAGTTTATAAGTGGGTCAGGTTGCCAGGGGCAGCTGAGTTGGTGACTCTGGCTCAAGGTCCCCCATGGGGCTGCAGTCAGGGGGTCACGGTGTTGGCCAAGGGCTCACAGCCCAAAGTGGGTAGGTCTGCTTTTCTGCTCACTCTCCTGGCTGTTGGCAAGCCTCAAGGTGTTGCCACGTGAGCCTCTCCATAGGGCTGCCTCGTGACGTGGTGCTTGCCTTGCTCTAGAGAGAGCAAGCATGAACCCCAGAAGGAAACAACAGTCCTGTTTTTTGGGCCAGGGTCTTGCTATGTTACCAGGCTGGTCTCAAACTCCTGGCCTCAAACAGTCCTCCCACTTCAGTCTCCCAAAGTGCTGAAATTATAGGTGTGAGTCACTGCCCAGCCAATAGTGCTTTTTTTAACTTGTAAATTTTTAAAACACTTATTTTTAGAGACAAGATCGCACTCTGTCAACCAGGCTGGAGTGCAGGGGTGTGATCACTGCAGCCTTGATTTCTTGGGCTCTAGGGATCTTCTCGCCCTAGCCTCCCAAGTAGCTGGGACTACAGTCATGTACCAACGTGCCCAGCTAATTTTTAATTTTTTTGGAGAGATAAGGTTCTCATTATATTGCCCTGGCCTTGTTTTGAACTCCTGGACTCAAGTAATCCTCCCACTTCTGCCTCCCAAAATGTTGGGATTATAGGAGTGAGCCACTCTACCTGGCCATGGACTTTTTATAACTGACTCTTGGAAGTGACATACCATCACTTCTGCCATATTCTGTTCTTCAGAAGTGAGTCATTAAACCCAGCCCACACTCAAAGTGAGATAATTACACAAGGGTGTGAATACCAGGAGGCGGGGACATTTGGGGGCTGTTTTAGAGGCTGCTTGCTACAGTTGGCATATTGTTCCAATTCTAACTTATACCAACAGTCCCTTATTAGTCTTGGAAAAATCCCCTTGTTTCATCCCACAATCCTCTTGCATATATTTCAGAAATTGTTCTGCTTTAGCAGAAATAGATAAGTGGAAGGGCCTTATAAACTGTAAAATACTTTATAAATTGTAGTTGTTACTGGCCAGGCACAGTGGCTCATGCCTGTAATCGCAGCATTTTGGGAGGCTGAGGCGGGTGGATCACCTGAGATCAGGAGTTCAAGACCAGCCTGGCCAATGTGGTGAAACCCCGTCTCTACTAAAAATACAAAAATTAGCCAGGCGTGGTGGTGCGTGCCTGTAATCCTAGCTACTTGAGAGGCTGAGGCAGGAGAATCACTTGAACCTGGGAGGCGGAGGTTGCAGTGAGCCGAGATCAGGCTATTGCACTCCAGCCTGGGTGATAGAGTGAGACTACCTCTCAAAAAAAAAAAAAAAATTGCAGTTGTTACTAAAGAAGGCTCATCAACAGGGAGGAGTCTGTTTCCATAGATGTGGTTCACAGCAACCTAGTGGGCTTACTCTAATTTATTAAAGCAAAGTGCAGTAAGCAGAACCCTGTGTTTAAAAGATGCATATTCACTCCTCATTCATCCCTACCCTCAGGCTCAAATGCTGTAACCAGATATGGACCTGAGGGCATGCCAAAATGAAGGAAAAAACCATCTGGTCAATTTAATCAATCCAATAAAAGCATCCTTTCAAACTGGTCCAAAGATTTGGAGCCCAGACCTCTAGGTAAATGACTGGCTGAATTTTCGGATTCGACTGATAAGATGATTTGGGGTTGTGTAGACACTACTTAAGAGAGCAAGGGTCAAGTAGCAAAGAGAGAGTCTAATTGGGCTTAAAACTTGGAGTCCTCGCCTTGAGCCAGGCTGACCTCACCACCCGGCTCCTGGGAGGGGCTCTGAGTCTGTGGGTGGAACCCGGCGAGTCAGAGGTGGGGAGAACTGTGAAGAGCTCATCGTTTCATTTTTCTGGGCACTCATCAGGGGGCTGCTTTCTGTCTGTCGCTGTCCTCTGATTCTTCCCACCTCCATTTTAGATGACACGGGTGATGGATCACTTCCTGAGGTTGCCTCTTCCTTAATGCATCCATTCTCTGTTCTCCAGGGGAACTGCTCTTCCCTGCTCTTCTCCTTGGACAATTCCGTTTGGGCCAAGGCACCAACCCACACCACCCTGGGGGGTACTCAGCTTTTTGGGAGTTCCACCAACCTCTTCTCTTTCCCAGAATCACTTTATGGACTGAGACCAAAGACAGGCTCAGAGGCCCTGGAGGGAAACTTAGGAAGGGGAAGCTGGGATGATTAGGGGGAAACTGAGAAAGGGAGGGGGAAACATTAAGAGACCTCTGTATAGTACATTAGCTCAAGGAGGCGATACGTGCAAAATGCTTAGGACAGTAGCTGGTGCACAGTAAACACTCAACATCTGTTAGCTGTTGTGATCATTACTATCCTCATTATCATCTGCATTTCTCAGGGCAATTTATTGCTTTTCACTTTGTGACAGTGATCTCTGAAATCCAAATAGGGTGACGGACCCAAAGCTCCTAGCACTGGGCTTGACAGGAAGTTGGTACTTAACAAAAGTTGTCATTTCTGTCAGTATCTGTTCTTCCAGGTTTCTCTGTGTCTCCCACGGTGCCTGGTAGAAAGTTGATGTGAGTTCAGTCTCTTGGCTGAATAAAGAAGCTTCATTTTGTTGGCTATACCAACAAGCAGGCTGTTCAGAAACGGTTCTCAGTGAAGAGTACTTTTTGGCCAGGAAAGGGCACGGTGGCTATGCACGTCACCATGTAAAGGGGCACTGGGGCTGGATGTCTGCAAAGACAGACTGCCATTTTCTCCACACCGTGAAATGCAGGTGGATGGGCCATGCCTGGATTTCTCAGCGAGATCACAGCCCCCTGCATTGCATCTGCCCCCACCAACCTCCTCCTCTAATGGTCTGCTCCCCAAAATATTGGCTCTGCATTTCACTTGGATACTTCATAATACCTAGTGGGTAAGCAAGATCCTGATTCCTTTTCACTAAGGTGCCCTTCCCAGATCTGCTTCCTGCCTGCTTCCTTCCTTCCTGCCCATAGAAAGGACTCACACTTTTGATGACATTTATATTGACGTGCCTTGCTGTAGCCTCAAAGGTTCTTTATAGACATTAGCACCACATTGTGGCCCAGAGTTTTGTTTGCTCATCTCCTGAGGTGCCTAGGGACTTCTCAGCGCTTGTCCTGGGATCTATGGGCCTGTGTGTCCTGCATCCTATGAGAATCACATGTGTAGAGAACACACCATCCCTACTAAATAAATGCTAGAATGACTGCATTTTACAGATGAGGAAGTAGCCTCACAGCAGTGATGTTTTTTGTTTGTGGCAGATGCATTAGATGATTACATGAAACCCCCACGCCCCCGCCATGTCCTTTAACTACAAAAGCTGGGAAACCTAAATATTCCCTCTCCCAGCTTCCTTTGCAGCTAGAAGTGGTCTTCTGACAGTACTAACCACTGAGGCCCAATTGGAACTCTCTGGGTGTTTCAAGAACTAATAAAATGGAACAGATGTGGCTGGAATGACTTCCCTTCTCCCGTCTGTCTGTCTTTCCTAAATATGGACGTGGCATCTGGAGCAGGGTCAGCTATCCTGAGACTGTTAGATGACAAAAATCATTAGCAAATGAAGGCACAGTGGAAAGATAGAAAGGCCTTGAATTCCTCATGGCATCACTGAGGTCTAAACCAGTGCAGTAACCACCCGCCTTGAGGCGCCTAACTCTCTCAAAGGTACGTGGCTGTCCTTGGGGAAGGAAGCGTGAGAGCCCTCCTTAAGATTAGAGTCACAGAACTTCTTTGCTCTGCCTCAAGGCATAGTGAAAGGAGTGGCTGAGCGGACAATTAGGAAGTTTGCTTCCCTCCCATGACCGACTGAGAGTTTTGAACAAATTTCTGGGAAAAGCGCAAGGATGGGTCTGCTATGAGCTGTCCGCCAGTGTGGTGCTGATATGCACATTATGCCACCTAGCTATTGAGGAGCCGGGGAGCTGTCCCTGCAACAGCCACAGCGAACTCCTGCTGCTTGACTCTGCCGCACAGCAAAGAGGTCAAGGTGTGTGTGTGTGTGTGTGTGTGTACATGTGTGTAATTTGCAAGTAATGTGGCTATTTCTATCATTCCAGTGAAAAGTCATCCCTGACGATTGGGAGAGCTCATAGGCTATGGCCTTTCAAAACATTCTTCACTAAGGGGAGAGCTGAGTCTGGTGAGGATGGAGGGCTGCGGTTCAAGTCAGCTATAAAAGAGTCTGGGGCCGGGCGCGGTGGCTCACGCCTGTAATCCCAGCACTTTGGGAGGCCGAGGCGGGTGGATCATGAGGTCAGGAGATCGAGACCATCCTGGCTAACAAGGTGAAACCCCGTCTCTACTAAATATACAAAAAATTAGCCGGGCGCGGTGGCGGGCGCCTGTAGTCCCAGCTACTCGGGAGGCTGAGGCAGGAGAATGGCGTGAACCCGGGAAGCGGAGCTTGCAGTGAGCCGAGATTGCGCCACTGCAGTCCGCAGTCTGGCCTGAGCGACAGAGCGAGACTCCGTCTCAAAAAAAAAAAAAAAAAAAAAAAAAAAAAGAGTCTGAACTCTCTCCTAGTCTCTTTGGTCCAGGGCGATGACTTGTCTGGGAAATGTGGAATACAACAAAGGAGTCTGTGTAGACAACTTGCCTAGTTTGGTGCTGATTTTTAGGTAAGTGAGAAGTAAAACCTGCAAGTGCTTCTTTCCTGAAGCATCTCAAGGAAATGTGCCACCAGGGCCTTCTTCTGGGATGTACTCTCCTAAGAGCATTTCTGGGCTCAGGGACAGCCTTCAGGCCTTAATTTTTCTTCTGAGAATCCCAAGGGTTGGATGTTTGGCTCATCTCTTTTGGTGTCCTGTCTTGACACAACCTTGCCAAACAGGACATAGCCCATAATTTTTCTTCCTTGCTTCCCATCTCTCAGTAAATGCACAATTCCAAGCATTTTTGTTGTTGTTGTTGTTGCTGATAGTAACTACTGAGAAACTGACATGGGTAAAAACAAAAACAAAAAACAAACATAGGTCAGTTGCTAAGTTACGTGCTGTCTTAAAAGCTTTTGAGAAATAGCTGGTACTGATCTTGGTTGAAATCTAAATGGAGCTTCTTTCGACTCTACTTAACCCCTTTCTGACCCTTTCACTGGTCCATCTACTGGAGTTTTTGATCCCTTGATTTCTCTTTTGATTTCCTGGGCCAGTGCTTCTCTATCTCCCACCTTTCTGAGACCTCCCAGCCTCTCTCTTCTGCAGGACCTGGTGAGGTGAAGAGGGGCAGATGCAGCAGGAGGGCTGTGCAGATGACAGTCTCAGAAAAAGGGCTCTGATCCGGTTCACCTCCACCTGTGAGGAAGCTACCAAGTATTTATCCTGTCCTCCAAATCACACATCACTCAGGAAGGCTTCTTTGGAAATCCCTCTATCTCTATGACCTTAGAAGGAGCCCGCTGCAATGTTTAACAGCCCTGGGGTCAAAATTTTTTTTTTTTTTGTTTTTGTTTATTGAGTGAGCTCTGTTGCCCAGGGTGGAGTGCAGTGGCATAATTTCGTCTCACTGCAACCTCCGCCTCCGGGTTCAAGCAATTCTCCTGCCTCAGCCTCCTGAGTAGCTCACATTACAGGCGTGTACCCCACACCCAGCTAATTTTTGTATTTTTAGTAGAGACAGGGTTTCACCATGTTGGCCAGGCTGGTCTTGAACTCCCGACCTCAAGTGATCTGCCCGCCTCGGCCTCCCAAAGTGTTGGGATTACAGACATGAGCCACCGCGCCCGGCCCAACTAAACTTTTTTCTAACATCCAATTTACTTAAATTGAGACCTGCTTTTCTTTGACCTACAGAACTATTTCTTAGCCTTTCTCATAATCTTCCCACTCCATGCAAACTCTTTATGAAGGCAAAGGAGTAATTCTCAAACCTCCTGCCCCAATATTATTTGGGGCTCAATACATATTTATTGAACGAATGAACAATTTCCTTCTCATTCCATGCAAACTCTTTGTGAAGGCAAAGGAGTAATTCTCAAACCTCCTGCCCCAATATTATTTGGGGCTCAATACATATTTATTGAACGAAGGAACAATTTCCTTCTCATTCAGTCTTGGGATGTAGGCAGAGGGAGTCCAGTGTATGGACTGTGTGAGTGGCTAAGGAGGATATGGTGATCCTAGATCACTATTGGGAAGTGGAACTGCTCAGTCCTCAGCTCCTCACCCTGGGTCCTTTCTTGGGGTCCCATTCCAGGCTTATGTCTGGGTAGGTCTTTCCATTGGAGAGCCCACGACTTGTGCTTGGTAATTAAAAGAGAGGGTCTTATGTAGCTATGCCTCTGGCTTTAACTCTGATTGCCTTTTCCTATCTCCCTTTCCCAATTACCAAACTTCCTCCATCTTTCAGTTTTTCATTTAAACTCCCTCTTTTCTGTGAGGGCGATCTAAGGAGGCCAGCGAGAAGGCTGTCCCCTTTCGGTGCTTAGAGTCAAGATATGCAAGATCACTCGATTAACACTAAATTACTCGTATATTACATTGCACCCAACCAGAATGTTTCTCTAGTTAGTTAAGAACTCACAGATGCCACAAAGGTAACTGGATTAATGTATTTTGAAACATTCTGGATATCGGCTTTAGAAATCCGGAGGTTAGAGACAAGAAAGATTTAGTATTGGTAAGAGATGCTGTCACAAGAAAAAAAGAGAAGGTTTTAGTAATAATCCAAGTATAATCTCCCTGTCCTCTGTGGTCATTCACTCTCTCTGCTGTCTATGTCCCATTTGCTGCCAACAAACTCATCTGCTGTTTCTTTACCAGCTCCCACTGCTCCACTTGACCCCTGGGTCCCAGGTTCTCTTCTAGTCACCACGTTATGGGTTCTTTTCCCTGTCCATCACTCATTTTCCGCAAGGACAGGATTCCATTTCTTTTTGAAGGTGGGTTTCCTAACAGAGGTTGGTTCTCTGGCACACAGACAAGTTGTACTCTACCAGATATCTGTGGGATGATCTTTCCAGCACAGTCAGTTTGGGAACTTTAGCTTCGTAGAACTCCAGATTTAACAAAAGCTTAATTAGTGGGTGATTATCCACTTTACAAAGGATTTCTTTAAATAGCAAACTCCCAGAATGGGCTTAAAATAGATTTAATTTAACCCAAGTCCAATTTGTACACCCTGTTCAATAACGTGCTGATTGTTAGAGATGAGGTGTATGTGTGCTATGTATTTATAGTCTATGTATTTATAGACTGCTTGTTTGTTTTTTTAAACCTCCTACTTCTTGCCTAGTAGACCACACTCCCTCTTTCAAATTCTTCAAGATTCACTTCTAGGAGAAGCCTATTTTCTAATGAAAAAGAGAATCAACTTGGTCCCATCAATACTATTGTCCATGATCAGAGAGAGGGGATTTTCTTCACTAAAGACTACCCCAAGACACACAGCCTCTTCCATTTCTCTTTTCAGATCTCTGTCTCTTTCTCTGTCTCTCAGAACACACAATCAGCAATTGTAAAGTTCACACTTGACTTTAGTCTCAGTCTCTGGGTCCCTATTATCAAGGCTGTGTCCACACCACTCACGGGCTTTGGGATAACAGAAGGAAAGACTATGGCCTCATGCCTTTACCTATCATTAAAACTAGACAAAGAGACCTCCCCTCCCTTCTGTTGAATCTCTCTCTGAAATTCGGCAATACATATTGCATAGTTCAGTCCACATGACATGTGGTTCTCGCGCTATGGCTGTGTCTCTGGGATTCTTGCTAATCTGGTGGAAAATGAAGGTAATTTAAGAAGAAAATTCAGCTTATCTGTATAATTATTGTTTAAATGTTTCACTTATCAATGGGGTATTTTGGAGGACATGGAGTCCTCATCCATATGTAACTGTTAAAGAACTGTTTAAAGAAAAGGTTTAACAAATTACTGCCATGGTCTCCTTAATGGTCTTCCTTAAGTTTCACCTCTTTCTCATGAAAATTTATCCTTTCTTAACTGTGTGTCTCAAACTTTAATGTGCACGTGAATCATCTGGGGAGCTTGTTAAAATGTAGATTCTGATTTAGTATGTTTGAAATAGGGCTTGAGGTTTTTAGAATTTCCAACAAGCTCCTGGGCGATACCGATGATGTTGGTCGGTGCACCACACCTTGAGTAGCAAGGCTCTCGAAACTGCCAGAGTGGTCATCCCAAATGTGAATCTGATCATGTCACTTCCCTGCTTTATTTATATTTTACATTTTATGAGACAGGGTCTCACTCTATCACCCAGGCTGGAATTCAGTGGCACAATCACAGCTCACTGCAGCCTCGACCTCCTGGGCTTGGTGATCCTCCCACCTCAGCCTCCTGAGTAGCTAGGACTATAGGTGTGTGCCACCATACCTGGCTAATGATTTCGTATTTTTTTAGAGATGAGGATTTGCCTTGTTGCCCAGGCTAGTCTTGAACTCCAGGACTCAAATGATCTGCCTTTAAGGTTAAGGTAAAAATCCTTCGGTGACATACAAGGGTCTTTATAATCAGTCTCTGCCTGCCTTTCCAGTGTCATTTGTGACACATGCTGTTCCCAGAACTGCTCAAGCTCTTCTCTGCCTTTGCCTGTGTGTTAGTCCCCATTGACCTGGCAGATTTCCACTCACCCTGCTAGAATCGACTCATACATCTCCTCCTCCAGGAAGCCTCATCTGTCACCTCAAGGCCTCTGTGCTCCCCCCTTGGAGGGAAGTACTTGCTGTGTACCTTGATCACCTGTTGCATGGCTGGAAAGTTTTGTCTACCTTTTGTTCTCCCCATTAGACTTTCAATTTCTGCCTTGGTCATATTCTCATAATCTGAGGACCTCCAGCTCCTAGTCCTGTTCCTGACACACTGAATACATATTTGAGTGAGTGTGGAAATGAGCTTGTAATTTTGTCTTTTTGCTCCCTACATAGTGCTTGCTCAGCTAAGGTCAATCTATCTCTGATTGTTGTTTGCTAAGCCCTCGTTCTCGGAAACCTATGTTCAAGCTTCTATCTGGGGAGATGAGTCTGATGTATGGGAGTCACGTCTAATTCCATGGCCTGAACATTAGCAGCAGTTAATTCATTGCTGTTGTTTGGAAAATGTTAATTAATCAACTTGATTCCTCTGGTGCTAAAGGGAAAAAGTCAAATTACTTTAAAAGCAGCATTTACTGCTTCAGGTAAGTAAACTCTGCTAGCAAAGGCAACATTCTCAGACCAAGCTGCCAATTAGAACCACTTGGGAATCTTTAAAAATACTGGTGCTTGGGTCCTATCCCCAGGAATTCTGATGTAATTGGTCTGGGGATAGGATCTGGCATCAATATTTTAAATATCTACCCAGAGGATCCAGTGAGATCCACCTTACCAAGGTAAGCATCATAACTATCAATCATGACTCTTTCCTACTAATCAGTTGCCACTTATCTGATGATGGATTATCCAACTATTGTTCCTCCTTAAAAAATCTTGATTTAAATTTCTTCTCCACATAATTAGCAAGGTCATAAAATTCTTACATCAATGAATTCACTAGCTCTCATGTACAGGTATGCTTCTATGCAGTCTTTAGTTTTACTAAGAGGTCTTCTGAACTAAAACCCTTGTGTATTGCCCCAACCAGGTTCAAATGAGAGAGAAGGAGAATCAGCTTTGGATGGCTTTCCATCAATCCTGGATTGCTGCTTATCTCTAGAATGGACACAGCTGCTTAGCTCTAGAATGGACACAGATGTGGGAAGAGTTCAGATTAGGGCAGGTGTACAACTTTTTAGCTTTCTCTGGGTCAGTTTGAATAGAGTAATTTATTTGAAGAATTGTGCAGTCTTAGAACTTGCTATCCCCAGGTAGCAATTTCTGGATTAATTATCATTTTGAAATAAAGCTGCTACTGATATTCCTTCATTGGCACAGAGAATTAGCAATAGTAGTTACAAATGCTTAGCTCACAGAAACTTGAAGAATCAGATGTGTTTTCACCGGGGGCTCATTTTCCCTTTAGAGGGGATGGGCTTTGCAAGAGCATGGTCCAAGTGCGTCAGAGGAGACTGACATGATTTCCCTGCTCTCCTCTTACTGAGCAGATAGATGGGAATAGGGTCCTGGGAGCCACTGTCCCCATAAAAGGGAGTTTGACAAACAGAGGCCAATAGCACTGTTGCACATTCCCTAAGGCTGTAGTGCTTTCTGGCATTAAATCAATTGGCACAAAGGGGTCAGTAGGATAAACAGGGCATAGGCTGGTAAACTTATGGTCAATCGATAGTTTAATGTCACTCATAGTCCCCAGTCTGGTTCAAAGGAGGTGTTTTCTGGCTTATACACGGTCTCAGTAGATTTCCCACCCACCTCCAACCTATAAAGGTGTCTCCCAAATAAGATCAAAGGTTTAAAATGTCTTTAACACAGGCTGGTAATGCCTTGATAACCCTAGAAAAAAGGTGAGAATTTATTTTCCTGATAAGTTTATAAGAAAGTTTTATTATTATTATTATTTTTATTTTTATTTTTTCAACAAGATCTTACTCTGTCACCCAGGCTGCAGTGGCACGAGCATAGCTCATTGCAGCCTTGAACTCCTGGGCTCAAGCAATCCTCCCACCTCAGCCTCCCAAGTAGCTGGGACTACAAGCACACACCACTACGCTTGGTTCATTTTTTATTTTTTGGAGAGACAGGTCTTGCTATGTTGTCCAGGCTGGTTTTGAATTCCGGGGCCCACGTGATGCTCCCACCGTGGCCTCCCAAAAATTTGGGATTACAGGTGTGAGCCACCATTCCTGACCTAGGAAAGCTTTAAAAGCAGCCCCACTAGAGAGAATTTCCTTGAAGGGAGGGGGCTGTTCTTTTTTGGTATTCTTCCCTCTGCCTCTTCCCCACGTTGTCTTCCAGATTATGGATACTCACAAATGACAGTGAATAAATGTCGTGAAAGATTTTGAGTGCTTATTATAGCCAAGTGCTTGTATTTTATATACAATCTCTAATTAAATCTTCCGAGTAATTCTGAGAGGTAAGTAATATCATCACCCAGTTTTACAGATGGGACTACTAGGGCTCAGTGAAGTCAAATAGCTTGTTCAAGACCATGCAACAAGTAAGTGCAGAAACCATATTTGATCCAGGTTTGTGTGATTACAAATCTTTGTTCCTAATTTACCTGGTTGTCTTACCATGGTCCCAGAATACCTCAATCAGAAGCACAGAGTGGGCGATGCGATTTGTAGAAATGCAGATTTCTAGGCTCGACTCAGAAGAGATTCTGATTCAGCTGGTTTGGTGTGGGACCCAATGATCTACAGCCTCTCAGGAACATGCTTGTTGAATTGCCTTGCGCATCAACCTGGCTTTCTTGGTGATTAGGGGTCTAAGTCTTCATCTCACATAGCTGTTGTCAAGATACCCCAAAATGGTTTGAACCTTTCACACCCAGACTTGCCTTAGCAACACTAGCTGTCTACACATCAAGAGGAGCTCTTAGGCCAGGCATGGGGGCTCATGCCGATAATTCCAGCACTTTGGGAGGCTGAGGCAGGAGGATTGCTTGAGCCAAGGAGTTCAAGACCAGCCTGGGCAACATAGTGAGACCCTGTCTCTACAAAAAATTAAAAAATTAGCCTGGTGTGGTGGCCTGGGGTCCCAGCTACTTGGGAGGCTGAGGTGGGAGGATTGCATTAGCCAGGGAGGTCGCAGCTGCAGTGAGCTGTGATCGCACCACTGCACTCCAGCCTGGGTGACAGAGTGAGACCCAGTCTCAAAAAAAAAAAAAAAAGTTATTGTGCGGCACAAATATGCATTTTACTGCAGTCTCCTCCGAGGCAAGTGGCATCACCTGTTTCCTGGAGTGGCCCCCATTTTTTTCTGCATCAGTATTAATGTACCAGTTACATACAATGAAAGTTCTCGAAATATACCAAGGACTCCCTCAGTACCCTCTGTCACTGTAAACTGTGCTCTGGTATATTTTCTCAAGTGGGGCACTTCTGTCAACCTTAAATGTTAATTCTGCATCACTCTATAAAGGCGTGGCTACGAAGTCTCAGGTAATGTGGACTTCTTCCTTCCTGTGAATTCTAGAATGTGACTTTAGGAAGAAGCTTAGAGTCTGAATAGAAGTAAACTTTGAGGTCCTTCTACCTCGCACCTGCCCTGTGCCTGATGGAGGAGAATGGCTGTTCTTGTCCTCTCCATGAGGGGGCGCTCATCCTCTCCAGAGGCCGTGGCTGCCATTGTTTGACAGCTCCAGTTACTCCTTCCAAAAAATTTTAAAACTGTGAGGCGTATCATATACATCAAAGAGTGAGTAAAATGTGTGTGTACAGTTGGAGGATGATAGCATTATAGAACGAACATCTGTATATATTCCTCACCATGTTAAGGCATAGAATGCAAGCAGGCCTTTGACGCCTGGCACGCACACCTCCTGTTCCTGTTACGTCCCCTACCTTCCTTCCTCCCACAGATGTCTCCCTTCCCAAGTTCTGGTGTTAATCACTCCTTGATTTTCTTTATATTTTGCCACTGACATATGAATCAAGTTATCGCATATGTTTCATTGCAGAGGTTACCATCATGGACTCAAGAGCCAAACTGCCTGGATTCCCATCTCAGCCCTATGATTGACTGGTTGTGCGATACTAGCAAAGTAATTTCTCCTCTCTGTGACTCAGTTTCCTGATCTGTGAGATTGGAGTAATAATAGTTCTTACCTGAAAGTTGCTGTGAGAAGTAAATGAGTTTATGTTGCAAGACTTTATAATGGGACCTGTACATAATAAACATCATGACAATAGTTATTGTTATTTATATTAAGCTGATATCTACCTTCCTGCAGATCATTACTTCTCAGGTATCTGTGGTGAAAGACCTTTAAAAAATATTTCTAATCCATTGTGGACTGATAATTTTTAAAGTACAATAACATTGAATAATTAGAAAAGTGAAATAGGCCAGGCGCAGTGGCTCACGCCCGTAATCCCAGCACTTTGGGAGGCTGAGACGGGTGGCGCACATGAGGTTGGGAGTTCAGGACCAGCCTGGCCAACATGGTGAAACCCCGTCTCTACTAAAGATACAAAAAATTAGCCAGGTGTGGTGGCGTGTGCTTGTAATATCAGCTACTCGGGAGGCTGAAGCACGAGAATCACTTGAACCCGGGAGGCAGAGGTTGCAGTGAGCAGAGATCACACCACTGCACTCCAGCCTGGGTAACAAGAGTGAAACTCCATCCAAAAAAAAAAAAAGAAAAAGAAAAGAAAGAAAAGCGCAATAAAAACTCAGATATACAGAATTCAAACTCCGTTTTTTTACTGTTAGAGCCAACAGAAATAAAATTACGATGTCAAATTGTTATAAGTGTTTTTCAATGATTATTTTCAATTTCTAGACTTACTTTTCATGAACTGGTAGCAAACAGCTTGTGGACATCCACCAGCTCACAGATACAGTAGTTTCTGGTGTTAAGGAATCTTCCGTGTAAAGACTAGAGAACTGCAGAACTGAGTTCTGATTTTTCTGAGTCAGGAATAACACAAGAACCAACTTAATTTTCTGAGTCTTTTTTTCCTTTTTTAGAGACAGGGTCTTCCTCTTTCACCCAGGCTGGAGTGCAGTGGTGCAATCATAGCTCACTGCAGCCTCAAACTCCTGGGCTCAAGCGTTTGATCCTCTTGCCTCAACCTCCCAACTAGCTGGGACTACAGGTGTGCACCACCATGCCTGATGAGTTTTTTATTTTTTTATAGAGACGGGGTCTTACTATTTTGCCCAGGCTGGTCTTGAACTCTTGGCTTCAAGTGATCCTCTTGCCTGGGCCTCCTAAAGTGTTGGGATTACAGGTGTGAACCACGGTGCCTGGTCTGATTTTCTGAGTCTTGAATTAGATTGTGAGCTCTCTGAAGCTATCTCCTGCATCCTCTCCTCTCTTCAGCAGTGCCTTGAGTCCTCTAAGTGTCGGGGGCTATGGAAGGTTCATAAGACAGCTGTAGGGAGACCCATGAATGTTATAAGTTGAAACTACATGAACTTGCCAACATTCTACTCATTTTGATTTATTTTATTTTATTTATTATTATTATTATTAGCAGTAATAGTAGTATTTGAGATGGAGACTTGCTCTGTTGCCCAGGCTGGAGTGCAATGGTGTGATCTTGGCTCACTGCAACCTCCGCCTCCTGGGTTCAAGCAATTCTCCTGCCTCAACCTTCTGAGTAGCTGAGATTATAGGCACACGCCACCACAGCCAATTTTTGTATTTTCAGTAGAGATGGGATTTCGCCATCTTGGCCAGGCTGGTCTCTAACTCCTTTCCTCAGATGATCCTCCCACCTCAGCCTCCCAAAGTGCTGGGATTACAGGCGTGAACCGCTGTACCCGGCCATTTTGACTTTAAAAAAGGCAATTTCCTATGTTCCAATCTGCTATTTAGGTTTCCAGGTCTGACCTGTTTGACCTGGGGCTGTATATTGCACTCTCCCCACAGATCTGTGGACTAATCCTCATCAGGGACTGAAGTCCTCCCATTTCTAGGAGCTCACGGAACCTCAAGTGCTGGATGGGGAAGGATGGCCTGGTGATCTCCTCCTGCCTGTGTCCTAGCTGTCAGTTGCTACTAGAACCCAAGGCCGAGGAGTGGCTTGCCCTGACCCCAAGGTATCTGTCAAGGAAGAACCTGTTGTGCCATTTGAAATGGACAAAACCTGGCTGAACATAACCCTGTGGGTTGAAGTCAGGATTCCCGGTTCTTACTTAAGCTCTGTTATTCATTTGCAGCCTGGGTCATTCTGCCTCCTAAATACACAATTTCTACAGTGACTCAGATGCATCCACATTGGACTCAAATCAGGATTGAAATCAGCCGGTAGTTCAGAGCTGCTTCTGAATTAGAAAGTCTATTTATTTTACTATGTGTTTTTAAATTAGTAATATTCATACAAGACTAGGGGGTCAGAGGCTCTGCTCACCTGATGTGAAAATTACTATTTTTAATTCTGACAACTGTAGGGGGAAAATAATCACAAAGTCTGCTTGAATTTTCATCAAAAATAGTCAATGTGGTGACCCTGGATTAACATGTTATGTTATCCAGAAAGCCCCAAGAGATGAGTTTTATAGTCTTTTGATCTGAAAGAAGGAACATGTCAGTTTCTGCCTGCCTGAAATCTGCCTGACAAGATTCATGCCTGCCACTGGCCCTCAAATTAAGGGACAAGCTGCCAGTGGTGGTCACAGGTTACTGATCCTGCATTTGGAGATGTGGGCCAGAGAGGGGAGCGTGGCCGCTCAAAGACAGCCTCTGACTTTCATGTCCCCTTTCTGTGCACTGTTATGAGCTCGGTTGTGTCCTCCTAGAATTTGTATGTTGAATTCCCAACACCCAGTACTGTGACTGTATTTGGCAATAAGGACTTTAAAGAGGTGATAAAGTCAAAATGAGACCATTAGGATGGACCCTTCCAATGTGACTGTGACCTTATGGGAAGAGGAGATGGCAGGGGCACAGCACAGAGGGCAGACTGCGTGATGAGGCATCAAGAAGAGGGCCTCAGATGAAACCAAACCTCCCAATACTTTAATCTCAGACCTCCAACCTCCAGAACTGTGAGACAATACCTTTCTGTTGTGTAAGCCACAATACCTTTCTGTTGTGTAAGTCTGTGGCACTTTGTTATGGCAGCCCAACAAAACGAACACATGCACACACATGCTTGGATGCATGCATATGGCCACAGCCATAAAGGCGCACACATAGACACACAAACAGAGATCACCCACAAAACAGCCACGCAGACCTGTGCTCACTGCCGTACACACTGCCATGCGCTCCACTGCTAGCAGGAAGTGTAAACAGAGATTGCTAAACTCAATCTCAGCCTAGTTAGTGCAGAATATCTCACAAAGGGTAAAAGATCAGGAAAACAAGCACAAAGAATAGTGCAATTCAGAAAAGGGGCAAGAGGGCTGAAGCGTGAGATGGGGAAGTGGTCCAGGGTGGTGCACGGGAGAGTGATTGAGTGGTAAGTGCTTTGGTTCAGGTGGTAGACAGTCTGCCTCTCAAAGTAGCTCTGTGACTTTGGGAGGCTGGGCATGGTGGCTCATGCCAGTAAGCGCAGCACTTTCGGAGGCTGAGACAGGTGGATCGCTTGAGGTCAGGAGTTCAAGACCAGCCTGACCAACAAGGTAAAACCCTGTCTCTACTAAAAAAATACAAAAAATTAGCTGGGTGTGGTGGCATGCACCTGTAATCCCAGTTACCCAGGAGGCTGAGGCAGGAGAATAGCCTGAACCTTGGAGGTGGAGGTTGCAGTGAGCTGAGATCATGCCACTGGGTTACAGAGCAAGACTCTCTGTATAAAAAAAAAAAAAAGAAAAGAAAAAGAAAAAAAAGCTCTGTGACTTTGGCTAAGTCACTTTACCTCTCTGGGTCTTGATTTTTCTATTTGTAATAATGAGAGGTTGGAGGAGCGAAGCGGTTCTTGAACTGTAGCTTGCATTGGAATTACCCAGGATGCTCATTAAAACACTGATTGTCAGGCCCCCTCCCTGGAATTTCTGACTACACGTATCTGGGGTGGGGCTCAATGCATTTCCAAAAAGTTCCTAGGTGATGCTGATGCTGCTGGTCTGGGGACTACATTCTGAGAACCACACGACTAGAGGAACCCTCTGGGCTTTATTAGATGTGAAATCCTGTAACGATGGGCAGACATCAAGACCAAATATAACTGTCACTGTGGTTCTCGACCAAGGCGATTTTGCCCTGCGAGGACCATTTGGCAATATCTGGAGACATTTTTGATTGTCACGCTTGGGAGGAGGTACTACTGGTATCTAAGTAAATAGAGGCCAGAGATGCTGCTAAACATCCTACCATGCACAGGGCAGCCTCCCTGTGATGAAGAATTAAATGATCTGGATTAAAACATCAATAGTGCCCAGGTTGAGAAACGCTGCTTTAAATGATCCAATTCATCTAGATTTGAGTTTGCAAAAGATTGGTAGATGTTGGAATACACCGACTGGAAAGATTGATGCTGAGTTTTCATTGCTCTGAGGGGAAAGATCTATATAAATGACGCAAGATTCTTTGAGCTAGATTCCTCTTTCCAGAGTTTTTGCTCTTTGCTCTGGGACCTCACTCAAGGCTGGACAGGGTGATTACGGTTCTTGAGAAGTTTGCAGATTTCAGATCCCAGAGAAGCTTCCTGACAAAACATAAGGGCTGGCTCCCAGCAGGGCACATTCCCAAAGCAACATCCATCCAGGACCGGGAAGGCCTGGCTGTGTTAGAATGGGACTGGGTGTTGATTGCATTGTGTTTCCTTTCTCTGCTTGCTTCCAATCCATGGGCTAGAAAACGAGGGCAGCCCTTGTGGATTCTGATTAGAAGCTTCACAAATCAAGTTGCTAAATTTGCAGAACATTGTAAGTCAGAAAGATGTGCGTCTGTGTGTGTGTGTGTGTGTGTGAGAGAGAGAGAGAGAGAGAGAGAAATTTTGGATTTTGTGAGTGTGTGCATGTGTGTATGGTGAGAACCACGTATTCAAACCATTCCCTATTTCGGCACCTCATCCTGCCAATTACAATCTGCTTGGTGGTGTGAAACTGACAGCCGGCAGCAGTGATGGAGACAGGAGGAACGGTGAACAAGGGCTTTGTGCATTCTCAGCTTTAGAGAGAATGTTCAGTGGGGCGGACAGGCACGTAACTGGCAGGTTTAGGAATCAGTAAAAACCAAGAACTGGAAGTCCTAATTTATCGTCTGTTTCAATACAAGGCTACACACAGGCTATTTAATATAATGCATTGTTTACAAGTGGAGGAGAGTGGAAGTTATTGATGCATTACAAATGCAGGCAAATGCATCTCATAAGCCGAGGGGTAGGTAATAACAATCGCAGAAGACTAAATTTGACTTTAATCCCCTGAAGAATGGCATGCATACAGCTTAAAATGATAAAAGCTAGAGGGGGTGGGGAGAGAGGGAAAGAAAGGAGGGAGAGAAGGAGGCAGAGTGAGACAGAGAGGCTGAGAGACAGACAGAGAGAAGAAGAGAAATGCAAGCTGATTTTCTCCTGGGATTATCTATTTCTTGATTAGGAAATAGAGTGGAAATTGAGAGAAAAGATTTTTGAAGACCTTGTTTTGATAAACAGCGTCATGCTTGGCAGGGTGTTTTCGGTAGCAGGTCTGGTGTCTGCGTGGTCAAGCAGCTTGGAGCGATTTACAGACCTGCCAATCCCTTAGATAATCCCAAAGGCAGAAATAGAAAACAAGTCCTCGTTTGATTAGTGCACGTAGCCCGGTCTGCGTCCTTCTCCTGGGGTCTTTAGAGCCATGGCTACAGTGACTGGCTGTACACAAGCTTGCCTTGTCTTTGGGGTTAAAATTCCTCGACTGTTGACACAGTGCATGATGCTTTGGGCGGAGTAGGTGTCCTGTGAATGCTGGCAGCATGAACATGGGGTGATGCAGGCGCTCACGAAGAAAGGCTATGTCTGGACTCCATATTTCAGTCTCAGCTGTGAAAGTGACTTCAGAGTAAGCAAAAGAGAGTCAGCTCCCCACCCACACTGAAATCTCTCTGCATTATTTATTGACAAAGGTGTCCAAATGCTGGGTGGAAAACCACATGGTAGGGCACCTCCTACCCCTGGTGCATCCCACTCCTTTGTGGAATGGGACTTAAGAATGATCACCACGTATTGGGTATGTGGACACTGCTGTGCTGAAATCTCTATGTGGCTTATCTCTCTTTATGCTTATATCCAGCTTAGGAGGTATTAATCATTATTCCCTTCTAAAAGACGTAGAAACTAAGGCACAGAGAGGTTTCACAGCCGGTAACTGGTGGAGGGAGGAAGGACTGAAGCCCAGGCAGACTGACTCTGCAGGCTGTGCTCTCAACCATCAAGGTCGTTCTTCTTTGAGTTGACCTGAAGTTTGCCTCTCCCACCTCCCTGCGGGATCTCATTGCAGCGGTTAGTCCCATGCGATGGTGTGCCCACTGCTGGATTTCCATTATCAACGTGAGTCACATTTGCCTGGTTTCTGGATGTGTTTGCAGGGCACCATCTGCCTTCTCTGGTGATCCAGTGGCAAACAGAGGGAGAAAGGAGATTGGCACTAGAAGATCTTCCTGTGACAGCTTTCTAACTGTGACAGCCAAGTGCATCCAGCCTGGGTCATGGAGCACAGAGAAGCCCTGGTCATAACTGCATGAAGTCACTATTTGTGGATCACTCTGAGATAAACAAATGAACTCACTCTGGAGAATAAACAGTGGTCTGGGTGACCCCATCTGTGTGCTTAGGCTGCTTGAATCCTGAGGACAGCCAGTAATCTCACCTCTCTAGGCTAACCCCAACATAGCAGGCTCTGAGCAAACATTTGTCAACTATCTGATCTGACAGCATTCTGGCTGAGAGCAATGCTGCCAGCTCATGTCCTCAGAAGGGCTGAGCCTGGAGAGAGAACACATTTTTGTTTAGAAGCTTGATCTTGACCATTTGTCCATGACTTTGGGGTAAATAGACTTCACAGCCTGGAGTCCTATTCCCTTGCAACTGGCATATATTTTTGTGCTTTGTGTCTTATGCATGTTTGCCCAGGAGGCATGATGGGGCCATTGCTCCCTCCTGGTTTCCTACGGGAACTTGTGGACAGGTCACCTTCTCAATCTAGGATAGAAGTGCTCCCAGGATGTTTCAAAGAGAGAAGCTAAACTAGTCCAGACAAAATACATGGCATGCCCCAAACCAAATGGATTATTTCCTTCTCTTCCTGAGTGCCATTTCTACTGAATTTCTACCATAATTTTCTCAGTCACACAAGCTTGAAAAATCAGAGGCATCTTTATCCTCTCTTGTGACTCTCACATCCAGTTAGTTGCCCAGTCCTAATTACTCTGTCCCTGGAATGTCTCCCCCTAAAAAGACCTGTAGGTAGTTCAGGTCTTTTTAACATTCATTTGATCAACTGTAGCAAACTACTAACCGGTTTCCTTGCCCCCAGCTGTCAACTCACTTTGGATGCTCCTGATCCTGCACACAGGCAGAGAAAGAGCTTCCTAGTGCAGTGGTTTTCAAACTGAGCCCTAGGAGCCCTAGGGTTTCCCTGCCATGTGTTAAGGCCTTTTCAATAAGCGAGGGTCCAGGGCTCAGGCCTGCAGGAGTCTCTTGGGGCCCTCACTGCAATTCAACCAGTTTCAATTTCTAATTCAACTTCTAATTTTTTTGAGATCTGATAAAAAGACTTAAAAGGCCATAAAGAAACAGATCTACTTTTTTTTTTAATCTCTTTTAGGACTTTGATATGAGATTCCACTTAAAGAAATGTGTTGCTAAGGATTTTCAAAACTGTTGTCCAAAACACAAGACCCTACTGAAGAAGCTATGAGATAAAGTCTTTGTCTTGACTTGAAAGCTCTCCAGGCAGGGTCTGGGGAGCCATTTGCTCATGGGAAAGTTACCTCCTTGGTTCTCAAAGACCCAGAGACTAATGGGGCCTGGGACATTTAGGTTTCTTCCAAACCAGGGGTAGCGGATAGTCAAGAGTGAGGGGAGTTGAAGGAATGATGGGTCAAGTTGGTTCATGCTCCAGTGTTTGTTATCAAATCACTGGAAAGGTAAAACTGGAAATGGTTTGAGCTGAAGCTGAAACCTAACAGGAGAACCACTGAGACACCCCCACTGCACACCAGCAAAGGGCATTTCTCCCTCTGCGGTTGCTAGGGTGATGTGCATCTTTGGCAGTCTACAGAGGGAGATGATTCCCATGAAGTCTTGTCTCATTTGTCTCTTGCAAGCAGAACCAGAGGACAAAAACTCAGCTCAAAGTAGAACAGAAGAAGTGCAGCATTGGGGTCCAGCTTTCCTTCTGGTCTCTGAAAGGGAGTGTGTGAGGTTTCTTAAAACTGGACTCAGGTGTGTTCTGCCTCCAGCCTCAGCTAAAGAGCCAGCTCTGCCTTTCTAAAAGGGACAACTGATCCCTTGAGAAAGTTGTAGCCTTTGTTTAGGAGTCTTTTCTGATTTTGGCTGTCATGCACAAGATCAACACTGAGGCTGGATGAATACTTGGAGCAAATGAGTCGTTATGTGTGAAAGGAAATCTAACATTTACCAAATGCATCCTTTATGCAGGGATTCAAAGTAGGTCAGTGTGATGGCAAAGTTATGTTCTAGCCACCATAGCATGCCATTGAGATAATTTAGACACTGTGAATTGCTATATGAGTGTTAGGTATTATTATTATTCTCTTAGTGTTTGAGAGGGCATAAAACTATGGTTCTCAGAGAAGAATGAGGCTGTATTTTAAAAATGATTTTCCTATGCCTTCTCCAAAAGAGATTTAAATTGGTTCAGAATAAAAGACATAGAGCTAATAACACTCTAAACCATTAACCCAAGAGTGAGATGACAAGAACCAAGTCATAAAAGGGAGCCAGGAAGTATTTCTAAATCAGAAAATGTAGGCTAGATAGCCACTTGTCCTGACCCCCAAGAGTCCACTGTGAGTATCTTTTCCAAAGTCTGTGTTCAGCAATATAACATGAGAAGTGGCAATGGTGGGGCTATTTACACCACGGAAATTGGCAAATCTTTCAAACTGGGTTTTTTTTTTTTCTCCAGGTGAGTTGGTTGTTAGACATTTGCCAGCACACCATTTGGCTAACAAATGCTACTACAAGCTAGTATGATGCGCTTTTGGCATTTGGCTCTGCTGTCTAAGGGGTGCTGGCTCCCAACTCCCTGCCCTCAAGAGGAATGGGTTCCATTGTGATTGCTGGTGGCAATGGTGATGGCATCACCCAATTGGGTGAGTAGCTAAGATAAGAAGCATTGTTACAGGGACTCTTTGCTTTCAAGGAACATTCAACTCCATTCAAGTTAATTTAAGCAAAAAGAGAAAGCCATCAGAAGGATACGTGTGTCTGTCAAAGAACCCAAGGATACATTTCTGGGTCTTATGAATGGCTGGAACCAGCAATTAGAAAGCCCTCAGACAGGAAGACTTTCTCTCCATTCTCTCTCTCCCTCTCTCTCTGACCTGTGCATATTCTCATCTGCTTCTCTCTGGCTATCTGCTTCATTTTTGCTTTCTGCAGACCCCATTTCTCAGTTCTACTTCCATGTGGACCCGATATAGTCTTCCCAGTCTTGATAAGTTTCCAGCTTAAGTACTCCCAGGAGGCCAGCTAGAACTCCTGTATTTCAATAATCACTTCTTAAAAAAGAATCTGATTGGCCCAGCTTGGATCAGGTAGTCATCCCTGATCCAACCAGCTGTGGTTGAGGGGATAAGGTCACTTGCAGGGACACTGGGAGAAGGCTCCCTGAGATAGGGCAAGGCGAGGCAGAAAGATGAGTTGACTAAGTATCTGTGATTAGCATGCATTCCTGTCCCTTGGTGGTAGCACCAATGGTAAAGGAAGAAGATACCAAGTTCTGGAAGACACGACAGACCATATTTGTTATTCTTCTCTGAATATGCATAAGCAAAGCATTTCCTTTGATGAAGAATGACTTGTATTAAGTAAGAACTGAACTCTGTTCTTTTTTTTTTTTTTTTAGATGGAGTCTCATTCTGTTGCCCAGGCTGGAGTGCAATGGTGCGATCTCAGCTCACCGTAATCTCTGCCTCCTGAGTTTAAGCAATTCTCCTGCCTCAGCCTCCTGAATAGCTGGGATTACAGGCTTGCACCACCATGCCCAGGTAATTTTTGTATTTTTAGTAGAGACGAGGTTTCTCCATGTTGTCCAGGCTCGCCTAAAACTCCTAGCCTCAAGTGATCCACCCAACTGGGCCTCCCAAAGTGCTGAGATTACAGGCTGAACTCTGTTCTTAAGCTTTAATGTTCATATTTCTGGAATATAGTCTATATGAAAGGAAACAGAACAATAGTGGGAAATGGGAAGAAGAAAGAGAACCACAGCAGTGAGGAACCATGGCGGTGCGGAGAAAATACTAAGCAGTCCTGTGGCTTGGGTGCTGTCTCTAGAGGATCAGCATGGAATTTGGCCAAAACAGATATAAGTCAGATTTAGGTCTCAAGCATTGAGGCCTGATGCAGCATTTATTTATTTATTTAGAGACAGGGTCTCTGTCGCAAGACTGGAGTGCACTGCTGCAACCTCAGTTCACTGCAATCTCAGCCTTCCGGGCTCAAGCTATTCTCCCACCTCAGCCTCCTGAATAGCAGGGGCTACAGGTATGCACCACCACACCCGGCTAATTTTTTGTAGTTTTAGTAGAGGCAGAGTTTTGCCACATTGCCCAGGCTGGTCTTGAACTCCTGAGCTCCACTTGCCTCAGCCTCCCAAAGTGCTGGGATTACAGGTATGAGCCACTGTACCTGGCCTGATGCAACATTTACGGATGGGGAGACTCTTACTGTGATTGTACTATTTGCCCAGTTTTCCACACTGATAAAACAGGCAATAGTTTAAGGAGAAAGAATCTGAGCCACCTTGGGTGTGCTGTCTCCCGAGACTCTGAGCAGAGCACCTTTTCCTGGGGAATGGTGAGGGAGGTGTGGTTGCACTGAGCAGTGTAAAGGTATTGGTGTGTGACATACGCCACTGTCTTTGAGATGCAGACATCACGATCATTGACATAAATTATTGCACACTGCTTCAAATGCTGTTCATACATAATTTCTAATCCTTGCTACAATCTTGCAGCATGGATGCCTGTGTTACCATCTTCAGATAGACAGCTTGGGGCCTCCAGAGAGCCAGAGCTGCTCAGTTGGCACACAGGAGGGCCAGGAATGGGATTTCTCTCTCTCTGGCTTAAAAGCCCATCCTCCTCCTTTTTAAAATTTTTTTTATTTTTAGTTTTATTTTATTTTTTGCCACATGACACCCCCAGAAACAGAGTCAGACATGAGAAAAGGAATCAAATGCATAGCCATCCACAGAGTTCCCGAAAAAAGAAAAGAAGGATTGTTTTAAGGACTTATTTTCATTAGGATTCCATTGATGACTTATTTTCGTTTCAGCTTGTATGTGGTGATGAATATTTACCTTATTTGAAGCTGTTGTTGTCAAAAGTTATCTGGAACAGGTAATGTGAGGCCTTCAGAGAGATCTCTCTTTGAAAATGAAAATAGAAATGACACACACTGGAGCCTATAGGAGGGAGGAGGGTGGGAGGAGGGAGAAGATCAGGAAAAATAACTAATGGGTACTGGCCTTAATACCTGGGTGACAAAATCATCTGCACAATGAACCCCCATGATACAAATTTATTACCTATGTAACAAACCTGCACATGTACCCCTGAACTTAAAATAAAAGTTAGAAAAATGAAAAAAAAAAAGGAAAATGTATGTACATATATACTTTGTATCTTTGAGTAATTGGTTCCTAATGACAAACATTTCCTTCCTCCAATTCAGTTCAGTGGACAGGACATGTCTAGGCAGGAGAGCCACAGACAGGGTGAGGGAGGAACCAGGTGGAGGAGCCCTGGGAGGTGCAATGGTGAACAACACTGCTTCCGGGGTCATTGGCTGCAGCAGCAAAGCAAAGCAGAGTGTTCATTGTGATTTGTCATGGAGAATGATTTGCCGTGCATTTGCCTTCTTAGCCTATCTACTTCCCCTGTGAGTAGAACTACAAGACATACATTTTAGGATTTTGAAGAACAGAAAAGCCTTTTAGGTGCATTGTCCAGAAAACCAAGAAAAAGCCCTAGTGGTTTGTTGCTCTGAACTTTGAAATCTTTGCAGCTGGATGTCACCATATTCTCATGTGTGTGAGATTATGGGTATTCTGTATATATTGTTAAGATCACAGGAGAACTAATCTGTGTCATTTGGAAGCCATTTTAACCACAGAGTCAGATATTTTAGGAAATATTAAAAATCCTCACTTGGAAATGAACTTTTTTATATCACATTTAAAAACTTGTGGTAAATACATATAACATAAAATCCACCATTTTAACCATTTCTAAGTGTACAGTTCAGTGGCACTAGGTACATTCATGTGGTTGTGCAATCATCACCCCCCAGTGTCTCTAGAACTTTTTGCATCTACCCAGACTGAAACTTGGTATTTCTTAACAATAACTCATTTTCTTTCCTTCCTTTCAACCCCTGGCAACCACCATTCTTTTTTTTTTTTTTTTTTTTTGAGATGGAGTCTTGCTCTGTCACCCAGGCTGAAGTTTAGTGGCATGGTCTTGCTTCACTGCAATCTCTGCCTCCCAGACTCAAGAGATTCTCCTGCCTCAGCCTCCTGAATAGTGGGGATTACAGGTGCTCGCCACCACACCTGGCTAATTTTTGTAATTTCTTAGTAGAGACCGGGTTTCACTATGTTGGCCAGGCTGGTCTTGAACTCCTGACCTCAGGCGATCCACCCCCCCCCGGCTCCTTTGGCCTCCCGAAGTGCTGGAATTACAGGTGTGAGCCACCGTGCCCGGCCCTTGGCAACCACCATTCTACTTTCTTTCTTTTTTAATTTTTTTTTGAGACGGGGTCTCGCTCTGGCCCCCAGGCTGGAGTGTAGTGGCAGAATGTCAGCTCATTGCAACCTCTGCCTCTCAGGCTCAAGCAATCCTCCCACCTCAGCCTCAGTAACTGGGACCACAGTGATGTGCCACCATGCCTGGCTAATTTTTGTGTGTTTTTGTGAAGATGGGGTTTTACCATGTTGCCCAGGCTGGCCTTGAACTCCTGACCTCAAGCAATCTGTCCACCTCAGCCTCCCAAAGTGCTGGGATTACAGGCATTCAGCCACTGTGCCTGGCCTACTTTTTCTATGTATAAATTTGACTACTCTAAGTATCTCATATGGTATTTGTCATTTTGTGACTGGCTTATTTCACTTAATGTCCTTAAGGTTTCCCCATGTTATAGCATGGCTCAGAATTTCCTTCCTTTTTAAGGTTGAATAATGTTCCACAGTATGTACCTACCACATTCTGTTTATCCATTCATGCAAAAATTGTCCAATGATATGAACATTTAGGTTGTTTCCACCTGGAAATACATTTCAATTTTTTTTTTTTTTTTTTTTTTTTTTTTTGAGACAGAGTCTTGCTCTGTCACCCAGGCTGGAGTGCAGTGGCAGGATCTCGGCTCACTGCAACCTCCACCTCCCAGGTTCAAGTGATTCTCCTGCCTCAGCCTCCTAAGTAGCTGGGATTACAGGCATACGCCACCAAGCCCAGCTAATTTTTGTATTTTTAGTAGAGACGGGGGTTTCACCATGTTGGTCAGGCTGGTCTCGAACTCCTGACCTCGTGATCTGCCTGCCTTGGCCTCCCAAAGTGCTGGGATTACAGGCGTGAGCCACCACACCTGGCCTCAAAATGTTTTAGCTGAGAACAAATACTAATTACTGATTCATAGAAACAACTGTTTTAAGTTTACATATGGGACTGTCACATATAGTTTGATAGAAGTGCTGTTTTATAGATCCAGGGTCCAAACACCCCATACAGGATTGTAATCAGGTTCCTCATATCTAGATATTATATCTAGATCTAAAGCAAGTTGGGGTAAAACATTCTACTGGAATAGATTCTGTCATTTAAATATATTTGATTACTAATTACAGATTCTGCCTACAGTAACCAACCCTCTGCCAATTCCTAGAAAGTAAAAGGTATGTTATGGCAAAAATAGGATTGATTATCTAGGATCATGTATCCTTGAAACTTGCATGGTTTTAATTGAGTCTTTCATACAATTACACTGCTATACCAGAGTCAGGCTGCAAGAAGAACTGACTGTGGTCAGGGGCACATTTACCAAATGTGTTCTAACACAACAGAGGGAGTTTTCGCTGTGTTGGGGAAGAGAAACAATTTCCATTTGGATTTGCAAATTGCTATTCCTGTCAAAAGGAGCAAGCTGATAACGTCCCCAGTCTTCTTTTAGGAAGTTTGGGGAACACAGAGCTCACAGGCAGAGGTACTCAGAGAGAGACACAAAGCCACAATCATGTAGAAGAAAAAGCCAGCCCTGAAATGGTAAATTATTGACAACTGGGCATTCAGCGGAGAGCACTGAAAGGAAAGTACGCACTCTTCTGTAACCACAGCAGATGCAGCCTGTTTCTAAAATCCAAGGCCAAGAGGCCGGTATTTTCTGCAATTAATAATAATGACACTGATATCAGGAAGTAACCATTCTGGCACAGACTGGCAGGGAACAAGAGCAGCCTGGGACACAGAGATCACAGAGACTGGATAATGTGGGAAGAAAACGAGTCCCTACGGGATGAGACAAAAGCAACTCCTTGTCATGTCTGACTTAATGCTGGGAGACTGGAAGTTAATATCAGAAGCCTGTACATACTTCTTATTGTTGTTTGTAGGATTATATTCATGTTAATTGCATAACGAAGCGTGTGTAACTGTCATTCTATGGTGCACAGTCATTGATTGGCAACCAGTGTTTCTGTTGTCTTCATACTAGCCTCAGTTAGGGAACCTCTTCAGGGGTTCCTGGAGAATGATCTGTGAAGCAGCTGGAATGTTCTGACTTCTGCAGGCCCCATTCTGGTCCCTGAACATTGTCCTAAGGGAAGACATTCCTAGCATGAAGTACTCCTGTCTGCGTATGCTACGTGTGACTCAGCCCTTGTTTTCGGAGTTGATAATAGACCCAGTTTACTGCCTTGATATATTTATAGGTTCTATTATCCTTTTTGGATTTTCCAGTGTTTTCTTGATGCTCCTAAAGATCTCAGGAGATGTAACACAGGAGTGGGGAGACATACACAGTACCAAGAACTGAGTTCCTCCAGTGGCTTTTCTATGAATAGAAAGAGAAGGGAAAGAAAACAAGAACAGAGAAGGCATAGAAACGTGTTTTTTTGGCCAGGTGCAGTAGCTCACACCTGTAATCCCAGCACTTTAGGAGGCCGAGGCGGGTGGATCGTGAGGTCAGGAGTTCGAGAGCAGCCCGGCCAAGATGGTGAAACCCCATCTCTACTAAAAATACAAAAATTAGCCAGGTGTGGTGGTGGGCACCTGTAATCTCAGCTATTCAGGAGGCAGAGGCAGGAGAATCGCTTGAACCTGGGAGGCAGAGGTTGCAGTAGTGAGCCGAGATTGCACCACTGCACTCCAGCCTGGGCAACAGAGCGAGATTCTGTCTTAAAAAAAAAAAAAAAAGAGAGAGAGAGAGAGAGAGAAAGGAAAAAAAGAAACTTTTTTTTTCCCCTTAGGGAGCTAGGATAGTCATGATTAGACTAGTGATGGGAGCTGAAGAGAGGCCATTTGCACTGCCTGGGCAGAGTGGCCTGGGCACAGGGCCAGAGGGCACCCATCTGGCTGCAGACCCGCAGGTGCCCTGTGAGGTACGTCCCTTTAAGCTTAGTAAAGCATATATTCTTTTGAATTGTCTAGATCCTCCCTCCAATGTTTACAGACCCTGGTGCAGAGAAATTGCTTCGCTAGGAGGACATGGGTTACTTTTCTCTGCAAATTCTTTTTTTGGGGGAATGGGAGGGGAAGGCTTAGGAAAGATGGGTAAGGGTAGGCTTATGTTCTGTGGAGCGACACTAACTGCCTTCTGTTTTTGGTTGATGGCTCTGAGGCCTGGCTTCTGAGATGCGGTATCGCTCTAGCTCCTCACGTTCAGAGTCACCACTGGCTTTCTGGATCGCTTCGGATGGGCCCTTTCTCTTAGCCTCTGTTTTAACATTGGTAAACTGGAAAATTCCAGGCCATTTCTTTGTGTGTTCTTCACAAGGATACAGGACAACCATTAAGGCTGTGTTCTAGAAAATAAAATACTTTGGGGAAGAGAGTCTAGATTTAATTTTCTGTGATGATTTAATAGATTCAAAAGGCAACTTGAGAATATTTTTCTTTGGCCCCCTCTATTCCGTATGGCACAACTCCAGTCCAGAGTCAAGCCTCCCCCACCCCACCCCGCGACACTTGGCTGTTTCCACCAGCCTTTGTTGAAGTATCTTGTCACGTCTAAATCTTAGACCTTTAGGCTCCTGTGCACACCATTCAAAAGTGATTCTATGTAGATTTGACTGTAATTAAACCTGCTTTTCCTTTACAATGTTGTTAAGATTGACATCTGAGCAGCATAAGTCCTTATTTTTCCCTTGACAGATTATTTTCTTTATTCAAATAAAGCCTGTGTTCTATTTTGAATGCTGGGAGAATGGAGATTTTCTTTTTTCCTTTGGAGTTTGAAGCAATTAGAGCCACAAATTAATTTTTCACATTAAGAGGGGTGTTTTGTCTTCCAATCTGCACCTGCTCAGCCCCATTTCCAGTTATTTGGAGGTTGTTGCACGAAAGAAGAGGAAATAATTATGCCGGGACGGAGGGAATCACTAACGGCTAATCAATAACTGTGGAGTTTTTCAAAACTCTAAAGAGACTCGGCACAGTGTTGGGATAAACAGTGGGATCATTTAGTGGTGGTTTCCCTGGTGTGAGGTTCCTGGAAACATCCAGAATTGATCATCAAACATCTCCACTTATACCTGTGTCCTTTAGTCACTTAAAATTCAATAACAAATTTATTATTCTCCCTCAACTCTCTGCCTGCCCCCAAACTTAATTCTTCTGTATCTCCAGGCTTTGTTAAGGTTGTTTAACATCCACAGTCTCAGAGCCAGAGAGTCCCTAGTCTTTCCTTCCTCACCCTCTAGCATGGACAAGGGTTGGCTTCTTACCCAATATCCATTCCTTCTCTCTCCTCTTGCTCACAGTGCCCAGATTTTAATTTGTGGAATTACTCCTCTCCCACCTGCCTCCCTGGGTATTTGCTATGCAGTTGCAGCAGAGTTTACTCTACCCCTAGCCCACATGGTGGGCCCTGATTAGTCCAAGGCCCTTGAACAAATCCTTTAATGTTTTCATCTCTCTTGCCATAGAAATTGGCTTAGAGGTTGGTCCACATCATTCATTGTGTGGCCCTCCCCTGGCCCTGAGATTGGTTCTGACTGGTCCAAATAGAGTAAATGAATGGCTTTTGTGTGATAGCTGAAGAAAGGAAAACCTCTTTTTTGCTTTGAAGAAGGTGGTGCACAACTATGAGGTTGAAACAAGTTCAGCCTTTTGACTACCATGAAGAAACCCAGCAGGAGGACACAGCCCATCACCGAGGGAGGCAGAGCCCAGTGGATCACAGAGAAAGAGTCGGGGCCCAGGGTCCCTCTCAGTGAAGCACATCTGAAGCCCACTTTACTGCTGCACTTTTCCCATTACATGAGCAAACCAGTTTCCTTTTCGCTTATGCCAGTTTGTGTTGAATGTTCTGGTAATCAAAAGTATCCTTGGCTAATATATCCCCTCAATGATTCACAACAGCCTCCTGATTTTGCTTCTTTCATAAATCTCAAGTTCAACCTCTCTCTACTATCCTTAGTGTCACTAGATACTCACTATATTATTTATTGGGACCCAACTTAATTTTAAATGACAACTTTACCATTGAGAAACTTTCTAAGAAAACAGAAGCCCAATAATTCAGAGATTAGAAAGCTGACTGACAACCCCCAAATGATCACATATGGAAGTGTTTTATATCCCACGGGCAGATCTTCTGTAAATAAGGCCCTTCCAGGGCTCATTCTGTGCTGGCTTCCCAGCGTCATCCTCCCTGCCCCTTGCTTCGTGCCACATGCTGCAGCCACACTGTGTTTTTTTGCAGTTTCTCAAGTCCCAAATTCTTTTAAGACTTGTTATGTTATGTTTTTTATTCCTTTGTATATTCTCATTCTCGTGTTTGGAAAGAAGTCCCTCCCTCTTCCACTGAAAAGACTTGCCAGTCATCCTGCAGTCCCTGTGAAACCTGGGAAGCTTCAATCTGCCATCTTGGGACAGGTGATGCAATTGATAGGGCTGACTAGGACCAGGGATGAGACTAAGCTGACCCTAACCCAAGCTGTTGAGTCAATGCACAGACTGATAGACAGGTGTAGACAGGGCTTGGGAGCTATCAGAAATCTAGACAGGCCAGGGGTCAGAGCCAGAGGGTCTAGCAGAGTGACACGGTTTGGCTGTGTTCCCATCCAAATGTCATCTTGAACTGTAGCTCCCACAATTCCCATGTGTTGTGGGACGGACCCAGTGGGAGGTAATTGAATCATGGGGGCGGGTCTTTCCCATGCTAGTCTCATGATAGTGAATAAGTCTTACGAGATCTGATGGTTTTGTAAAGGGGAGTTTCCCTGCACAAGTTCTGTTCTCTTGTCTGCCACCATGTAAGTAGTGCATTTCACCTTCCACCATGATTGTGAGGCCTCCCCAGCCACATGGAACGGTGAGTCCATTAAACCTGTGTCTTTTGTAAATTTTCTTGTATGGGTATGTCTTTATCAGCAATGTAAAAACAGACTAATACACAGAGTCAACAGAAGTCATTCAACAGAGGCCTGGTTAATGGTGCTGCTGTAGAGGAGATGTAAAACAGAGCATGAATCCCAAAATTTCAGGCTACAGGTGGGTAGCACTGGGCCCAGCATAGTTAATTCTAACCAGAAGGCCAGGAGACAGGAAGAGAATCCTCTTCTTGATTTAGGGAGTGATAGGGAGACGCTGAAATGCATTTCAGCAGTCATCTTAACCCAGGGGATGAAGGGGATGGCTTAGAAATCAGAATTGCATGGAGAATACTGCTCAGTTTTATTTCTTATTTTCAAAAGGAGTTTGTGAGACCACTGCAGGTACCTCCTTCCAAGGAATCCTAGGATCTGGGGAAGGGGAGATGGGGATGTGGGATGTGTGGTTTTGTTTTGTTTTTTTCTTTTTTCAGAGACAGGTTCTTGGGTTCTGGTTCTGTGGTCTGGACTAGAGTGCAATGGTATAATCATAGCTCACTGCAACCTCGAACTCCTAGGCTCAAGCAGTCCTCCCATCTCAGCGCCCCAAGTAGCTGGGACTGCAGGCACACACCACCATGACTGGGAAATTTTTTTGTTTGGTTTGGTTTTGAGACAGAGTCTCACTGTGTCACCCAGGCTGGAGTGCAGTGGAACGATCTTGGCTCACTACAACCTCTGCCTCCCGGGTTCAAGTGATTCTCCTGCCTCAGCCTCCCGAGTAGCTGGGACTACAGGTGCCTGCCACCACACCCAGCTAATTTTTTGTATTTTTAGTAGAGACTGGGTTTCACCGTGTTAGCCAGGAAGGTCTCAATCTTTTGACCTCATGATCCACCCACCTCAGCCTCCCGAAGTGCTGGGATTATAGGCATGAGCCACCATGCCCTGCCAATGTCTGGGAAATTTTTAAATTTTTTGTAGAGACAGCATCTTGCTATGTTGCCCAGGATGTTCTCGAACTCTGGGCCTGAAGGGATCCTCCCACCTCAGCCCCCGAAGTGCTGGGATTACAGGTGTGTGCCACCATGCCTGGCCAGGATGTGTATATTTTAAAAAAGCTCTTCAAGTAATTCTGATGTTGTCTCTACTGCCCTTTGTGCTCCAGGATTGCCCTGGGGGGTGATCTTGCATCTGCTTGTATCTTTTTTATTTTTATTTTCATTTATTTTTTTGAGACAGGGTCTCACTCTGTCACTCATGCTGGAGTGCAATGGCATGATCTTGGCTCACAGTAGCCTCAACTGGTCTTAGGTGATTCTCCTACTTCAGCCTCCCAAATAGCTGGGACTATAGGTGTGAGCTACCATGCCTGGCTAATTTTTTGTATTTTTTGTAGAGACGGAGTTTTGATATGTCGCCCAGGCCGGTCTCAAACTCCTGGGCTCAGCAATTTGGCTGCCTCAGTCTCCCAAAGTGTTGGCATTACAGGTGTGAGCCACTGTGCCCCCCCTGCTTGTATCTTTAGCTCTTCTGTCCCCATCTCCTCCCTATACTCATCTAACTATGCTCAGTCACTGCCTTTGCTTGTGCTGTTTCAGAATGTTCTCTTCCATCTTGACCCTCTGGTTACCCTATACATCCTGCTCATTCCTAGCATCCACTAAAGCGTTCTAATCTTAATTCCATCTCCAAACTTTCTCTCCACGCTCAACCCTGGGTTAAGCTCCACACTCCCTTTTGTCACCACAATAACTTGATGCATCCCTTCAGAACTCATACTTAGCCTCGTTCTTATTGTTTGTTTGCTTCCCTTCTGAAACCTTGGAGAGCCAACACTACGCTTTTTCATCTTAGGAGCCATAGCTGTGCCTGCTGCGTAGCAGGCTCAATGGCTGTGGAAGTGCATGGATACCCGTAAACAAATGGAATCAAATGGAACAAAGGCCACAAGGCTGCTTTGTAAACCACAAGGTGCAGCAAAGGTGTAGCATATTATTATTATTGCTAGTCAACAAGACAGAAACCTCTGAAAGTCTTCAAGTTCTACTTCCTCTTGGATGCCTATCTTGATTCTTCTCCAGACAGAATCAATGACTCCGTTATTGGAACTCCCTCAGTAGGCTGCATTAGGCAGTTTTTTCCAGGATGCTTTATGCAAATTACCATTTATATCTCATGTGCCAGTCTCCCTCACTAGACAGGAAAGTCCTTTAGGAGAGGGATGGGATGCATTAATCCTGGGGACCCTTCTCAGAACGCTCTTAAGTGCTTTGAACATTAATATTAGTTGACTTCCTGCCCTCTTCCCTCCCCAAGGCAAATATCTTCATCTGCACTCACCTTCTCCCCTTCCAGTCTCAGATGAAGCAGCCAGCCTCCTCTGTTCTATTCTCCTGTGCCCTGGGAAGTTGAAAATGAGAGTGGATCCTGTGATCTCTTTAATCACTAGCAGCTAATGTGTCCGTGCAATGGATAAATGCGAGAAGTGTCTTCCCTTCCCTGAAGAGAGGCCTTCATGCTCATGCTCTCTTAGTAAAAAGGACGTGGAGAAACTGGGAACCCATTGGGAGAAGTAGGACAGAGAAGAGAAAGGGGGCTGCATTGAGGAGAGGACTTCCAGAGTAGCCAAGGGAACCTAGGAAGGATTTGCTGGTGTCTGTGCAGCCCCGGGAGCACGCTTGACTAAGAAAGGACTGGGCCTGGGATTGGGTGGATTTAATTATATTGGGCATAGACTTGCTGGAGCAACCTCCAATGCCGACCTCTGTATCTGGCCTGAGATTTGGTGCTTGCCTGTGCTTAAGTACGGATACCTTGGTTTTTGATCCTGTCTGCTTGTCAGGAGGTGGTACTGTTTTCCTCAAATATTAGGCCTGTGTGGCTACCAAGAACTGGAGACTGTCCAGGGAGGAGGCAGTGGCTGGAGGGGAAGGGCCACATTCCCAAGGCCTTTGTCACAAACAGAACCCAGAGCCTCCATGATGGCAGGGGAGGCAGGAATTGGCTGGCACTGCAGGGCATCGCAGGATTCTGGGGCAGGAAAGAACCTTAGAGCTCACACAATACATCATTTAAGGGATAAGGATGCTTGCAGGTGAGGCCCGGAGAGATTAAGTGATTTACCCAAAGTCATTCAGAGAAGCAGGACCTCAAGAAAAGACCCAGGCTCAGCCCACAGCTGGAGCTTTGCCCACACTACTGCAGCCCAGGCATCTGTGTAGATAAATGCACTTCATGGAGGTCAACTCAAGGGCCTCCCCCATCCCGAGGGCCAAGAGTCCACGGATGGGTCAGGGGAGCAGCTTACTCGGACCAAGAAGACATGAGGGTGGGTCGGAGAGGGGGTCACCCTTTGCTCCAGTGGGTTAGTGCTCATCTATCTTATCCAGCAATTTATTAGCTCAGTTCTATTACCATGGGCTAATTGTCCACCCATGATGAATAGGGCTGATTTCCTCCTCCCCTCAGCCTGCCCCTTCCCTCCTCCCTCAATCCCTCCTCCCTCCCTTGTTTTCTCCCTCCCTCTCTGCCTCCCTCCTGGTTTCTTTCTTGAACACCACTTTTGTGGTGGACATTGTGCACTGTGGCTCCAGAGATGAAAAAGATCCGTTTCTGTTCTCCAGGAACACACAGTATAGAAGGTAGGAGATGAGCAGGGGGTTGGGTGCTGTTCAGGGACTAGTCTTGTACTCAAGGGTCCTTTTACATGGAAATAATACAAGAGAATTTCTAAGATAGCTCTAGAAAGAAAACAAGATGCCCTTAAGGCCACTTTCACCATTCACTGTGAGACCCACTTACGTGTGGTGCCTGCGCCTCTCTTCCTTGATGCCTCCCTGAATTTATTTATTTTTATTTGACCTTCCTCAAACTTTCATCTACATTCATGTGTTTTTACAAACAACAAGCAAGCTGAAATACCATGCACACAGACACTCCCATGTGGAATCACAGCTCCATGCAAATACATGTGACCCCACAAACATTCAAGGGTACAGATGTACACAAAGGATGGGCTGGATATGTACGCAAATGATGCTTGCACATAGATACGAGCAGAACTACATAAACACACATGTAAATGCATGTATGAAAAAAGCTGTATCAATACGTGCTGAAAGAGTTTTGGCTTGAGGAAAGTCATTTCAGTGCTTTGTTAAAACAATGACAACAAAACAGGACTTGAGGCAGCTCGGCCAGCTTTCATGTGATTTATAACTCTGATTGCCTTGACTCTGACCCCAGAGCTCATTCAGAGAAAACACTTGGGGAAAAGCAGGGGACATCAAAAGAAGCAGTAGACACCTGGTTGATCCTCTCAGAGGAGAGGAATCCAGAGTGCATGGCTTCATCTGGGGTCCCTTGGCGCTTTGTGCAAATCTCTGCTAGAAACCCTTCTCTGTGTTGTAACCACTGGTTCATCAAATTGATTTTCCCACTAGACTGCAAGCTCCTTAGAGGCAACCTCAGTGTGGGAGTCATCTTGATGTTCTCAGCCCAGAGCGCAGTTCCTGATAGTAGAGGTTCAGTAAATGTTTGTTGACCTATAGAGGATTAATTGCTGTAACTAAAATGAGTAGATAGGGAGCACACAAGGCCACTCCTTAATTTTGGTGCATTTCCGTCTGTGTTAGTCTGTTTCGCACTACTATAAAGGAATAACTGAGGTATATATAAAGAAAAATGGTTTATTTGACTCATGGTTCTGCAGGCTGCAGGCATCTGCTTGGCCTCTGGTGAGGACCTTGGGAAGCTTTTACTCTTGGCAGAAGGCAAAGGGAGCCAGCATGTCACATGGCGAGAGAGGGCACAGGAGGCGGGGGGAGGTGTCATGCTCTGTTAAACAACCAGCTCTCATGTGATCTAATAGAGTGAGAACTCATTCATTTCTCTGAGGATGACACTAAGATGTACATGTAGCATCTGCTCCCATGACCCAAACACTTCCCACTAGGCCCCACCTCCAATAGCAGAAATCAAATTATGACATGAGATTTGAAAGGGAGAAATTTCCAAACCGTATCTCCCTCTCTCTCAGTGTGGAAGATAGCATGGCTGGGATCCCTTAGCCTTTATTTCAACCTCTGGTCCTCTAGAGTCCCTATTATTCTAGAGTCTGGGAAGCTAAGAATGACACTTCCAAACTCCCTTGCAGCTACATCTCTGGTTGTGATGTAGATGATATCAACCAGCTACACCAGGGGGAGACTTGAATTTGGAGCCGAGAAGGGCAGGGGACTGGACTGCAGCAATGTGGTGTTGCTTTGGATTCATTGGTTGTAGTGGTAGCTTCCTGATTTGACCAGGAATTTCTTGATTGTGGCAGGAAACTTGGTGGTACAGTTCTGTGCTGTGACTTTGGGAGTTGCTTCTGGTAGCTTAGTGATGTGGTTTGGCTGTGTCCCCACCCAAGTCTTGTCTTGAATTGTTGTTCGCATAATCCCCATGTGTCATGAGAGGGACCTGGTGGGAGGTAATTTAAGCATGGGGGCAGTTACCTCCATGTTGTTCCTATGATAGTGAGTGACATCTCATGAGATCTGATGGTTTTATAAGGGGCTTCCCCCAACACACTTCACTCTGCACTTCTCCTTCCTGACATCATGTGAAGAAGGATGTGTTTGCTTCACCTTCCACCATGATTGTAAGTTTCTTGAGGCCTCCCCAACCGTGCTGAACTGTTGAGTCAATTAAACCTCTTGCCTTTATAAATTACCCAGTCTCAGGTAAGTTTTATTAGCAGTGTGAGAACGGACTAATACACTCAGTGTAGAGTCTATCTTTGATACAGTGAGCCAGGCATATGATTCCTTGTTGTAAATCCCTTCCTGTTAAAACTGGGGAAAGTAGATTGTGCTTTTTATGAATTATCCTGATGAATACACAATCACAGGGACAGGTGCCATCAGTGCCTGCATTTTAGGGAAGCCAGAGTGTTCATGTATCCATTAGCCTTCTCATTAGTGTGTCCATGTGGAAGTGTTATAAGAGGTACAAAGACCACCCCTCTTCTCACATAATACAATCTGTCTTATGCTATTGGAGGTACATCAATGAGAAAGACCAGTTCGTTTAAAGTCTGGAATTGGAGAGACAGCAAGAAAGCTAGCAGCTAGGATGCAGCCCCAGCATGAGTGCAACAGAAAATGGCAGTCAGCCACACAGTGGGAGCCACAGTGGGCAGGCATGCAGGAGGGTGGTTTGGACTGAATGTTCCCTCCCAAATTCACATGTTGAGGCCCTAGTTCCCAGTGCGGTGGTGTTTGAAGATGGGGCCTCTAGGAGGTAATTGGGTGTGGAAGAGGTCACAGGGTTGAGCCCCCATGGTGGAACCGGTGTCCTTATAAAGAGATGATCTAACCAGAGCTCACTCACTGCCTCTGCTCTGTGAGGATACAGAGAGAAGACAACTGTCTACAAGCCAGGAAGCAACCCTCACCAGACACTGGATCTGCGGGCACCTTGATCTTGGACTTCCCAGCCTCCAGAATTAGGAATAGCAAATGTTTCTTACAGTATAAGGAGAATATAGACAGAAAACAAACAGACAATTAAATATATAATACATCAGGTCAATTCACTGAGAGTTCAATAATGTACTTTTGCCTCCATTTTTCAAGGAGTTTGAAAGGACCTTGTGGGCAAAGGTCTACCATTTTGTGAACCTTATAATGACCAGCACTAGATGCACAGTAAATAATAGGTCGATGCTTGTTTGCTTATTACTTGAGGTTGGCTGATTTTGCATGGCAAGACAGAGGATACAAAAATTAGGCTTTGCTTACATAAAACCAAATGCTATGGAAAACTGGCCTCTCACTGGGGTGGAAGTCACCAAGATCTATGATATTTTTTTTTCTTGTGAAGCACCATGATTGTTTTAAAAATCAAATGGCACAAATATAAGCTGAACATATATAACATTTATTTCATCATGACTTGGTTAAGGAACAATATAAAAAGGAAAGAGAAGAAATGTTATTAAAGTCTTATAAGCACTATCCCAAATGGACTACTCTAAGATGTTCTATTATTCCATACTGTCTCCTTTAAAATGGATTTTTCCCCTACAAACCTGCATAAATATTGCTTTATAGCTATTTTCTTTGTATATCTATACATCATTAAAACTTTATTGCTTTAATACAAAATTGTATGTGTCTTCTCATTACAACCAAGCAAAATTATGTGTGCACATGGACAAGGGCCAGAAGAGAAAAAGCAAAAGGGAAGTCAGTTATAGGGTGAAGGTTGTGAGGCTAAAGGTAGTTCTTTTTTTCTCCTTTAGATGTTTCTTCAGTGCGATTATGTGACATTTAAACAAGACTATACCATACTATTGATTGGGTTTGAAAAAATGGTAAAATTTTCTCCAACAGAAAAGAGTTCAAAACATGACAGTATGACCCAGAGAACCCTGACCCACATGTCAAAATGCTGCCGGCCTCAATGACGCCAGCTGGGAGGTGTCCTTGTGCGCTTCTGCACACCTAGAAGACACAGGAAGGATTTACCAGTCCACATGTCTTAGTCTCCCAGATCCAAGGTCTTAGCATCAGAAGGGCCTCAGAATTCCTTAGCCTGGGCCACACTCAGAGAAAGTCCTGAGCAGGGAGGCCCCCTGCATAGACCCAGGTGTCAGTCATTGTCATTCAAGAAACCTTCCTATCTCGGTTGGTGCTTCTCATTTGATTCTGCAGTCCTGACCCTATCATTTTGCTCTCATTTTTCTTCCTCCTCCCCAAAGACTCAACACAAGGAGCCAGGGACTGTGAGCCTGGAGAAACCCAGCTTCCAGTCTTGGTTCTGCCACTCACCCTCAGAGTGTCCTCTGAGCAAACCATGGAAGCTCCCAGGGTCCCAGTTTCTCATGTGTAAAAATGGGGGTGTTACACTAGGTGATCTCTAAAACCCTTTCATTTCTGGTATTCCAGGACTCTATGATTCTAAAAATGGAAGAAGACAGCCATGCATTTTGTTCAACCAGCAGAACTTTGGGGCTCAATCCAAGAATATTCTTGTTGTGGCTACCAGAGAGGCTCCAAACCCAGAAACTCAACTGAGGCAGACAATCTGGTCGCTTCAAATCATCATTGCCTCCTTTTTTTTTTTTTTTTTTTTGAGACATGGTCTCACTCCGACGCCCAGGCTGGAGTACAGTGGCTTCATCATGGCTCAATGCAGCCTTGGCCTTCTGGGCTCAGGTGATTCTCTCACCTCAACCTCCAAGTAGCTGGGATTACAGGCACATGCCACCATGCCCAACTAATTTTTATATTTTTTGCAGAGACAGGATTTTGTCATGTTGCCTAACTTGAACTCCTGGGCTCAAGCCATCCTCCCACCTCGGCCTCCTCCTTACTTTTAAAAATCTTTTACACCTGTAATCCCAGCAGTTTGGGAGGCCGAGGCGGGCAGATCACTTGATGTCAGGAGTTCGAGACCAGCCTGGCCCAACATGGTGAAACCCCATCTCTACTAACAATAAAAAATAAAAAAATAAAAAATAGCCAGGAGTGGTGGTGGGTGTCTCTAATCCCAGCTACCCAGGAGGCTAAGGCAGGAGAATTGCTTGACTCTGGGAGGTGGAGGTTGCAGTGAGCTGAGATCGCAGCACTGCAATCCAGCATAGGCAGCAAAGAGAGACTCAGTCTCAAAAAAAAAAAAAAATTACTGTTTATTTTTATTCTTGTTTAGAAACAGGGTCTTGCTCCATCATCCAGGCTAGAATGCAGTGGTGAAATCATAGCTTACTACAGCCTCCAATTCCTGGCCTCAAGTGATCCTCCTGTCTCAGCCTTCAGAGTAGTTGGAACTGCAGGCATCTGCCATCATGCCCAGCTAATTAAACAAAAAATTTTAAAGACGGGGTCTCCACTATATTGCTCAGGCTGGTCTTGAGCTTCTGGACTCAAGCGATCCTCCTGCCTCGGCCTCCCAAGGTGTTGGGGTTACAGGCATAAGCGACTGCACCTGGACTTCCTTACAGCACTGCTAGATAAACTTGGACTTATCAATTAAATAATTCCACTATTAACTCGCATACCTAGGAACTTTGAACTTCTTATGTAAATATATACACAAGGCATCTGGCAATGCAAGTTTATAAAGATGAGAAGGCAAAGACCTTAACTGGAGGGGAGGTGGGAGGGAAAGGGGAGGAGTAGTTGGCATGTATTGGGCATTTTTAATGGCAAGTTCCAGAAACCCAACTCAAAAGCAGACTTTATTGGCTTACATAGGGAAAAGCTCATTTCCATATTCAGCTTGACCAAGGGACTCTAGCGATATTGTTGGATCTGGATTGTCCTCTTTTCTTGGTCTCCTGATCTTGGTTCCTTTGTCACCTTCACTCTTGGGCAGTCTTCCAGTCAAGGTGGCCTCACTGCCCAAAGATAACCACGTTTTTCCCAACCATCCCTGTTTTGGTTCTTTTGGTTAGTCACTTTTATAGTCTCTAAAATAAATAACAATATAAACAGGCTTCTATCCCTGCTTCTTGATGAATCAGTATAAGTTTCTTTCCATGATGGAGGAAGATCAGACCATTCATACTTTGCCTGGCTCAACAGAGTTCTATCACGATGCTTGGTTTCTTCTTCTCTGGGACACGTGTGCAGCCTGAAACAACATCCTTACACTTCATGTCTTATTTTGTCCACTGTATCCTGATTCTTCACTCTGTAAGGCAAGGCAATTTCTGCTCACATCCTTCCTTCTGACTCGCCCCACTTCCTGCCACTTCAGGGTTGGTACTTGCTTCATTGTATTCTGTAACCATCATAGATTTGCCCAGGATTTCTCTGTATGTGGATTTTATAAGCAATAAGCAAGTGTTAGGCCAGGTGAGGTGGCTCACACCTGTAATCCCAGCACTTTGGGAGACTGAAGCAGGTGGATCACCTCAGGTCAGGAGTTCGAGAACAGCCTGACTAATATGGTGAAACCTCATCTCTACTAAAAATACTAACATTAGCCGGGCGTGGTGGTGCGTGCTTGTAGTCCCAGCTACTTGGGAGGCTGAGGCAGCAGAATTACTTGAACCCGGGTGATGGAGGTTGCAGTGAGCCGAGATCGTGCCACTGCACTCCAGCCTGGGCAACAGAGTCAGACTCCGCCTCAAAAAAAAAAAAAAAAAAGGAAGTGTTATTTATATTACTCTAAGCATGTAAATGTTGTTTACTGATATGCACATTACTATACTAGGGTTTATTCTCTGTAGGTCTAATGTTATCACTACTCTGCCTTTCAGTGGAGACTGTGACTAACATTTAGTTCAAATACATATTTTTAATACTCCAGTACTTGCCTTTATCAAAGCCTCAACTTTTTCTAACTTTAAATCATACTTTTCTTGTTGCTGTTAATTCCCAGAACCCTCTGTCTTTCTATTCCAATCTAGATCTCTACTCGCTGCTCTCTGGGGTTGAATTTGGTTGGTCTCCTGAATACATGACTTATTTCTTGTTTTATACTCTTATTTTATCTGGGCTCTAATTTCAAGTAGCTCCCTAAGAAAGGGATTATGAGAGGTAAACTTTGGACTCCTTGCCTACTTTGAAGTGTCCATTTTACCTTCATCCTGGATATGGAATTCTAAGTTGGAAATAATTTTCCTTTAGAGCTTGCTCCCTTGAGTTCCTGATTCACCGATGCTGATAAGTCTGATGCCAAGCTAACTTCTGTTCTCTTTTAGGAAGAAACCTTTTTTTTTTCTTTTCTTTTTTTCTGCATATGTTTACTATCTCTTTATCCCTAGTATTCTGAAATTTCATAATGCCATATCTAGGTAGAAGTCTTTTTTCATCCTTCGAGCCTTTACTTAGAGGAATCTCTGTTTAATCTAATAACTTGTGTCCTTCTTCAACTCTGGTATATTCTCTCTTATTATTTCCTAGCTAGTTTCTTCCTCTCTGCATTTCTTTCCAAAATCCTTGTTAATCTGATGTTGGACTACACGTATTGATCCCTTGCTCTTAAAGTTTCTTTCATATTTTAAAATCTTTTTTTCTTATACACTAAGAGATACTCCCAAATTTATCTTTCAATCCTTCCATTGCATTCTTTAAATTTCTGCAATTGTGTAGCCACATTTTTTAATTCAAAGAGCTCTTTCTTATTCCCTCATGGCTCATTTATTCATAGAATATAATTCTGGGTTTTACAGATTTTGTTTTGCTTGTGTTTTCAGTAATCTTCTGTATCCTGAATTATCTGTGCTCTGTTTTTTGGGGGAGGGGGTTACTGCTTGATTTTTAATTTTACATTGCAAATATTAGGTGCATTGTCTATGTGTAAAACCAAAGCAATAAAGAGACTGAATTGAGAGCTCTGTGTCTAGAACCTGGGTTGCTGACTGTCAGCCTTTTTAATGGGACAGGTGGGGAACAGGCTGTTATGCTGGGGCACCTCTACATGGAATTGGATGCAGGGCTTGACTCTGGTTACACTCCTTATTAGGTCCTCTAATTTTCCCCAGATGGTTTTTAAAGTTGAGAATAACTTTTTAAAAAAATTCTTAAATATCTTTATTTTTTAAAAAATTAAGAACATCTCTATCCATTATGATGGTTACTATAAAAAATAATAAATGTCAGCAAGGATGTGAAGAAATTGGAATGCTTGTGTGCTGTTGGTGGGAATATAAAATGGTGCAGCCATGATGAAAATCAGCATTGTGGTTCCTCAAAAGGCTAAACATAGAATTACCATATGATCCTGCAATTCCACCACTGGGTATATACTCAAAAGAATTGAAAGCAGGATCTTGAAGAGATATTTGCATACACATGTTAATAACAGCATTATTTATAATAGCTAAAATGTGGGAGCAACCCAACTGTCCATCGATGGATGAATGAATAAGCAAAGTGTGAGCTATACAATGAAATATTATTCAGCCTTAAAAAGGAAGAAACTTCTGCAATATGCTATAACATGGATGAACCTTAAGAACCTGATGCTCAGTGAAAGAAGCCAGTCACAAAAAGACAAATACTGTATGATTCCACTTAGATGAGATTACTTAGAGTGGTCAAAATCACAGAGACAGAAAGTAGCATGGTGGTTGCTAGGGGCTGGAGAGAGGGCGGAATGGGAAGTTATTGTTTAAAGGATATAGAGTTTTGGTCTTACAAGACTAAATGAGTTAAGGAAATGGATGGTGGTGACGGTTGCCACAACATTACGAATGTATTGTCTGGGTGTGGTGGCATGCATTTGTAGTCCTAGCTACTTGGGACGCTGAGATGGGAGGATCACTTGAGGCTATAGTGAGCTGTAATCCTGCCACTGCACTTCAGCCTGGGTGACAGAGAGACCCCATCTCAAAAAAAAAAATAAAAAATAAATAAAAGAAAAAGAAAAAAAACCTGCAAAAAACCATTATGAGTATATTTTAAAACACTGAACTGGGGTCAGGTACAGTGACTCATGCAATCCCAGCACTTTGGGAGGCTGAGGAGGGGAGATTGCTTGAGGCCAGGAGTTTGAGACCAGCTTGGACAACATAGTGAGATCCCATCTCCAAAAAAAAAGAAAAAAAAAATTAGTCAGGCGTGGTGATGCACACCTGGAGTCCCAGCTACTTGGGAGGCTGAGATGGGAGGATTGCTTTAGCTGGGAGGTGGAAGCTACAGTGAGCTATGATTGTGCCAATGCACTGGGAGACAGAGCAAGGCCCTGTCTCAAAAACAACAACAACAACAAACCCAAAAACACTGACCTGCACGACTGAACTGCACATTTAAAAATAGTTAAGAATATGAATTTTATGTTATGTGTATTTTATCACAATAAAAAGAAGTGAAAGAGAAAATCAACTGTCCTCAATTTTTGGTAGGAGAAGTTCCCGGTTACGGCAGATTTGTGCGCTGTGGTAGGGAAGAGTTGGAGGTTGGGCTGTCTACATGCTCCATCTGCAGGCCTTCAATTACTCCTCAGCACCACTTCTCACACCACTGCCTCATGTCACCTGCTATCTCAGAGTACAGAGTAGAGTTTTTTCAGGTCATGCAGCCCCTTCGTTTATATTCCAGGCTGACTTTCCTTCTTTTCCCTTTATTTCTCATCATTCTTCCATCTGCTTTATGTCTTCTAGCAGTCCATTAAAACTCTTTACCTACTGTTAGCTCTCCTGCCATTCTCTTGACTCTTATGTGTTTATACCTTTCAAATTCTTTTTGTCATCTTTTTCATGGGATTTCGGGAGGAGGGGTGATACCCATGTGTGCTTGGCACCTCCCCCTGAACTGTCCAACCAGCAGTTGTTAATTTTGTGTAGAGTGGATGTGTCTCTGGATTTTCTATTGATTACGGATGTAGAGAGACTTTGAGTTTACTTTAAAATGCTCTAGTTTAGGGTTGGAACGAAACTTACACTTTAATAAATAAATCCCCATGTCTTAATTCAGGGCTGGATGGAAACATGGACTTGAATAAATAAGTCCCACGTCTTTCTTATATCAGTCATGGTTCAATTGGAGAAGCATGGCCGCTAGGTATGCGCTTATTTATTATGTATTATAAGGATTTGACCTTACCCAGTTGTGGGAGGTGATTGGAAAAGTCTCTCTCTGGCTGTTTTCTTAGTGCTTGATCCTGGGGTTTGAGTCCTGCAGGGTGGACAAGGAAGATATATGTAAATTGGGGGAGAGTCAGGATGAGACGGAACCAGAGGCACAAGTTGGAGTCCTTAAGGATGGATTGAACCTGTGTCAGTTCTTGTTGCCCTTGGCCTTGATGGTGTGGGTGTCCTGCAGGAGGAGCTGGCACTCTTGATCACAGAAGTAAATATACGCTTGGTTCAGGACTTGGAGAAGACGAATGGGGATGTGAGAGAAGGGGAAGCAGCTTGAGGACTGATTGCTGTCTCACCGGATCCAACTGAGCCAGCAGGTGAGTGACAACATGTGGGAGCTGCCTAATCCCCTGCACCTGCCTGCTGAGAGTGAGAACCACATGGCTGCAGCCTTACCTCTACCCTCCCAATCTCCGAGACCTGCCCCAGCTGGGAATTCACAAACAAATGAATTTTAGGAACCAGTTCCCTCTTCTCAAGTTGACACATTACAAAGCCACCACACTTTTGGAATAGAAAAATTAGGCTCAGAAAGATTACATGAATTACACAAAGCTTGATAACTCTTTTAAAACTTGGACTAGTAAGCAGGACTTTTGATTTCCAATACAAATACCTTTAAAAAATGTCAGGGATCAATTCAATGAGAAGAGCTAACTATCCTAAATATATATGCACCCAATACAGGAGCACCCAGATTCATAAAGCAAGTTGTTAGAGACCTAGAAAGAGACTTAGACTCCCACAAAATAATGCGATACTTTAACACCCCACTGTCAACATTAGACAGATCAACGAGACAGAAAGTTAACAAGGATACCCAGGAATTGAACTCAGCTCTGCACCAAGCTGACCTAATAGACATCTACAGAACTCTCCACCCCAAATCAACAGAATATACATTCTTCTCAGCTCCACACTACAGTTATTCCAAAATTGACCACATAGTTGGAAGTAAAGCACTCCTCAGCAAATGTAAAAGAACAGAAATTATAACAAACTGTCTCTCAGACCACAGTGCAGTCAAACTAGAACTCAGGATTAAGAAACTCACTCAAAACCACTCAACTACGTGGAAACTGAACAACCTGCTCCTGAATGACTACTGGGTACGTAACAAAATGAAGGCAGAAATAAAGATGTTCTCTGAAACCAACAAGAACAAAGACACAACATACCAGAATCTCTGGGACACATTCAAAGCAACGTGTAGAGGGAAATTTATAGCACTAAATGCCCACAAGAGAAAGCAAGAAAGATCTAAAATTGACACCCTAACATCACAATTAAAAGAACTAGAGAAGCAAGAGCAAACACATTCAAAAACTAGCAGAAGGCAAGAAATAACTAAGATCAGAGCAGAACTGAAGGAAATAGAGACACAAAAAACCCTTCAAAAAATCAATGAATCCAGGAGCTGGTTTTTTGAAAAGATCAACAAAATTGATAGACTGCTAGCAAGACTAATAAAGAAGAAAAGAGAGAAGAATCAAATAGACGCAATAAAAAATGATAAAGGGGATATCACCACCGATCCCACAGAAATAAGAACTACCATCAGAGAATACTATAAACACCTCTATGCAAATAAACTAGAAAATCTACAAGAAATGGATAAATTCCTCGACACATACACCCTCCCAAGTCTAAAACAGGAAGAAGTTGAATCTCTGAATAGACCAATAACAGGCTCTGAAATTGAGGCAATAATTAACAGCTTACCAACCAAAGCAAGTAGAGAACCAGATGGATTCACAGCCGAATTCTACCAGAGGTACAAGGAGGAGCTGGTACCATTCCTTCTGAAACTATTCCAATCAATAGAAAAAGAGGGAATCCTCCCTAACTCATTTTATGAGGCCAGCATTATCCTGATACCAAAGCCTGGCAGAGACACAATGAAAAAAGAGAATTTTCGACCAATATCCCTGATGAACATCGATGCAAAAATCCTCAATAAAATACTTGCAAACCGAATCCAGCAGCACATCAAAAAGCTTATCCACCATGATCAAGTGGGCTTCATCCCCGGATGCAAGGCTGATTCAACATATGAAAATCAATAAACGTAATCCAGCATATAAACAGAACCAACTACAAAAACCATATGATTATCTCAATAGATGCAGAAAAGGCCTTTGACAAAATTCAACAACACTTCATGCTAAAAACTCTCAATAAATTAGGTATTGATGGGACGTATCTCAAAATAATCAGAGCTATCTGTGACAAACCCACAGCCAATATCATACTGAATGGACAAAAACTGGAAGCATTCCCTTTGAAAACTGGCACAAGACAGGGATGCCCTCTCTCACCACTCCTATTCAACATAGTGTTGGAAGTTCTGGCCAGGGCAATCAGGCAGGAGAAGGAAATAAAGGTATTCAATTAGGAAAAGAGGAAGTCAAATTGTCCCTGTTTTCAGATGGCATGATTGTATATCTAGAAAACCCCATTGTCTCAGCCCAAAATCTCCTTAAGCTGATAGGCAACTTCAGCAAAGTCTCAGGATACAAAACCAATGTGCAAAAATCACAAGCATTCTTATACACCAATAACAGACAAACAGAGAGCCAAATCATGAGTGAATTCCCATTCACAATTGCTTCAAAGAGAATAAAATACCTAGGAATCCAACTTATAAGGGACGTGAAGGTCCTCTTCAAGGAGAACTACAAAACACTGCTCAATGAAATAAAAGAGGATACAAACAAATGGAAGAACATTCCACGCGCATGGGTAGGAAGACTCAATGTCATGAAAATGGCCATACTACCTAAGGTAATTGATAGATTCAATGCCATCCCCAACAAGCTACCAATGACTTTTTTCACAGAATTGGAAACAACTACTTTAAAGTTCATATGGAACCAAAAAAGAGCCTGCATTGCCAAGTCAATCCTAAGCCAAAAGAACAAAGCTGGAGGCATCACACTACCTGAATTCAAACTATACTACAAGCCTACAGTAACCAAAACAGTATGGTATTGGTACCAAAACACAGATAGAGACCAATGGAACAGAACAGAGCCCTCAGAAATAATGCCGCATATCTACAACCATCTGATCTTTGACAAACCTGACAAAAACAAGAAATGGGGAAAGGATTCCCTATTTAATAAATGGTGCTGGGAAAACTGGCTAGTCATATGTAGCAAGCTGAAACTGGATCCCTTCCTTACACCTTAGACAAAAATTAATTCAAGATGGATTAAAGACTGAAATGTTAGACCTAAAACCATAAAAACCACAGAAGAAAAACCATAAAAACTATAGAAGAAAACCTAGGCAATACCATTCAGGACATAGACATGGGCAAGGACTTCATGTCTAAAACACCAAAAGCAACAGCAACAAAAGCCAAAATTGACAAATGGGATCTAATTAAACTCAAGAGCTTCTGCACAGCAAAAGAAACTACCATCAGAGTGAACAGGCAACCTACAGAATGGGAGAAAATTTTTGAAATGTACTCATGTGACAAAGGGCTAATATCCAGAATCTACAATGAACTCCAACAAATTTACAAGAAAAAAACAAACAACCCCATCAAAAAGTGGGCAAAGGATATGAACAGACACTTCTCATAAGAAGACATTTATGCAGCCAAAAGACACACGAAAAAATGCTCATCATCACTGGCCATCAGAGAAATGCAAATCAAAACCACAATGAGACACCATCTCACACCAGTTAGAATGGCGATCATTAAAAAGTCAGGAAACAACAGGTGCTGGAGAGCATGTGGAGAAATAGGAACACTTTTACACTGTTGGTGGGACTGTAAACTAGTTCAACCATTGTGGAAGTCAGTGTGGCGATTCCTCAGGGATCTAGAACTAGAAATACCATTTGACCCAGCCATCCCATTACTGGGTATATACCCAGAGGATTATAAATCATGCTGCTATAAAGACACATGCACACGTATGTTTATTGCGGCACTATTCACGATAGCAAAGACTTGGAACCAACCCAAATGTCCAACAATGATAGACTGGATTAAGAAAATGTGGCACATATACACCATGGAATACTATGCAGCCATAAAAAAGGATGAGTTCATGTCCTTTGTAGGGACATGGATGAAGCTGGAAACCATCATTCTCAGCAAACTATCGCAAGGACAAAAAACCAAGCACCGCATGTTCTCACTCATAGGTGGGAATTGAACAATGAGAACACATGGACACAGGAAGGGGAACATCACACACCTGGGCCTGTTGTGGGGTGGGGGGAGGGGGCAGGGATAGCATTCGGAGATATACCTAATGTTAAATGACGAGTTACTGGGTTCAGCACACCAACATGGCACATGTATACATATGTAACTAACCTGCACGTTGTGCACATGTACCCTAAAACTTAAAGTATAATTTTAAAAAAATGTCTGCACTTTACTATAGACATAACACATTCTTATTAGAGAAAATTTGAACAACATAAGAAACTTAAGGTAAAAGATCACCCATAGTTTCGTCATTTAAACTCAAATAATTGTTAATATGTCAGTGTATTCCCTTTCATTTTTTTCTCTGCTTATCTACCTGTATTTCCATAATTATATGACACATGCATAAATATGTATTTTCTTATGCATTAAAATCTTTATCAGCATAATCAGTAAGAACTTATTCAACCATTTGTCCAAAAATAGATGTTAAGGCTATCACTTTTTTTTTTTGCTAATACAAATAACGATGAGTATCCTTGTGTATATATTTTTATTCTTATTTTATCCTTATGTTAGACTCTTAAAATTGGAAGTGTATACACTGAAATTGCTTTCATCAAAGATTATTCCACTTTAGCAGAAGTGTGTGAGAATATCTGTCTTCCTAAGCCTTGACAGCATTGTTTATTATCTTTTAAATACCTCTGTTATCAAATTTTATCTTATCATTGTTTCCATTTATATTGCTTTGATTACTTGGAAGGGTGAACATTTCACCGGAGTTTGTTAATCATTTATAGTTAATTTTGGGGAATCGTTTATCCACTTATTGATGGAGGGTCTTCATGGTTTTTTTGTGTGTTATCTTTCACTATGTTAAATATATCAATTCCTTGTCATTTTGTTACAGATACTTTCTTTTTCTTAAGCGATTCAGTGCCCTGAGTCATAACCATGTGGAATAATGGGCTCCTGGGAACAGAAGCAACAGCTGCGTGGAGGGTGAGGACAAGCTGACATTTAGAAATATTCTGGTCAAGAGTTCCAATTGGTGTTTGTTTGCTGAGGGCGCTGGTGTGAAGCCCGGCTGAGTCATGAGGTTGGACAGACAGTCCAGGAGCGGCTGAGTAAGGCAAGGTGGGGAAGGGCACATGCTCTGGGGCTCCCTGAGAATTAGGGAAAGCGACTGATGAAGTGGGTGTGATGGAAACAGAGAAAATGACATCTTGGAGTTTACAGGCAAGGACCGTCCTTAGGCTTTGGGAAAGCTCAAGTTGAGATAACAGATGGATGCAATTCCATTCCCTAGGACCAAGGAAGATGCTCAAAAATATAACTCTGACAAATGCATGTAAGAGGATTCTAAAAACTTAAACTTGGAGGAAAGCAGCCCACATGTTTTGCTTTTCAATATCCGAGACCTGGGGGAAATATGTTTGGATGTGGATTTTATTCTCGAATAACCACAAATTTTCTATGTATTGAATGGGAATTCATATTCTCATCTACATAGCTCATCTATATCACATATCTCAGATGTGTTGCAACCATCTAAGTTAGGACACAGTGATTAAGGTGGAGGCATTACCCTCCCCTACCTGAAGAAGGTTTTATTTGTTTCGGAGGGGGCTTGTTAAGGAGGGAGGTTCTGATCAGATTTAGACTGTGAGAGAAGTAAACAGGACAGAAAGGAGATGAAAGGAGATTTTAATAAGTGTTACTGTTTATTATGTCAATGTCTAATGTTCCAAGAAACAGGAGTAGGAACAGTATCTCTTCTTATTTTCTATTTCCGATTGAGTTGTGCAGTAAAGCAAATTCCAAAAGTCTCATGAA